>NC_000006.12:24908484-25211515 GCF_000001405.40 Homo sapiens | reverse complement strand
AGTTGCTTATCAGCTTAAGGAGATTTTGGGCTGAGACGATGGAGTTTTCTAAATACACAATCATGTCATCTGCAAACAGAGACAATTTTACTTCCTCTCTTCCTATTTGAATACACTTTATTTCTCTCTCTTGCCTGATTGCCCTGGCCAGAACTTCCAATACTATGTTGAATAGGAGTGGTGAGAGAGGGCGTCCTTGTCTTGTACCAGTTTTCAGAGGGAATGCTTCAGCTTTTGCCCATTCAGTATGATATTGGCTACAGACTTATCATAAATAGCTCTTATTATTTTGAGATGTTCCATCAATACCCAGTTTATTGAGAGTTTTTAGCATGAAGGGATGTTGAATTTTATCAAAGCCATTTGCTGTATCTATTGAGATAATCATGTGGTTTTGTCATTGGTTGTGTTTATGCAATGGATTATGTTTATTGATTTGTGCATGTTGAACCAGCCTTGTGTCCCAGGGATGAAGCCGACTTGATCATGGTGGATAAGCTTTTTGATGGCTGCTGGATTAGGTTTGCCAGTATTTTATTGAGGATATTCACGTCAATGTTCATCAGGGATATTGGCCTATAATTTTCTTTTTTTGTTGTATGTCTTCCAGGTGATGGTATCAGGATGATGCTGGCCTTATAAAATGAGTAAGGGAGGAGTCCTTCTTTTTCTATTGTTTGGGATAGTTTCAGAAGGAATTGTACCAGCTCCTCTTTGTACCTCTGGTAGAATTCGGCTGTGAATCCGTCTGGTCCTGGGCTTTGTTTGGGAGGGTATTCATTACTGCCTCAATTTCAGAACTTGTTATTGATCTATTCAGGGATTCAACTTCTTCCTTGTTTAGTCTTGGGAGGGTGTGTGTGTCCAGGAATTTATCTATTTCTTCTAGATTTTCTGGTTTATTTGTGTAGAGGTGTTTATAGTTAATAGTATTCTCTGATAGTAGTTTGTATTTCTGTGGGATCAGTGGTGATATCCCCTTTATCATTTTTTATTGTGTCTATTTGATTCTGTCTTTTCTCCTTTATTAGTCTAGCTAGCAGTCCATCTATTTTGTTAATCTTCTCAAAAAAAAAAAAAACAGCTCTTGGATTCAATGATTTTTTTAAGGGTTTTTTATGTCTCTATCTCTCTCAGTTCTGTTCTGATCTTAGTTATTTCTTGTCTCCTGCTAGCTTTTGAATTTGTTTGCTCTTGCTTCTCTAGTTCTTTTAATTATGATGTTAGGTGTCAATTTTAGATCTTTCCTGCTTTCTGATGTGGGCATTTAGTACTATAAATTTCCCTCTTAACACTGCTTTAGCTGTGTCCCAGTGATTCTGGTACGTTGTCTCTTTGTTCTCATTGGTTTTAAAGAACTTTGTTATTTCTGCCTTCATTTCGTTATTTACCCAGTAGTCATTCAACAGCAAGTTGTTCAGTTTCCATGTGGTTGTGTGGTTTTGAGTGAGTTTTTTAATCCTAAGTTCTAATTTGACGGCACTGTGGTCTGAGAGACTGTTATGATTTCCATTCTTTTGCATTTGCTGAGGAGTGTTTTACTTCCAATTATGTCATCAATTTTAGAATAAGTGCCATTTGGTACTGAGAAGAATATATATTTTGTTGGGGTGGAGAGTTCTGTAGATGTCTGTTAGGTCCACTTGGTCCAGAGCTGAGTTCAAGTCCTGAATATCCTTGTTAATTTTCTGTCTTGTTGAGCCATCTAATATTGACAGTGGAGTGTTAAAGTTTCCCACCATTATTGTGTGGGAGTCTAAGTCTCTTTACAGGTCTCTAAGAACTTGGTTTATGAATCTGGGTGCTCCTGTATTGGGTGCATATATATTTAGGACAGTTAGCTCTTCTTGTTGCATTGATCCCTTTACCATTGTGTAATGCCCTTCATTGTCCTTTTTGATCTTTGTTGGTTTAAAGTCTGTTTTATCAGAGACTAGGATTGCAACCCCTGTCATTTATTTGCCTTCCATTTGCTTGGTAAATATTCCTCTATCCCTTTATTTTGAACCTATACGTGTCTTTGCACGTGAGATGGGTCTCCTGAATGCAGCACACCAATAGGTCTTAACTCCTTATCCAATTGCCAGTCTGTGTCTTTTAATTAGGGCATTTAGCCCATTTACATTTAAGGTTAATATTGTTATGGGTAAATCTGATCCTGTCATCATGATGCTAGCTGGTTATTTTGCACATTAGTTGATGCAATTTCTTCATAGTGTCATTGGTCTTTACATTTTGGTGTGTTTTTGCAGTGGCTGGTACTGGTTTTTCCTTTCCATATTTAGTGCTTCCTTCAGGAGCTCTTCTGGTGGTGACAAAATACCTCAGCATTTGCTTGTCTGGAAAGGATTTTATTTCTCCTTCACTTATGAAGCTTAATTTGACTGGATATGAAATTCTGGATTGAAAATTCTTTCAGAATGTTGAATATTGGCCTCTACCCTCTTCTGGTTTGTAGGGTTTCTACAGAGAGATCAACTGTTAGTCTAATGAGCTTCCCTTTGTAGGTAACTTGACCTTTCTCTCTGGCTGCCCTTAACATTTTTTCTTTTGTTTCAACCTTGGAGTATCTGCAATTATGTGTCTTGGGGTTGCTCTTCTTGAGGAGTATCTTAGTGGTGTTCTCTGTATTTCCTGAATTTGAATGTTGGCCTGTCTTGCTAGGTTGGGGAAGTTCTCCTGGATAATATCCTGAAGTGTGTTTTCCAACTTGGTTCCATTCTCCCCGTCACTTTCAGGTACACCAGTCAATCATAGGTTTGGTCTTTTCCACATAGTACCATATTTCTTGGAGGCTTTGTTTGTTCCTTTTCATTCCTTATTTTTTTTTCTAATCTTGTCTTTACGCCTTATTTTAGTAAGGAGATCTTCAGTCTCTGATACCCTTTCTTCCGCTTGTTGGATTTGGCTATTGATACTTGTGAATGCTTCACACAGTTCTCATGCTGTGTTTTTCAGCTCCATCAGGTCAATTTATGTTCTTCTTTAGACTGGTTATTCTAGTTAGCAGTTCCTGTAATCTTTTATCAAGGTTCTTAGCTTCCTTGCATTGGGTTAGAACATACTCCTTTAGCTCAGAGGAGTTTATTACCCACCTTCTGAAGCCTACTTCTGTCAATTCATCAATCTCATTCTCTATCCAGTTTTGTGTCCTTGCTGGAAAGGAGTTGTGATCATTTGGAGAAGAGGCATTCTGGTTTTTAGAATTTTCAGCATTTTTGTGCTGGTTTTTCCTCATCTTTGTGGATTTATTTACCTTCGATCTTTGGGGATGATGACCTTTGGATTGGGTTTCTGTGTGGGGTTCTTTTTTGTTGATGTTGATGTTGATGTTGTTGCTTTCTGTGCATTAGTTTTTCTTCTAACAGGCCCCTCCTCTGTAAGTCTGCTGCCGTTTGCTGGAGGTCCACTCCAGACCCTGTTTTCCTGGGTATCACCAGTGGAGGCTGCAGAACAGCAAAGATTGCTGCCTGCTCCTTCCTCTGGAAGCTTTGTCCCAGAGGGGCACTGGCCTGATGCCAGCCAGAGCTCTCCTGCATGAGGTGTCTGTCGACCCCTGCTGGGAGGTCTCTCTCAGTCAGGAGGCACGGGGGTCAGGGACCCACCTGAGGAGGCAGGCTGTCCCTTTGCAGAGCTGGTGCACTGTGCTGGGAGAATCCCCCTTGTCAGGATCAGCTGCTCTCTTCAGAGTCAGCAGGCAGGAAAAATTAAATTCGTTGAAGCTGCCCCACAGCTGCCCCTCCCACAGGTGCTCTGTCCCAGGGAGATAAGAGTTTTATCTGTAATCCCCTGACTGGGGCTGCTGCTTTTCCTTCAGAGATGCCCTGCCCAGTGAGGAGGAATCTAGGGAAGCAGTCTGGCCACATCCACTGTGCTGTGCTGTGGTGAATTCTGCCCAGTCCATACCTCCCAGCCTCCTTAGCAGTGTCAGGGGAAAACTAAAGCCTCATAATAGCAGATGCCCCTCCCCCTACCAAGCTTGATTGTCGCAGGTCAACTTCAGACTGCTGTGCTGGCTGTAAGAATTTCAAGCCAGTGGTTCTTAGCTTGCTGGGCTCCTTTAGAGTGGGACCTGCTGAGCCAGACCACTTGGCTCCCTGGCTTCAGCTGCCTTTCCAGGGGAGTGAATGATTCTATCTTGCTTGGGTTCCTGGCACCACTGGGGTATGAAAAAAACTCCTGCAGTTAGCATGGTGTCTGCCCAAACAGCCACCCAATTTTGGGCTTGAAACCCAGTGCCCTGGTGGTGTAGGCACACGAGGGAGCCTCCTGATCTGTGGGTTGCAAAAACCATGGGAAAAGTGCACTACCCAGTCTTGGTAGCACGGTCCCTCACGGCTTCCCTTGGCTTCGGGAGGGAGGTCCCCTGGCTTCTGGCACTTTCCGGGTGAAGTGACACTTCAGCTTGCTTCTGCTTGCTGTCTGTGGGTTGCACCCAATACCTAACCAGTCCCAGTGAAATGAACTGGGTCCCTCAGTTGGAAATGCACCTACCTTCTGCATTGGTCTCACTGGGAGCTGCAGACTGGAGTTATTTCTATTTGGCTATCTTGGCCCCTCCCTAAACACATCTTTTTAAATATGCCATCCAATGTGTTGTCAAAAAATGATTAATTAAAACATGGAATCAAAAATGTACACATTTCTAGGCTTTCAGGGGGGTCCTGACATCTTAGCTGTGGATCTCCCAATACCTGCAGGTCACAGGGCCACAGAAGCTGCACCTCTAGGAGCAGAGGACACAGAGCAGTGAAGAGGAGACCTGGAGCTCTGGCTGCAGTGAGAGACCCAGTTTGCAAAATTTTTATTGCTGCTTTTGTAATTTTGTTGCTTTTCTTTTATTACCTTTCATATATTATATATATATATAAAATATATTATATATATATAATATAAAAAATATATATTATATATAATATAAAATATATATATTATATATATATAAAATATATATTATATATATTATATATATAAAATATATATTATATATATTATATATAAAATATATATATTATATATATATATAAAATATATATATTTTATATATATATAAAATATATATATATTATATTATATATATAAACCTCTCTCATGTATATGTGTGTGTGTGTGTGTGTGTGTGTGCACGCGTGCATGAGTCTTTTTTTATGCTGGTACCACACTGTCTTGCTATGTTGCCCAGCTGATCTCAAGCTGATCTTCTTGTCTCAGTGCCCTGAGTAGCTGGGATTACAAGTGGCTGTAATCACCCGGCTGATCTTTCTTTTATATTAGTCCATGTATTTATTTTTGCTGAAGATCTTCATATCTTCCTATGGGTATGAGTTACTGTAAGTGTCCTTGCATTTCTACCTGAAGGACTACCATTAACATTTTTTATAAGGCAGGTCTAGTGGTAATGAATTTCCTGGGTTTCTGGTTATCTGTGAATGTCTTAACTTTTCCATCATTTTGAAAGACTGTTTTGCCAGATGCAGAATTCTCAGCTGACATTTTCTTTCAGCACTTTATCCCACTGCATTTTGTCCTCCAAAGTATATGCTGAAGAATTGATTGATAGTATTTTTGAAGATTGCTTGTATGTGATGAGTTGCTTCTCTCTTCTCTCAATTCTGTCTTTAACAGTTTGATTATAATATGTTTTGGAGTGGACCACTTTGGAAGCTGAGTTTCTTGGATTTGTATATTAATGTCTTTCATTGTATTTGGGATTTTTTTTAGTCATTATTTCTGCATATAATCTCACTATCTCTTTCTTCTCCTTGGATTCTCATAATGCATATATTAATCTGCTTCATAAGTCCCTTCATCTCTGTTCACTTTTATTTTAGATTTGAAAATTTTGAATGTACTATCTTCCACTGATTTTTTTTTCCTTCTGCCTGTTCACATCTGCTTTGATTTCTCTTGAATAAATGCCTAGGAGTGAAATTGCCGGGTTATGGTTTCAGTATATGTTTAATTTTATAAGAAACTGCCAGACATTTTTGGAAAGTGGCTATGTATTTTACACTTTTATCCATAATGCATCAGAGTTGCTATTGATCTATATTTTTGCCAGCATTTGGTGTTAAAGTCTTCAATTTTAACCATTCTGATGGGTGTGTAATAGTACCTTATTGTAGTTTAAATTTGTGGGTTTTTTGGGCTCTGATAATTAATCTCTGACGGCTAATGATATTGAATACTTTTTCATGTGTTTATTTGCCATTAGTAGATTTTCATTTGTAAAATATCTGTTCAAATATATTGCCCCTTATTTAATTGAGTGGTTTGAACCTTTTAAAGAAACGGAGTTGTGGGAGTTCCTTATCTATTCCAATTATTAGTCCTATGTCACACTTTAGTTTTGAGAATATTTTCTCTTGGTCTGGAGTTTATCTATTTTTTTTTAGTGGTGTATTTTGATTAGGAGCAGCTTTTAATTTGGATAAAGTCTAATTTATCAATTTTTTGATGGTTATGGCCTTCTTTGTCCTTTCCAAGAAACTTTTGCCTACTCCCAAGCCATAAATACATTCTTCCAGAAGTTTCATAGTTTTATTCTTTGTTTAGACCTGTGATCCATTTTGAGTTGACTTTTGTGCAGGTGTGGGGTAAAGGTCAAGGTTCATTTGTTTTCCCATTTGGATTTTCAGTTGTTTCAGTACCATTTGATGAAAAGACTTCTTTTTGCATAAGATTGCTTTGATACTTTTGTTGTTGAAAATTAGTGGACCATATAAATATGAATCTACTTCTAAGCTCTGTTCTATTTATCTACTTGTCTGTTTTTTATGCTGGTACCACACTGTCTTGATTACCATACTTTATAGTAAATCATAGAGATAGATAGTACCAGCCCTTCAAGTTTGTTCTTCTTTTACAAGATGTATTTGGCTATTTTGGGTCCTTTTCATTTATGTGTAAATTTTAGAATCAGCTTGTCAATTTCTTTGAAAGCGCCTTTCAGGATTATGATTTGGGTTGCCATTGAATCTACAGGTAAATTTGAGGAGAATTGACATCTTAACAACATTAAGCCTTCCATCTATGAACAGATGCATTTCTCCATTTACTTCAGTTTTCTTCATTGTCCTTCAGCGATGTTTACAGTTTTCAATGTAGAGGTCTTGCACATCCTTTGTTAAATTTATTTTTAAACATCTAATTGTTTGATATTGAAAATAAAATTTATTTCAAATCATTTGCTTCTAGTATATAAAAACATAATTGCTTTTTATACTAACCTTGCATCTTGCAGCTTTGCGAAACTCATTTATTCTAATAGTTGTTTTGCTGATTACTTGGAATTTTCTACAATGTTGATTAGAAGTGTTGAGAATAGACATCTTTGCTTTTTCTTTTTATCTTAGGGGAAAACATTTATTCCACCACTTCATATGATGTTAAATATAAGTATTTTGTAAATGTTCTTTATCAGATTGAGAAAGTTCCTTCCAATTCTAAACTTACTGAGACTTTTATAAAAATTCACGATAAAATAATAATGAATTTTGCCAAACGGCCTTTTCTGTACCTACTAAAATGATTTTTATTATCTCCTTTATTCTGTTAATATAGTGAATTTCATTTTTTTCAAACAATAAACTAAACTTGCTTCTCTAGGAAAATCTGCAACTGCTCTCAATGTATTCTTTTTAACATATTGCTAGGCTTGACTTGTTAATATATTAAGACTTTTTTCACCTATTTTTCTAGCAGTTTTGTTTTAGAATCCAAAAGCAATATATACTTACAGCAGGGGGGACCTTCAACCAATTTAAAAGTGAATCAATTAAATATAAAAGTTACTTCTTTCTATCCCATCCATCCTCTTAAAGAAATAATCACAATGAACAATTTGATGTGTATTCCTCTCACTTTTTAAATACATGCACAAATATATACAGTTTAAATTCTGCTTTTTCACATAACACTTCCTCATAACATTAAATATTCTCCAAAATATGTATTTTTAATGTATTTAACTATTTTCCTATTGTTGGACATATAGGTCGCATATATTTATTCATTGAGACAGGGTCTCACTGTGTCACTCAGGCTGGAGTGCAATGGTGCGATTATGGTTCACTGCAGCCTTGAACTCCTGGGCTCAAGTAATCCTCCCACCTTAGGCTCCCCAGCAGCTGGGACCACAGGCACATGCCACCACATCTAGCTAATTTTTTGACTTTTTTGTAGAGATGGGGGTCTCACTTTGTTGCCCAGGTTGCTTTCAAACTCCTGGGCTCAAGAGATCCTCCCGCCTTGGCCTCCCAAAGTGTTGGGATTACAGGTGTGAGCCATGGTGCCTGGCCATATTACTTTATTATGGAATGAAACAAAATGTTAAAGATGATGTATGCTGAGAGTACAATGGAGTTACATACCAGGTGCTGAAAAGACTTCTCAAAGTAGATGGCTGTGCTTGAGCTGATTTCTGATAGTTGACAGAGTGCTGAGTTGTTTCATTAAGAATGGAAGACAGGGAGGGAAGGAAGACAAAGTAGGAAAAGCAGAAGGAAGACAGAAATAAAGAAGGGGGAAAAGGACATGAGAAAAAAGATGAAGAAAAAAAATCATTAGTATCATGCTTAGTAGCTGCTCGACATATACAGTGTTCTGAACCACCAGCCCATTTCTCCATCCCATCTTTAAAAGAAAGATCCTTCCAATGTAGTTCACCCTTTCCTTGCAAAATGTTTTTTGTTATTTGAATTTTACTATTTTTAGCTGGTGAAAAGCCAAACAACTCATGGAAAACTTTCCCATGAGGTAATAGGAACCACTGAGCAACATTCCAAATGTCTTATTTCAAGTGATTACACATAAGATTTGTTTTTCTTCTATGCTTTTCTGTTGGATAATGAGGAATATATACAGATGTTTATTTTGTAATGTCTCCAACTCCTCTTGTAGATCCTATCATAGTGTATCCTCTAAAATCTAAACATACTTGGCAGGTGATTTTTCCTCTTTTCACCTCCCTCCTTTGAATGGCCAACAACAGAATATTTCCACTTCCTAAGTTTGGCTCTTTTACTTTTTTCTTTCTTTCTTTCTTTTTTTTTTTTTTTTTTTATTTTTTTTTTGAGACTGGGTGTCACTCTGTTGCCCAGACTGGAGTGCAGTGGCGCAATCTCGGCTCACTGCAACCTCTGCCTCCGGGGTTCAAGTGATTCTCCTGCCTCAGCCTCCTGAGTAGCTGGGATTACAGGCGCACGCCACCATGCCTGGCTAATATATATATATCTATTTTTTTTTAAGTAGAGACGGGGTTTCACCTTGTTGGCCAGGCTGCTCTCGAACTCCTGACCTCAAGTGATCCACCCACCTCGGCCTCCCAAACTGCTGGGATTACAGGTGTGAACCACCATGCCTGGCCCTTTATTTATTTATTTATTTTTTTAATGAGACAGGGTCACACTCCATCACCCAGGCTGGAGTGCCGTGGTGTGCTCATGGCTCATTTCAGCCTTGACCTCCTGGGCTCAAGTGATCCTCCCACCTCAGCCTCCTGAGTAGCTGGGAATGCAGGTGCACACCACCATTCCCAGCTAATTTTTGTATTTTTTGTAGAGACAGCCATTTGCCATGTTGCCCAGGCTAGTCTCAAACTCCTGGATTCAAGAGATTCACCCACTTCAGCCTCCCAAAGTGCTGGGATTACAGGCATGAAGTTTGGCTCTTTTAAATCTACCTGAATTCTGCTTCTCTAGTATCCCACTGTCTTCCTACTGAATACTATTTAAGAGTAAAATATATTGGAGATTCTCATGATTTCCTGCTAGTCTTCTAGCATCATTGATTTGTGCAAAAGGAAATTGCTTCCTAGACTGTTCTAGCTATTGTAGTTCCACATAGTCTTTTCAGGTGGAACTAGTTCTTGCTCTACTTTACTTAAGGTATATTTTCTTTCTGTGCACCATTTTTCTTTTCTTTTTTTTTTTTTGACAGAGTCTTGCCATCTCAAAAGTGAGATGGAGTGCAGTGGTGCCATCTCAGCTCACAGCAGCCTCTGCCTCCTAGGCTCAAGCTATCCTCCCACCTCAGCCTCCCAAGTAGCTGGGATTACTAGTAGCATAGGCCACCATGCCCAGCTTATTTTCATATTGTTAGTAGAGAGGGGGTTTTGCCATGTTGGCTGGCCTGGTCCCAAACTCCTGGCTTCAAGTGATCCACCTGCCTCAGCCTCCCAAAGTGCTGGGATTACAGCATGAGCAACTGCACCCAGCTCTGTGCATAATTTTTCTTATCTGAAACATGGGTGTAAATTTACCATGCTGCTTTCTGAAGGGAGGCTGTGATAATCAAATGGAATGTGTGTACAACTTGCTTAAATGGTCAAAAGTGGTTGATGTCATATTCATTATTAATATATATTAATAATGATAGCTGCCATTTAGTTTAGTCTTTGATATGTACTAGGCCCTGAGGTAGGTCCTTTATTGACATTATCTCACTTTAATTCTCAAAACAATTCTATTATTCACATTTTAGAGATGAGGAATTAAAGCAATTTACCTAACAGCATTCAGAGACAGAATTCAGGTCTTTCTGAATCCATAGCCTAAGCTTTTAAACATTATATTGAATGCCTGTCAAGAATATTTATTGAATGTACGGTATGAAATGTAATAATGAGGTTACCTGAATAGTCACTAAATAACAGCAATCTATGATTGCTTAGGTGGTTTCCCCACTATTGGTTTAGCCATAAGCTAAAAATAATAATAATTTTAAAATACCTTATTTTTGTGTAGCACTTACTGTATAGACATTTAATTCAATCAACACTGCATTAACCAGGGCAGATATTAACCTCACTTTGCACGTGGTAAAACAATGCTTCAGAAAGGTTGATAGTCTTAGATCTCACAACTAGCTGAGTGCCAACGCCAGATCTTTCCTTTTTTATGTTCATTACTATAACTTTATTGACCTGCAGTAGCTTTTTTTTTTTTTTTAGGAAATAGAAACAACAGTCAATTGTAATACTTAAATATAATTATCTCACAGATCAGAAGTCTCATTTCAGTCATTCTCCAAGATTTAATGTATGTATCATGTTAATTCTCTCATGCTAATGGTTTTTGTCCTTGGGGCTGTATTAGTTTTCTGTGGTTGCTGTGACAAATTACCACAAACTTGGCGATTTAAAACAATGTACATTTACTGGCCCACAATTTTTTAGGTAAGAAATCCAACATGTCTCTCACTGGACTAAAATCAAGGTGTTGGCAAGGCTGTATTACTTTCTAGAGATCCTAAGGGAATAATTCATTTCCTTGCCTTTCTAGCGTCTAGAGACTGCCCATACTCCTTGGATCACGGCCCTTCCTCTATTATCATAGCCAGCAATGAAGGGTCAAATCCATCTCACATGGCATCATTCCAATCTCCTGTTTTTCTTCCTCTTCCACTTTCATGGACCCTTGTGATTCCATTGGGCCCATCCAGACAATCCAGAATAATTTCCCTATCTTAAGGGAAATTACAGCTGATTAACAACTGTAATTCCCTGTTGCTATGTAACATAATATATTCACAGGTTTCAGGGATTAGAATTAGGACATGGACATCTTTGTGGGACCATTATTCTGCCTGCCACAGGGGCTCATTTATGTTTAAAATGAAGGACAAAAGTGATTGGCGTAGGTAGTTGCAGTGACTTTCCTCAGTGGTCTGTAGATCTGTTTCCATAACAGCAAGAAGAGAGCTGTTACATTGTGGGTTGGTGAGCTGGTGGGTTGGGCATGCTCATACACAAACTGCTCGGTAGGGAAAGGAGAAGGCACATGAGCAAGGGATGGCCCTGGTGGCCAGGGTAAGGATTTTACTTTGTGTGCTGAGGCATTCTAGACTATTTGGGTTTGGAAAATAAGTTTCAAACCACTGAGCTTGGCCAATAAGGTTTTTCATAATATAGCCCTTGCTTTCTTTTCAAGTCTCAATGAGTTATTTTTTCTAGCTTAAATGAGATACTAAATATCAAATACTTGGTATAAGGTAGATATATTAGTCAAGGTACTTAGTTATAAAAGCAAAAAACAAACCTACTTCAGTTAGTGTAAGCGCTAAGAAATTTGTTAAAGAATAGTAGAATCTTGAGGGCAGGACAACCATGCCAGGTGGAGGAGCAGGAACAATGTCCCAATTTATATTAAGGAAGGCTTCAGAGCCTGGACACAGGCCTGAACATGGGATGCAACTGCTGGGCTCTCAGCAAGTGCTGCCTCTGAAGGCTGAATGCTTCCTTTCCATCCGGCGAGAAATAATTCTTACCAGCACCTCCTTATTCATGTCACTCTTTTAATTTGATGACTTAGCTAGATAGTTCTGATCAACAGAGTCCAGGTCCCATACCTATATGCCACTCACAAACAAGGTTAAATAGGTGAGTTTCTGACTTCTGTACTGGAGAGGCAGGGACTCCAATAGTAGGGAATTCCCAAAATATATGAAAGTTGTTAAAAAGCTGCGAGAAAACATGACAAATATTCCAATAGTAGGTAGTCAGTAAATAGTACCTCTCTTCTCCAGGGAGAAGAACATACTAGAATAGGTACATAAACATCCATTAACAGGTTAGATGAGTGAAGTTCACTATGAAATTTTATTATGAAAACTTTCAAATACATACCAAGCTTCAACTTTTGTCAACTGATGGTCTACCTTGTTTTAGCTCTACCTGTACTCGTTCCTTCATTTTCCCTACCCCCACTGTTTTGAGGAAAATCTCAAACATTAAATATTTTTGTTCATAAATGTTAACATGCATCTCTAAAACGTGAAGATTGCTTATGAATTTTTGATTGTGGAGAAGTAACATGGCATAACCACATTTCTGAATTTAGATAAGGATTCATATTTTCCTTCAGGGCAGAAGTGTTGATCCAGTCCCCACTGTGTGGAAGATATAGTTAGTTCACATTCTTCAGGAGCTCACAACCCATTTATTCATTCATCCATGCATTCCTCCATGAAGCAGGAAAACAGGTAAGTAAGTACCGGCTACCTTTTCTACGCTGGGCTCAACATAGATGAATCAAAATATAATCACTGTTCTTAGGAAATTTTGATGAAAAGCAGATAAAGGCCTAAAGCATTAAACAACAAAGCTGAATATAAACCATTAGTCAGTAAGCAATAGACAGATATGGTAAGGCAGCAGGTGAGTGATCACAAAATGAATTAAGAAATAGTAGACAAAATTCTCTACATATTTATAGAAGGTTTTTGATATGCTCATTCATAGTTAGTGTTCATTTTGCATTGCTATAAAGGAGTACCCGAGGCTGGCTAATTTATGAAGAAAAAAGGTTTAATTAGCTCACAGCTCTGCACACTGTTCAAGCATGGCACCTGCATCTATCTGCTCAGCTTCTGGTGAGGCTTCAGGAAGCTTTTACTCATGGCAGAAGATGATGGTGGAGCAGGCAGGTCCTATGGTGAGAAAGAGAGCAAGAGAGGGAGGGAGGAATGCCATGCTATTTTAAACAACCAGCTCTTATGTGAACCAACAGAATGAGAACTCATTCATTACTGCAGTCAGGGCACCACACCATTCATGAGGGATCTGTCCCCATGACCCAAACACCTTCCACTGGGCCCCACCTCCAGCACTGGGGATCACATTTCAACATGAGATTTGGAAGGAACAAATATCCAAACCATATCAGTTACTCACAGGTAGAAATTACATGGGTACTTAAGATAATTGAGTATCTTTGTGGATTATTCAATCACAGAAATTTAAAACAAATTTTAGAACAGAGAAAAATTTGCCCAACATATTTGTTAAACTTTCCTGTCAGGGGATTACATCAAAGCACGTTCATCTCCTCAAACATATTGCTAATTTTTACTCAAATATGAAGTGGTATCTGAAATTATGTCAGTCTCTGAGGTTGTAATTGTAGGTGTGCAACTTCAGTAATTTCCAAACCCAAAGAGGCACACATCTAACTCATAATGGCTATAACAAATGTGTACATAAGGAAGAAATACAGCCCTTTATGTTTATAAGTAAAACATGGATAAATATTACCAGAACTTAACTGAGTTTTTAAATTTTTTTAATTTCATAAGTGTAGTCAGTCTTCGACTCCTCTGTTTTTATCATTTTCAGTAGAGATAGAATTGCAAACAAGGAAAGAATTCTATGGACTATACAAGTTGGTCTAGTGCTTTGGGCAATAAGCTAATCCTCAAATTGCTTAACTCTGAGCATACTATGACATTCATCAGATAGCATATCTTAAATTGACGCTGTGAAACACACCTTGGGTGTGGGTGCTTGGTTGTATAAAGTTCTGTATTTCATGTAAAAAGCATGGGGTAAAAAGTTATCACCCTAATAGTGAGGCTAGAATTTCTCAAGTATGGCAAATTAACATGCGAGGAACAGTATTTTCTGAGTGATCAGGCACATGGCTCGTTTCTTTTGAAACCTGCCATTCTAAGTACAAGTCATTGACTTGGAAATGGATATCAAAGAGAAGGTCATAATAGTGATGAAGAAGTTTACACTCAAATCTTTTTAAAAAACCTTCAACCAGTTACTGAAAATGAAACAAAATATCAAAGGTCTTCCTCTGCATGGGCAATCAAATAGGCACTGCTATCATCATGGGGAAACTGTTTCTTTGTGATATTTTGTGTCTAAACTTTTTTGTAAGATGCTCTGAAAAGTGAAGAAAGGGATAAGAACTACAATGTCTTTGGCCAAGAAAAGTAGATTTGAAAGGGCTGTCTGGCCTATAAGTGGACGACACTAGGGCTCTGGAGGAAAATTGTTATTTACTGAAAAGAAATAACATTGAGTGGCTTCACCATGTTTACTATGAAAACAGACTGGAGGCTGCTGATGTAATTATATTTTCATTGTGCACTTGACTCCTTATAATTGTTTGGAGGCTGTACAGAAAAGAGTTGGCATAACAGGCCCAAGTGCTATTCTTTGACAGGCTTGATTATAAGGCTGGCATCTGCGAACTTAGGTTGTGGGAGGGTTCCTGTGATTAACTGGTAGAGTGTACCAGTTAGAGGTACAATAGCTTAGTACCTAAGCTATTTGAACAAACAATGTGGTTATACTGAACACGTGATTTTCTTCTGGAAATTTAAAGTTTGGGTATGTGCCAATCAGAGGATGCCTACATAACTAGCCCCCAATAAAATCCCTGAGTGCTGAGTCTCTCCTGGTTGGTAATATTTCACATGTGTGCTTTCAACTTGTTGTCAGGGGAATTACGCACATCCCACGTAACTCTGTTGGGAGAGGACTCTGGAAACTCATGCCTAGTTTCCCCCTTGCTTTGCCCCATGTGGCTTTTTTCCTTTGCTGATTCTGCCTTATATCATTTCACTGCAATAAGTCATGGATGTGAGTATGACTATGGGCCGAATCCCTCAAACAAATCATGGGACCCTGCATGGTCTTGGGAACTCCTTACACAGTGGCTCTAAAGAGAAATATGAGAGGATTATGGCCTTGGATTTTGGAATATTGCTTTTTTTGTACATTTGTTATATTTAGTAGGGTAGAGTCAGTATGCTATAGAGCAAACTTGTCTAATCTGTGGCCCACAGGCCGCAGGCGGCCCAGGACAGCTTTGAATATGGCTCAAGACAAATTCATAAACTTTCTTAAAACATTATGACATTATGAGCTTTTCTTGCAATTTTTTTTTTGTTTTAGCTCATCAGCTACTATTAGTATTTGTGTATTTTATGTGTGGCCCAAGGCAATTCTTATGTTGTGGCCCAGGAAAGCCAAGAAATTGGACACCTGTGCATAAAGGGTGAAGTTGTGGGCCATGGCATGAAAGAGACCAAGGTTTGAATCCTAGCTGTGACTTAAGCAAGTGACTTTGACACTCTAAGCTTCAGTTTCCTTACATGTAAAATGTAGACAGTGGTATTTATTCTGGAGATTAAATGGGATAAAGCTTACGTCTGTGTCTGTCATATAGTCATAGTTCAATATTGTGAATTGAGGAAGACTATTGAGGTGTATCTTCAAATATTCTGCCAATTGATAACATTGTATCTGTGGTAGAGTCAATTCCAAATTATTTTTGATATTGGAGAAAGATTGAAGAAAGAAGGAAAATCATTTATATAATACTTTAAATTTACATAATATTTCATCATAGAAGTATCTTTTTTCACATTATAAAGCTAATATACACTTATAATAAAAGCATTTAAATGATACAAAAATGTAAAAAGTAGAAAGTGTAATTCCTCCAGAATTTTACATCCTCCCTCCAAGATTTGGTGGTTATTCTTTGAGATTTCTTTCTGTGTATCTAGAAACATTGTTTTTAGGCAAAAATAGATCACATTATTCATACTATTTAATTTTTTATTCACCAATATATCGAGGCATTTGGCATTTTCACGTTGTTACGGATAGAGTGACCTCATTATTTTTAAATGTGGCATAGTTTCGTATAGTTTGGGCATAGGGTAGTCTGTTTAGCCAAGCTCCTTGGTGGACCTTTGAGTTAGTTCCAATCTGAAGTCACCATAAACAATATTACAGTAAATAAACTCTACATTTTAGAAAACAGTTGCTACTTTCTCTATTCTTTGAGAAGAAATAATAATAGCATTTTTAAAAAGGCCTGGATAGTTGTTCTTAATGAAGTTGCAAGATATGCTTATTTAACCTGAAGACATGGGCTGAGGGATGCTGAATCACTTCAATACTTGCAACTATGGCAGCTTCAGGACAGAGATGAGCTTAGACTACCAACCAAAGAAAACTAAAATGAAAAAACTGTGTTCAGTGTACACTGCTCAGGTGATGGGTGTGCCAAAATCTCAGAAATCACCACTAAAGAACATATTCACGTCACCAAACACCACCTGTTCCCCAAAGAGCTATTGAAATAAATAGGGTGGGCGTAGGTGGCTCAAGCCTGTAATCTTAGCACTTTGGGAAGCCGACGTGGTTGGATCACTTGAGGTCAGGAGTTTAAGACCAGCCTGACCAACATGTTGAAACCCTCTCTCTACTAAAAATACAAATATTAGCTGGGCGTGGTGGTGTACGCCTGTAATCCCAGCTACTCAGGTCGTTGGGACATGAGAATCACTTGAACTCAGAGGCTGTGCACTCCAGCGCAACTGCACTCCAGCCTGGGTGATAGAGGAAGATGCTATCTCAAAAAAAAAAAATGGAAAGAAAAAGCTGTGTTCAAACTTCAAACTGAGACTATAAAAGTTTGGGCAGTTACTGTAATCTCCTTAAAAATTTGGCCAGAATGTACAGACCACATTTGGATCCTGATTTGATCCAGAAATAGATGAGACAATTGGGAAAACTTGACCATAGACTTGATATTTGAGGATAGGAAATAATTTTTAATAAATGTATTAGGTTTGGTAGTGATATTATGGTTATCGTTCTTCAGAGTCTTTGTATTTTAGAGAAACATAATAAAATATTGCAGGATAAAATCATATGTCTGGGGTTGGCTTTAGAATCATCCAACTAAGGAGAACAAAATTGTGTGAGGTTGCATGCATGGATGTAAGGGTGTGTGGGCAGAGATGAATTGTTGAAGCTGGCTCAAGGAGTTTCATTATATAATACTCTCAACATTTGTATATTGTGAAAATTTTCATAATAAGTTGAAAAGCAAGGAAAAAAACAACTTAGTTTCAACGGCTAATTGTTTCTACTGGGGTGGAGAGAAGTAATGAAAATGCCAGAGGGAAAAGGGTGTTTTTTTTTCAGGGCTGACTAATCTTAGTAATGGATTTTCACTCCTGGCCTTAGTCCAGGGGTGCAGAGCTTTGGATTCTTAAGGTCGCTGACTCATCAGAAGAAAATAAAACGAGGACATAAGTTTTTAATCTTAAAAATTTAAAAAAAATTGTTTTTAAGACACCGAGAGCACTAACTTTGAAAATTTAAGAAATTAAGAGAGAAATCACAGGATTTGAATCACTAAGTAATTGTGATAATAAGTTGATGTCTTTGAGTAAAAAAACGTTTTTTTTTCTTTCTTTTTTTTTTTTTTTTTGGCTGCTTGGCATTCACTATCTCTTTCTAATAGCACTGCCAGTTTCCAAACACATCCGCTCTATCATGTACAGCCTTCATGGGAGAGGAAATCCAGTGGTCTGCCTCTTACTTCATAAGCTCCTTCTTCTCATGACCTGGCCAAGGGAGGTCACTGAGATTTTCACAAAAGGTTTACCCTAGCAGTGACCTCCTTGACCAGACTGTTCCTGCTGGGAAACCAATCCTTTGGCTCCCACTTTCTAGTCCTTAGAGCTACCCTGGATCCTGCCAATCTCCAAGGCCCGTTCTCTTAGCTTGCCTACATGATTCTCATTGATACCAAGTTTCTTACGCTAACCTGTCTTTTGCTGGAAGTAGCCAGAGTTGGATTTTTGCCATTAGTGAGCAAAAAGTTTATTCCTCTGTTGTGAGTTAAGGTCAATTAAACGCTACTAGAGAAAGAGGCTGTCAGCCAGAAAGAGGAATAGAATGATTAAGGGAGCAGCTGGAGAAAGAGCAAAGAAGGGGTTTGTGGGAGCAAAATTCAGCAGAAAGCTATAATAGATGAGGCACTGGAGAAAGACAGTAAGACCATTTGTTTTTGCCTATCCTTTCTCTGCTTCTTAACAAGAACCAGATTCCCCTCCACCACCTTACCCCAATTCCTGCCAAAGATCTCTGTTGCTCTTCTTCAGATCCTACCCCTCCCACTCAAAGCTGCAAACTGTCCAGGGCCAATCAGTAGCTTCACAGGCGCATTCTATCCCTGTACTTCCCCACCCAGCCAACCAGGAGCCTCATCTCGGCTAACTTGCCATGTACCCCAACCCTGCCAACTCCCTGCCCAACAGGGAGGGGCTGAATTTCCATCACTCTTGGCACATTTATCCACACTATCTGCTGTTATCTTAGACCTGCTTTGCCCCTTTTTGTCTCTGATAATCATCATAGGTTGAAATTCTCTGAGGATGACCTGAATAGAAAATTAAAACTTGTATCTTTTCACAGAAACTCTTTTGTTTTAGAACTAGTCAAGGGTGGTTTTTGGAGGAGACAATGTCAGTCAACTTAACAATAACCCACAACCTTTGAACCAACTCAGAAATGCCCTTTCAAAAATATAGCATAGGTCTTTAATGTAATTTCTTTTTAAGTAAACATGAATTTAAACAGCCAAGCAAATGTAGACCCTATTAAAATAATGTCCTCAGAGGCTACCAGGTTATTCTAACTATGCTGCCGTTTCTTCTCATATTTTTGAAACTCATTTCTGGTCATTTCTTTTAGCATCTAAAGCCTGATTTTTCTCATTCAATGAATATGTTCTGAGTGTCTAGCATGTTACAAACTTTGGGCCAGGGACTGGTGAAGAAGAGGTTATGGTTTTTAAACTCCGAGTCTCAGAAAGGGCACAGATACAAAAGCACTTATAAAAAGCAAGAGATCCAGATAATGAATTTCTAAATAATCAAGTGCTGTTAGGACTGTCTACAGTTTGAAGGAAATTCTTTACAGCATCCAAAAGTAAGCAAATTGACTTTTTTTTTTTTTTTTTTTTTTGGAGACAGAGTCTTACTCTGTTGCCCAGGCTGGAGTGCAGTGGCATGATCTCAGCTCACTGGGACTACAGGTGTGTGCCACCACATCTGGCTAATTTTTTTGTGTGTTTTTAGTAGAAACAGGGCTTCACCATGTTGGCCAGGCTGCTCCTGAACTCCTGACATCAAGTGATCCACTTGCCTGGCCTCCCAAAGTGCCAGGATTACAGATATGAGCCGCCGCACCCGGCCTCAAATTGACATCTATCCTCTAGCACCTAGATTGTGGTTTCCAGACACATTTTCCAGCAAGAAGAACCAAAACTTTTAGGAGAAATAGCTGATTCAAGGTGTTGGACACAAAATATACACGAAGAACATGGAATATCTTGTTATATGAGAGGCAAGGAAATATCAAATACTATTGGGGTCATCTCAAAATGACTCACAAGGGCCAGCTTGAAAACCTTCCTACTTACCACTTCGCACCTGTTAGAGCAGCTATTATCAACAAGATGAAAGATAATAATGTTGGTGAGGATATAGAAGAAAGGGAACCCTTAAATTGCTGGTGAAAGTATAAAATAGCACTGCTGCTATGGAAAACACTATGAAGTTTCCCCCCAAAATTTAAAATAGAACTATCATATGACCCAGTAATCCCATTAATGGGTATATATCCAAAGGAATTGAAGTGAGTGTGTCAGAGATATTTGAAAAGAGAATATCTGCACTCCCATGTTTATTGCAGCATTAATCACAATAGCCAAGATACGGAATCAACCTCAATCTATCGTGAATAAAAGGATAAGGAAAATGTGTATATACACACAATGGAATACTATTCAGCCTTAAAAAAAGAAGGAAATGCTGTCATTTGTGACAACATAGATGAAACTAGAGCACATTATATTAAATGAAATAAGCCAGCACAAAAAGACAAATACTGCATGATCGCATTTATATGTATGTCTTAGTCTGTTTGATATTGGTATAATAAAATATCACAGACTGGTAATTTTTCAACAGGAATGTATTTCTCATAGTTCTGGAGGCTGGGAAGTTCAAGAAAAAGACACTGGCAGGTTTGATACATGGTGAGGACCCAATCTCTGCTTCCAAATTGGCAACTAGTTGCTGCATCCTTTGGAGGGGAAGAACACTGTCCTCACATGGCAGAAGAGCATAGGAGCAAGAGGACTCTCCCTTCAACCTTGAGCCCTTTTAAGTGTGCGAATTCCATTCATGAGGGTAGAGCCCTCATGACTGAATCACCTTCCAAAGGCCACAGCTCTTAATACTTTTGCATGGGGATTAAGTTTCAACATGAGTTTTGGAGGGAATACCATCTTTCAACATAGCAATTGTAAGATTTAAAAAAGTCAAATTCATCAAGGCAGAAAGTAGAGTGATGGTTACCAAAGGCTGGGAGATGGGCGAATTGGGAAGATGTTAGTCAAAGGATACAAAATTTCAGTTGGACAGGAGGAATAAATTCAAGAAATCTATTGTCCATTGTGTTCACTATAGTTAACATATTGTATACTTGAAAATTGCTGAGATCAAATTTTAAGTGTTCTCACCACAAAAAAAGTATGTGAGGTAACATATATGTTAATTAGCTCTATTCAGCCATTCCACAATGTATGCATATATCATAACATCATGTATACTCTAAATATACACACTTTATTTGCCAGTTAAAAAATAGGCTTCTCACTGACCAAAATGGGATGATATGAGCACTAATACAAGTAATGAGTGGATTCAAACTCATCAAATATGTTTAACGCAATGTGTTCATAATGTAACTAAAATTAGAGGGTCCTAGGAAACCAACTCCTTATTTTGAAAAATAATTAAAGAAAAATATTATGTATTCTTTTCTTTGCAAACTGTACAACTGGGTAAGCAAGTTGTAGGTAAAGGGAAATTTATCTTACCAAAGGATTATAGTTAATGTATGAAAAAGAAGTGATGGAGTTTTGCCCTTTTGCAAGCCCCTGATGAAATGATAAATCATAGAATTGAACATTAATGGTTGGTAACATCAAACACAAAAAGACAGAATCTGACATCCTGGTCATCCTGATAAATGCCAAACTACCATTTGGCTGCCTCTAGGGACAGATGTTAGAGATGGAGCAAGAAAGATTTGACTTTACCTTAAATACCCTCTCTTTTTTTTTTTTGAGACAGGGTCTTGAGCTATCGCCCAGGTTAGAGTGCAGTGCTTTTTTCCATGCTAAGTTATTGTATTATTTTTTCTCAATTAAAATTTTGTTTCCATTTGTAAAAATAATACAATATTTTAGGAAATTTATAAAAATACGGGAGATCTTAAAGGTTTAAATATACATCTTAGAAGGAATGACATTCACTGAACTTTTTTTTTCCTAGAGGCCAGGGTAGAAAGCAGGCAATGTAATGAATAATCAATATTTATTAAATGCCCTCTTTGTTTTTGTGACCTCTATCTTCAAATAGGTTACCCCAGCCAGAAGGTTATTTATTCATTCAGTTTAGCTGAGATGGGTGGCAATATAGTATGATAATAAGGGTTTTGCATTCTATTTACTGCAAACCACATAGAAAGCATTCGTAGGGCAACTACTATGTTTGTAGTAAGGTGCTGTAGGGAAGATTATGGTCATAACAACCATTCCTTCAACAAATACTTAAAGTGTGCCTACTAGAAGCCAGCCATCATTGTAAGCACTGTGGATACAGAGGTAAATGTGGCAAAATTCCTTCTCATGTGGAGCTTATGATATACAATGGGACAGCACGGTGCAGTGGCTCATGCCTGTAATCCCAGTACTTTGGGAGGCTGAGGCGGGTGGATCACCTGAGGTTGGGAGTTCAAGATCAGCCTGGGCCAACATAGTGAAACCCCGTCTCTATTAAAAATGCAAAAATTAGCTGGGTGTGTTGGCGTACGTCTGTAATCCTGGTTACTTGGGAGACTGAGGCAAGAGAATCACTTGAACCTGGGAGGCAGAGGCTGCGTTGAGTCGAAGTCATGCCATTGCACTCCAGCCTGGGCAACAAGAGTGAGACTTTGTCTCAAAAAAAAAAAAAATACAGTGGGACAGAGAGATAATACACCCACCTACCACGCACACAATATAATGTCAGATACTGGTTTAAAAAAAAAAAACTGAAGAAAAAACAGAGTATATGGATATAGGGCTGTTATTATCACATACTTAAGCTTATCATGTAGCAAGTGCAGTACTTAGAAGCTTTATATCCATAACCTCATTTAAACCCCACAACCTACATAGAGTAGGAGTCATTATTTCTCTGTTGCAGATGTGGAAAAGAGGCTTTAAGAGGTGAAGTTCATATATCAAGTAAATGGAAGAGGTGTTGTATTTAAGAGCCTCTCCCCCTCTCTTCCCCCAATTCCCTCTAGGTCTCTCTCCTTTTCTCTCTCTCTCCCTCTTCTCCCTCTCAATTTCAAAACTTAAGGTATTATTCAGTATGATGGAGGCACAGTAGAAAGATGGAAGGTCATGTTAATACATAAAGAATGACCTCATTCTCAGTAACAATGGTCTTGTTATATAATCTGTCTGTCTCACTTTCCTCTTCTGCAGGATAATACCCACTACATAAAGTTTTAGGATGACATGAGAAAATATGTATAAATCAGAAGGAACATACCTCTTATCAAAAGTCCTCAGTACGTATTATATTGCTAAATATAATTGATGGGCATGTGGTGAAGAGACTGATAAATAATTGGGAGTTGGGGTACTTTCTAAGAGGTGCAGGTGGGACCTGATACACAAAGCATAAGTATATGGAGTAGATTGGGAGGGGCCTCAGTGTTTGGAGAAGGATTAGGAGGACATCAAAGCAAACCTTTGGTAGACTGTGTGAAGAAAGATAGCACCTTGATATTCAATAAAACTGTTTTCCAAAGTCAACAGCCATGAGTATTGTAGGTTGCTTTTTGGATCAATGAGAAGAATCTCAACTGTTGCTTCAATAGTGGTTCCTCAAATTGCCTGACAATCAAACTTATCTGGGAAACTTCTTACAAAGACACATTCAAAGTTCTGTGTCCTCCAAGGTGGAAATTTCCATGGTAGTATAAAAGGAACAAAACCATTTGTTCACTGCTATAACCCCAAAACCTAGAGCAGTACCTGGCATGTGTAGGATATTCAACTAGTGCTTGTTGACTGAATCTCCTTTATTTTTTCCTCCTTCCTATCTTCCTTTTGTTTTCCCCAAACACATAGGACATTCCCCTAACACATGTGAAATGCTCTGTGACTCTGTCCTGCATCTTCCCAGGGGTGGATTATGTGTGGAGAAAAATGTCACTTTGTCTTTGATGGGATTTAAGGGGGCATGGTCATGCCTGCTTGCTCCAAACTCTTCCTCACTCTGTTTGCTAGCATACCAGCAATGTCCACACGGCAGCTATTCCGTGTTGAGATCATGCATTTCCTGAAAACCCCTACTGCTACTACATAACGCATTGCACTGAGAAGGAGAGTGACTGGGTGAAATCACTTTAACTCTCAGCTTCTCACTCATTTGCGCTGGTTAGGCTATGAGAAGGCTTGCTGCCACTTTGAGTAGCAGAGGGGCCAGGTCCTGAAGGAATGAGACAGGGCAGTATTGATGGGAAAGAGCAGGAAGGAAAAGTCCCAGGGCTTAGGGGTGGCAAGCTAGGAGGAGTACCCAGAAAGATGGCTGGTGTGGAGGAAGCTTTTGGGGGATGGTGGCATTTGATGAGCATGGGAGGTGTTCCCACTTAAGAGAGACTTTTCCTGAGCAACACTTTGAGTCAGGTTGGTAGGGTGTTATTAATGGCTCCAAGTGCTTGGTACATAGTTGACTCACCTGCTGAAACACTTGCTGAGTTAGCGGTTCAATTTCACAGATGTTTTTAAGTCTTGGGTATGCAGAGACTGACCTCTGTGTGACTGTCACAGAGCCTGACATTCCCAGAAGACAGATTCACAAGTTTTCACCCTTTCTAGCACTATGTGAGCTCTGATGATTGTTTCCTCACGTTAATTTAGTGGTTCTTCCCCTGACCTTGGGCATTCTCCCACACACATGCACTGATCAGCACTTAGCTGAATGTTTGAGGGGGACCTTCTGTAGGTCTTCAAGTTTTCCCAGGGCAGCTCTCATGTCTTTGGTGCTCTGCCCTAGGCACTCTAGCCACCTTACTCTCCAGACTCTCAGCTGTCTCCTCAGTTCCAGGATACCTCCACAAAGGTGCCTCTTCCCTGCCCTGTGACCTGAAAAAACTTCCTCCAAATAGTATACTGGGGCAATCATTGGCTCACATCATTTATTTCCTGTTTCTTGGAGATCACCATTCTTCATTGTCTAATTTGTTCTAAGACTCGCTGTTTCACGTATTTGTCTTTTTGTTGTTGTTTCAGAGAGGAGGATAAATCTGGTCTTTCTTACTGCATTTTGGCCAGAAATGGAAATACATGAGTTATTCTTAATGCTTTTGTTTCCTACTCACTTTTGGTTTTAATTTACATTTCTCCAATGACTAATGATGTTGGATACTTTTTTATATGTGCCCACTGGCCATATGTATATCTTTTATGATGAAATGTCTATTCAAATCTTTGGCCTGTTTTTTAAAAACTTGTGTTGCTTATATTTTTATTCTTGAGTTGTAGGAATTCTTTGTATATCTCCCGCCTTTTAAAATATGTAATCAGTTTAGTAATCAATTTATTATACAGATTAGCTCCAGGGAGCAATTAGATTTTTAAATCTATACAAGTATTTCTTTAAATGGATTTTCACCCTTATGTACACTTAGACCTAAGCGATTAAGAGCATAAGAAAAATAAGAGCTAGTTTGGGCAGACACGGAGCTAGCTGCAAGAATGTTTTTTTCATACCCCAGTGGCACTGGAACCACAGCAAGACAGAACTGTTTACTCCCCTGGAAAGGGGGCTGAAGCCAGGGAGCCAAGTGGTCTCACTCAGTGGGTCCCATTCCCATGGAGCCCAGCAAGCTAAGAACCATTGGCTTGAAATTCTCACTGCCAGCACAGCAGTCTGAAGTTGACCTGGGAAGATCGAGCTTGTTGGGAGGAGGGGCATCAGCCATTACTGAGGCTTAAGTAGGCAGTTTTCCCCTGACAGTGCTAAGGAGACCTGGAAGTTCGGACTGCACAGAAATCAACACAGCACAGCAAAGCGGCTGTGGCCACACTGCTTCTCTAGATTCCTCTTCACTGGGCAGGGCATCTCTAAAAGGCAGAAGCCCCAGTCAGGGACTTATAGATAAAGCTCCCATCTTCCCTGCGACAGAGCACCTGGGAGAAGGGGTGGCTGTGGGCACAGCTTCAGCAGACTTAATTCCTACCTGCCGGCTCTGAACAGAGCAGCGAATCTCCCAGCACAGCTCTTGAGCTCTGCTAAGAGACAGACTGCCTCCTCAAGTGGGTCCTGACCCCCATGCCTCCTGACTGGGAGAGACCTCCCAACAGGGGTCAACAGGCATCTCTGCCTATTGCAGGAGAGCTCTGGCTGGCATCAGGATGGGGCACCTCTGGGACGAAGCTTCCAGAGGAAGGAGCAGGCAGCAACCTTTGCTGTTCTGCGGCCTCCACTAGTGATACCCAGGCAAATATAGGGTCTGGAGTGGACCTCCAGCAAATGGCAGCAGATCTGCAGCAGAGGGGACTGACTGTTAGAAGGAAAACTAACAAACAGAAAGCAACAACATCAAGATCAACAAAAAGGACCCCCACACAGAAACCCAATCCAAAGGTCATCAGCCTCAAAGATCAAAGGTAGATAAATCCACGAAGATGAGGAAAAACCAGCACAAAAACAATGAAAATTCCCAAAACCAGAATGCCTCGTCTCCTCCAAATGATCGCAACTCCTCCAGAAAGGGCACAAAGCTGGATAGAGAATGAGTTTGATGAACTGACAGAAGTAGGCTTCAGAAGGTGGGTAATAACAAATGCCTCTGAGCTAAAGAAGCGTGTTCTAATCCAATGCAAGGAAGCTAAGAACCTTGACAAAAGGTTACAGGAACTGCTAACTAGAATAATCAGTTTAGAGAGGAACATAAATGACCTGATGGAGCTGAAAAGCACAGCATGAGAACTTCATGAACCATACACAAGTATCAATAGCTGAATTCATCAAGGGGGAGAAAGGATATCAGAGATTGAAGATCAAGTTAGTGAAATAAGGCATGAAGACAAGATTAGAGAAAAAACAAAAAGGAACAAACAAAGCCTCCAAAAAATAAGGGACTATGTGAAAAGACCAAACCTATGATTATTTGGAGTCCCTGAAAGTGATGGGGAGAATGGAACCAAGTTGGAAAACACTCTTCAGTATATTATCCAGGAGAACTTCCCCAACCTAGCAAGACAGGCCAACAATCAAATTCAGGAAATACGGAGAACACCACTAAGATACTACTTGAGAAAAGCAACCTCAAGACACACAATTGCAGATTCTCCAAGGTTGAAACGAAGGAAAAAATGTTAAGGGTAGCCAGAGAGAAAGGTCAAGTAACCTACAAAGGGAAGCCCATCAGACTAACAGCAAATCTCTCTGCAGAAACCCTACAAACCAGAAGAGGGTAGGGGCCAATATTCAACATTCTGAAAGAATTTTCAATCCAGAATTTCATATCCAGTCAAATTAAGCTTCATAAGTGAAGGAGAAATAAAATCCTTTCCAGACAAGCAAATGCTGAGGTATTTTGTCACCACCAGAAGAGCTCCTGAAGGAAGCACTAAATATGGAAAGGAAAAACCAGTACCAGCCACTGCAAAAACACACCAAAATGTAAAGACCAATGACACTATGAAGAAATTGCATCAACTAATGTGCAAAATAACCAGCTAGCATCATGATGACAGGATCAGATTTACCCATAACAATATTAACCTTAAATGTAAATGGGCTAAATGCCCTAATTAAAAGACACAGACTGGCAATTGGATAAGCAGTTAAGACCTATTGGTGTGCTGTATTCAGGAGACCCATCTCACATGCAAAGACACACATAGGCTCAAAATAAAGGGATGGAGGAATATTTACTAAGCAAATGGAAAGCAAAAAAAAGCAGGGGTTGCAATTCTAGTCTCTGATAAAACAGACTTTAAACCAACAAAGATCAAAAAGGACAACAAAGGGCATTACATAATGGTAAAGGGATCAATGCAACAAGAAGAGCTAACTATCCTAAATATATATGCACTCAATACAGGAGCACCTAGATTTATAAAACAAGTTCTTAGAGACCTACAAAGAGATGTAGACTCCCACACAATAAGAGTAGGAGACTTTAACACCCCACTGTCAACATTACATCAACGAGACAGAAAATTAACAAGGATATTCAGGACTTGAACTCAGTTCTGGACCAAGTGGACCTAATAGACATCTACAGAACTCTGTACCCCAAATCAACAGAATATTCATTCTTCTCAGCACCACATTGCACTGATTCTAAAATCAACCACATAATTGGAAGTAAAACACTCCTCAGCAAATGCAAAAGAATGGAAATCGTAAGTCTCTCAGACTCAAATTAGAACATAAGATTGAGAAACTCACTGAAAACCGCACAACTACATGGAAACTGAACAACTTGCTGTTGAATGACTACTGGGTACATAACGAAATGTAGGCAGAAATAAATGAAACCAATGAGAACAAAGACACAACATACCAGAATCTCTGGGACATAGCTAAAGCAGTGTTAAGGAAATTTATAGCACTAAATGCCCAAAAGAGAAAGGAGGAAAGATCTAAAATCAACACCCTAACATCACAAAAGAACTAGAGAAGCAAGAGCAAACAAATTCAAAAGCTAGCAGGAGACAAGAAATAACTAAGATCAGAACAGAACTGAGGGAGATAGAGACACAAAAAACCCTTGAAAAAAATCAATGAATCCAGGAGCTGGTTTTTTGAAAAGATTAACAAAATAGTTAGACCAATAGCTAGATTAATAAAGGAGAAAAGAGAGAAGAGTCAAATAGACACAATAAGAAATGATAAAGAGGATATCACCACTGATCCCACAGAAATACAAACTACTGTCAGAGTACTATAAACACCTCTACGCAAATAAACTAGACATCTAGAAGAAATGGATAAATTCCTCTACACATACACCCTCCCAAGACTAAACCAGGAAGAAGCCAAATCCCTGAATAGACCAGTAACAAGTTCTGAAATTGAGGCAGTAATTAATAGCCTATCAACCATAAAAGCTCATGACCAGATGGATTCACAGCCGAATTCTACCAGAGGTACAAAGAGGAGCAGGTACCATTCCTTCTGAAACTATTCCAAACAACAGAAAAACCCATCACATTTGATGTACTAATAGCTCCAATCCATATAAATGTTGTCCAGTTAAACTTAGACCTTAAAATACAGGATGTGGGTAGAGTTTAATCTGGTTGGTCATAATTTTTACCTAAGATGTAGCTCCTTTGCAATAAAATGAATACAGAAACAACTTCAGTTCACTTTGCTTTTCATAACTGTCTTGATTAGAGATGGAGTCTACTGAAAAACAATCTCCTACAGGTGAGTAGAGCTTTTCTCTCACATCTAAGCACACATCATACCCACCACACCTCACTGTTATCCAAATTTAAGTCAATGAGGAAAGCTTTTAGTCTCACACCTAGGCTATGCGTGTAGAACTGGCTTGTCACACACACACTTCTCTGCTAGGAGGCAATGTTGGTACAGAAGTACAGTATTTCTAGTCTGTTGTTCCAAGTATGTACAACATGCAGCATTGCTGTATCAGGTTGTATGTACAGGGCAGGGTGAGGTGTATACTCATAGAAGGCACTAAAATGGAAATCAAAAGAACTTGCTCCTTTTTTTTTTTTGAGACTGGGCCTTGCTCTGTCACCCAGGCCAGAGTGCAGTGGTACTATCATGACTCACTGCAGCCTTGAATTCCTGGGCTCAAGGTACCTCCCACTTCAGCATCCTGAGTAGCTGAGACCAAAGGCACATGCCATTATGCCTGGCTAATTTGTTAATTTTTTTGTAGAGACAGCGTCTCACTATGTTGTCCAGGCCAGTTTTGAACTCCTGGGCTCAAGCAATCCTCCTGCTTCAGCCTCCCAAAGTGTTAGGATTACAGGTGTCAGCCATTATGCCCAGCCTAAAAGGACTTTCTCTTTCAGAGTGCCCCTGTCTTTATTTGTAGAGGTTATTCAGTTTCTTTAATTACCTGGCATACTTTGAGTCCATCCCTGAGCTATTCTGCTATACTTTTCTCTATCCTTTCTGTAGATCTCAGCAACCTCATTCACTAGAAGATCATGTGGATTGGAATCATACAATGGGGAACAAATGGAAAAGAGTACTTTTGAAATAGTGCTGGAGACCACTGTGACCACAGAATGTCAAGACACGTGCTGCCATTACTGTTACTATTTGGAAAATACATTCTTGTAAATGCAACCTTAGGGGGTTTGAGGGGGAAGTCTGTTGGGAAATGAATTGCAAGAAAAATATTACACCCTGATTGGGACTGTCATTTTGCCTCTTATTGCAGCTTGCCAGTCGACATGCCATCTCCAACAGGACCGGCTGTACACTGTGCTGGGCGGGGGTGGGTCCCGTGCCAGGTCATTCAATTCCTTGTGAGTTCTCTTTGGAGCTTTGGTGGGAGGCAAGTGGTGCTCCCTCCAACCCCTGGGGCCAGGACGAGGACAGGGAAGGGGTGGGCGAGGGAGCCTGAGGCCGCCTCATGATCACCCACCAGCGGGAGAAAATGCGGCGTTGGGGTGAGCGGGTCTGGGGAGACAGGATGAGCGCTGGGGCTGCCTGCTGAGTGGCCGCCGTGTCACTCTGGATGGTCCCTTTATGCACTGCAGCAGCTTAACTAACTCCCTTTTCTCTGGTAATATTTGTTGCTTAAAAGAGGATGGCTTTATCATCTTTCTCTTAATTAATATGTTAATAGTTAATATGGCTATATCAGCTTTCTCTTGGTTAGAATCTTTCTATATCTTTCTCATATTGTAGATATAAGTATGTAAACAGGCATATTTCAGGCTCAGGCATATAGAATTGATCATAATATTAACCATACTATTGTGGGTCTGTTTTATGTGTATGTAATCTGTTGTTTTTGCTAGCTCTTACTCATTGTGCCTTGGCTGTTTAGTAATTTTGTACCATGAGCTGCTTCATGGTTTGTAATTCTACTTGCAGAAATTCTCTTTAGCTAGCTTAAAGATGGGGTCCTTCAAAGAGAATTTTCCCCTTCTTCTAGGTTTATGAGAACTGTTAGTCCAGGGGCACTCTAAATTAAATGTTCAGCAAGACTTTTCTCCAATTCTCTCAGGTAGTGTAAATTCAAGCTACAAACATGCATAAAGGCTAGATTTCTCTGGTTTTTAGTATTTAGAAGGCTGTTTTAATCTCCCTTCTGCTTAGCACTAAAATTTGAGCTCGTAGATTTTCTTTCCTCTAGAGCTGGAGGTGAGAAGGGAGAGGTGAGGGGTTGGAGACTAATATGGGTTTATTTCTAGTTCTTTCTAAAATAGATGGTTTAACTCATTATGATCCCAACCTTTTTTGTGGCAGATCTCCTGTTAGACACAGTTTAATTTTGCTGACCAGTAATGATTCAGTGATGGGAATCTCGCTCTCTTTTAACATACTCCACAACGTGGGCAGACCCCGGGCTGTGTCTCTGGTGCCTTTGAGGTCATAAAATACAAAGCTCAATCTCCTCTTCCTCGCTTCTTTCATTTGACAAATGGCCGGCTCCAGGCCTCTCACAACTTCTCTACAGTGGCTCGTCTTCACTTAGCCCGATTTGAGAATTCCTTACTTTCTTACTTTCATGGGCTCTTTTCAGTTTTGTTTTTTTTTGTTTTTTTTTTTTTTTTTTTTTTTTGAGACGGAGTCTCGCTCTGTCGCCCAGGCTGGAGTGCGGTGGCGCAATCTCGGCTCACTGCAGGCTCTGCCTCCCGGGTTCACGCCATTCTCCCGCCTCAGCCTCCCAAGTGGCTGGGATTACAGGTGCCCGCCACCACGCCCGGCTAATTTTTTTGTATTTTTAGTAGAGACGGAGTTTCACTGTGTTAGCCAGGATGGTCTCTATCTCCTGACCTTGTGATCTGCCCACCTCGGCCTCCCAAAGTGCTGGGATTACAGGCGTGAGCCACCACGCCTGGCCCCTTTTTTAGTTGTTTTAAACAAGAGAATCTGTTGACGTATTTAGCTTACCACCTTACTGGAAACAATCTAAATTTAGTAGATGACACTTCAAACTCTGTTTAATTGCTTCTGTGTGCTTTTTCCTCTCAAGTAATTATATCTTAGTATATTACAGTCATGAATATTTGTTTTTTAGAAATTCCAGGATATGAATTTGTTTTTTATAAATTCCTGAATTCCAGGAAAGGACACTGGGAGGGTGGTGTGCTCTGGTTGGTAAGTGGTAAACATTTTAGTTCCAAGCTTGAGTCAGCCTCTTTAAAAGGATATTGCAGAATTTTGGAACAGATACCACAAACTCCTTAAATCTGTCAGCTTGAAACTGCCCATGAAACTGCCGGTTTTCTATTTTTAGCTTTTATTTCCATTCAGTTTATCTTTTGCATTTACTTCTGTTGTTTATATTTCTGCTTTAGTAGCTTTCTTCCAAAATCAAAATCATACAAACAAGCTGTAGGGGGTTGAGTGCCCCTGCCCCCAAAGATATGTTCACCCGGAACCTCTGAATGTGACCTTATTTGGGAAAAGGGACTTTGCAGATATAATTAGGCTAGGAATCTCAGGATGAAATCACCCTGGAGTATCTGGGTGGGCCCTAAATCCAATGACAAGTGTGCATCCTTATATAAGAGGAGAAGAGACAGACGGGAAAGAAAAAAAAACAAAAACAGAAAAGATGATGTGAAGTTGGAGGTGAATGAAGCAATGAATCTATAAGCAAAAGAATGCCGAGAGTTTCCAGCACCCACCAGAAGCCAGGAGAAAAGCCAAACCAGGTTCTCTCCCAGAGCCTCTGGAAGGAGCCAACCCTACTGCCACCTTGATTTCATATTCAGGCCTCTTGAACTGTGAGAGAATAAATTTCTGTCGTTTTCTAAAGGCACTCCATTTGCGGTCATCTGCTATGGCAGCTTCAGGAAATGAATCTACAAATTTATAAATTTTCTTTGCCCCAGGAATTTTTAAAAGTTTGCAATCTAGTTTTCCATCAAGCATGACCAAAGAATGACAGGTAGATGAGAGAACTGGATTAGAACGTCTCTGGAGGTTGGATTTCAAGAGTTTCCTGGTTGTGAGAATCAAATACACTGTGTGCTTAAAGCATTTAACAAATGTGAGACTTTCCGTAACATGACCATTGCTTTTTTAAGAAGTCTAGCACTCATGATCAGTGCTGACCGTCAGCTCCCGCTTTGTTCTCAACTACAGCAGTGGTTTTAGTGTTTGACATTTCCACCTGTCTTTCCTTCACTCCCTGCCCCTCCTCCTTCATACACACTGAAATTAGCTCTCTGAAACTTCTCAGAGCGAGTCTGAATTTTGTAGAGAAGTAGTTTTGTCCAATGAAGAGTAACAACAAATAGCCCCTGGAATTTGTCTACCAAATTATAACACCCCTCACCTCAGCAATTTTGGATACTTTATCATTATAGCAGCTGTCTGAGATAGGTATTGTCATGAACATTTTATATGTAAGGGCAGTTTTTCTCCAGTTAGAATCAAAGAACTGGAGCTGGAAGGAAGTTTGGAATTGCTGGCCTTTTTCATCAATTGGTTAATTAAACAATTTTTAAGTAAATATAATGTGCTAGACTCTAAGATGCTCTGGGGATTCAAATATAACCACTCTATTCCAGGCTTCATGTGCTGATGAGCAAAATAATATATCACTACTAGCAATAGTGTAGCAATTTCATAGCACTAATAAATTTGAAATTTTAAACCATTATTATAAGTAGGAATTTTTTATACACCCCAAGTGAAACAGTATACATCAATAAAAATGTGTTCTAAAGCCCTATTTATGTTTGTTATAAAGTAAACTAAGGCACAACAAAATTTCAGAGTCTCTTTGAGGAAACAATGATTCATGAATGGGACAGCTCCAAACCAGAAGTGGCTTAGGAGCTCCATGGAGGGAACACAAGAGGGCAGCTTTTATAGGATGAACATAGAAGTAAAGCAAAGAAAATATTTGATGGGTTACAATTATACAGTTGCCTTGTTTGGTCTATCCCTTTGGAAAGTCCCTAGTTACATAAGTTTATTGGCTACTTCTGATTGGTTGAGCTTAAGTTCTGTTTTTAATATAGGCATTTATAAAATATAGCTCAAGTTTCACTTACGCTTGTAAATCAAGCAAGGTTATGATGAGGCATAACCAATTTTGTCTGCTCAAGAATTCTTCAGGCCTGGTTTTCATTTTGTTTTCTTTAACATTTTAGTACCTATAAATTTACTTCTTTAACTGCTGCATAGTATTCCACAGAAGAATGTACCATAATGTATTTGCTCATTCCTCTGTTGATGTTACCAATATTTTGTTGCAATGGACAACTTTTTGTATAAATGCCAAAGTACTTCATTAGAAAAATTATACTAGAATAGAAGTAGAATTGGTGAATCAAAGGATATTCACATTTAAAAGTTATTATATAGATTACAGATGGTCCTGACTTACAATGGTTCAACTTATGGTTTTTCAACTTTATACAATGATGTGAAAGTGATGCACATTTAATAGAAACTGCTTTGAATTTGAATTTTGGTCTTTTTCCAGAGCTAGTGATAAGTAGTATGATACTCTTACCTCACACATTCAACATTTATTATAAAATAGATTTTAAATTAGATAATTTTGCCCAACTGTAGGCTAGTGTAATTGTTCTGAGCAAGTTTAAGCTAGGTTAAGCTATGATGTTCAGCAGGTTAGGTGTATTAAATGCATTTTTGACTTAAGATTATTTTCAACTTATAATAGTTTTATCAGAACACAACCTATTGTAAGTCAAGGAGCATCTGTATATAGATACTGTCAAATTGCTAAAAACACTCTATCAATTTATGTTCCTGTCAGTATTATCAGCATACACTTTTTTCAAAATTCTCACACAATATTATTCATCTTTAAAATTCTGTCAATACAAAGCTAGAAAAATGACTCAAGTTATTTTAATTGGTTTGTGAGGAGGGCAGAAGAGCAGGTTAAGAGAGACTTTCACTTTGTTTCTTCACATCTAATGGGAGACAAATCTGCATGACCTGGGCTAAAGTGGACTGAGCCAGTCTGAGACAGGGCTGCAAAGCCTTTGGCAGATGTCAGCATTCTTGAAACACAGAGGCTCTTCAAGGCTGTTCCTAGTGAAATTTTAAAATTGTGGTTTAAAAACAAGGATTACTAATTGCATTGATATTAATATAGCCAAGACTTGCTCTTTTTTGATTAATGAATTCAGGGTATATCTTTTCCCCTTTCTTTTACTTTCAATCCACCTGTGTAATTGAAGTTGAAGTGAATTTCTTATAGATAGCCTATTGTTGGAACATGTTTTTATTTTTATCCCCTCTGCAAATTTCTGTCTTTTAATTCGTGTATTTAGACCACTTACATTTAAGGGAATTGTTGATATGTTAGGGCTTATATCTGCCCCACTACTTTGTTTTCTTTTTGTTTCCTCTATTTCCTGTCCCTCTGTCTCTCTTTTTTGTACCTTCCTATGGGTTGATTGAACATGTTTCAGGATTCAATCTTAATTTATTTATTTTATGTTTTTAAGTTGTAAGAGGGAGGATCTAGGAGGAGTGGGGCTTACCATCATGGCTGGAGCTGGAAGTTGTTGAGTAATTATTTTTTATTGTCATAAAATGTACATAACACAAACTTTATCACCTTAGCCATTCTAAAGTGTGCAATCAGTGGCTGTGCAGGGAGAAACTCTCTCAAACTGTGTCTTTACTCTCACACTACAACAATCAACACAGAAGGCTTCTATGACCAAATATGTTGGGGGTTAGGGGGTTGGTTGCCACACTTCAAGCAGTGGACACCAGCCAAATGTCCTCCAATTCGATTCTTACACTATCTACCTAGAGATGGCGTCAGATCCCATGGGTTGGGTCTCAGTCCCCAAGACTGTCTCCTCTACACCAGTTGCAAGTCTGGGCCTCTGAAACTTCTGACCAACTAGCTTGAAGTTGAGATTCCCAGGAATCCCCTCTTTGGGTTTGATTAATTTTCTGGAGCAGCTCACAGAATTCAGGGAAACACTTAAATTTACTTGTTTATTATAAGGAATATTACTAAGAATACAGATGAAGAAACACATAGGGAGAGACATAGGGGAAGGGATGCAGAGTTCCATGCCCTCCCTGGGCTCCACCCTCCAGGAGCCTCCATGTGTTCAGCTATCTAGAAGCTCCCTGAACCCAGTCCTCTTGGATTTTTATGGAAACTTCGTGACATCAGCATTCCTTCCCCCAGGGTATGAGGCGAGGCCCTCATCGGGGAGACTCTTAAGACCCACAATCAGAAAGACAGGGAACATTAGAATCCTGCCTTGGGTCAGGTAAAAGGAATGCAGGAAAGAGATTATTTCCTGAGGCCTGCCCCTGAGACCTAACACACCCAGCATTATAACGAAAGACTGTAACAAGGGATGTGGGAGTTATGAACCAGGAACTAACTGTGAAGGAGAACATCATCGACTGTGCCAAACGAGCTCAGATGTCCAGGAAGGGGCTGACTAAAATGCATTATTTGAATATCATGATGCAGAAGATATATATATCTATATATCTATATAGATAGATGAAAACAAATATGTATATTTTCTATAATGTTCTATAACACAAGAAGTTTCCCAAACATTTATTTACATTGTTTGTTTATTCCCAAATATTTATATTTCCCAAATACGACAGCAGGGAGACTGAGAAATCACAAAGGACAGATGAGAGCGATGTTACTTAATGCCACAGAACAGGACATCATTTAAAGGAGTTACTCAAAGTGTTTCAGTTACTGCCATTAGGAACTCCTAAGCCCCTCGGCAGTGTGGGTGGTACGGGGTAGGTGTTGAGGTTAGCAGCACCCACAGGCTTCTCTTCACGCAGGATATGCTATATAGTGAATCGGTATCAAGACTGGAGGAAGGTAAGGGTTTCCAGAAAACCACCTTCAGGCCATGGTTTGGAGTAGTCTTATTGAAGTTTACAGAATCAAAAGTTACAGATAATTAGGAGGCATTGAAATACAGACCTGTTTTCTTTTTTCTTTCTTTCTTTTTTTTTTTTTTTTTTGAGACGGAGTCTCACTCTGTTACCCAAGCTGGAGTGCAGTGGTGAGATCTCGGCTCACTGCAACCTCTGCCTCCTGGGTTCAAGTGATTCTTCTGCCTCAGCCTCCCAAGTAGCTGGGACTACAGGCGCACCCCACCACACCTGCCTAATTTTTGTATTTTCAGTAGAGATGGGTTTCCACACATTGGCCAGGCTGGTCTCAAACTCCTGACCTCGTGATCTGCCCGCCTTGGACTCCCAAGTACTAGGATTACAGGCATGAGCCACTGTGCCCAGCTGACCCAGTTTCTACGACCAGTTTAGCCACAAAGTAGACATGTAACCAGAGGAAAGTGACTTAACCTCCTAGGGCCTCAGCTTCCCATATTACACACCCCTGGGATGAGAATGATAGGAGGTGTAGCGGGGTTGAGCTGGATAATATAAGGTTCCTTACAGCTCTAGACATTTATGATTTAACATTTTTTATGGATTGCTAATGCTGCTTTTTTTTTTGTTTTAAATGTCAAATTCTTGCATGTATAAGGCCTTGATTCTTTCAGGCCTGGGTTGTGTTGATTTATGGGCATGAGCTAATTCCAGATGACTCATTCTAGAAGTGATTGTGTAAGTATCCTTTACTTAGCTAAACATATGCAACATAAATTCATCTACTATAACATATGTTCTCTCAGAACATGCTACTGGCCAGAGTTATTAGATTTTGTTCACACCATAGATCCTGCTGTATTTTACAGCACTTCAGAATAACAATCATTCTTTTAAAACCCTTCTACACACCTTTGCTGTTTCTGTAAATACACCTGTCCTTTACAAGCATCTGGCTCTTTCTATGCATTCTTCCTCCAGAAATCATAGTATTATAGATTTGGAAAATGCTTGGCCTTCATTTTCCTGTTACAGACTGGTTTAGGTGTCCCTCTTAATTGTTCTTAATGCATTCAGTATATTCATTCATTTCTTAATTCATTAAAAATATGCACCATGCCAGGTGTTGGGGACATTGCAATGAACAAGACAGGCATGGCCCCTGCTCTCATTCAGTCATGTCTAGGGGTAAAGGTAAACCTTGGATAAGTAATAATTGGTGTGCTGACTGTTAAGAAGAACTACAGTGCTATACAAGCTGTATGATCATATTGGGCTTTAACCAATTCCTTGGGAATCAGATTTCTAGATGAAGTGGCATTTAAGTTGAAATCTGAGTAGTGAGTAGGAGTTAGCCAGGCAAAGATGAGGAGGGGGACCACTCCAAGCTGAGAGAACAGCTGAAATGAGAAAGTCCATGCAATATTTTTTTTTTTTTTTTTTTTTTTTACCATAAGAAGATCACACCGGCCAGAATGGAGAGAGGGCTGGGGAGGGTGATTTGACCTGAGTCTAGAGAGGCAGGCACAGATCAGACCAGGATGCTTATGGCAGGCCACGCTAAGGATTTTGGACTTTATCCTTATGGAAGTTGGAAATCATTAAGAGTTTAAAGAGAGATATGATCAAATCTGATATTTTAAATAAAGCTCATTTGGCTGTGATGTGGCAAGTGGGCTGGAGGGCAGGGTGGTGAGAGGAGACACAGGAAGCTCAGTTGGGACATTCCTGCTGTGGTTCAGACGAGAGCTATGTGGGCTTGGACTAGGGCAGTGTGTCTGCTTCAAGGGGAAAGGGTTTGGTGTTTTGTGGAATTTGGGGAATGAGGGAATGTTTCATGAAGCCGAAGGGGAGAGTGTTTTTAAAAGGAGGACATCATCGACTGTGCCAGATGGAGCTGAGATGTCCAGGAAGGGGCTGACTACACTAGAATGCATTATTTGAATATCATGATGTGGAAGATTTTTTGGGGGGGGGGGGCAGACTCTTGCTCTGTCACCCACACTGGAGTGCAGTGGTGTGATCTCAGCTCACTGCAACCTCTACCTCCCGGGTTCAAGTGATTCTCCTGCCTCAGCCTCCCGAGTAGCTGGGACTACAGGTGTGCACCACCACGCCTGGCTAATTTCTTGTATTTTTAGTAGAGATGGGGTTTTGTCATGTTGGCCAGCCTGGTCTCGAACTCCTGGACTCAAGTGATCCGCCCACTTTGGCCTCCCAAAGTGCTGGGATTAGATGTGAGCCACCGCACCCACCCAGAAAGATATTTTTGACCTCAGGAAGAATGCTTTTGGTGGAATGACGAGGGTGAAATCCATAGTGTGTGGCTTAAGGAGTGAATGGAAAGAAGAGGAGGAGAGAGAGGTGGAGAGACTACACCTCTTTCCAGAAGTTTGGCTCTGAAAGTAAAGAGAAAGGGTTAATACTAGATGGTAACAGTAAGTAAAGAAAGAATTGTAGTTTTACAGTTTTTTTGTTTATTTGTTTGTTTGTTTTTTGAGGCAGAGTCTCACTCTGTCGCCAGGCTAGAGTGCAGTGGCATGATCTTGGCTCACTGCAGCCTCTACCTCCCGGGTTCAAGCAATTCTTCTGCCTCAGCCTCCCTAGTAGCTGGGACTATGGGCACGTGCTGCCACGCCTGTCTAATTTTTTTGTATTTTTAGTAGAGACAGGGTTTCACCATGTTGGCCAAGATGGTCTTGATCTTCTGACCTTGTGATCTGCCCACCTTGGCCTCCCAAAGTGCTGGGATTACAGGAGTGAGCCACTGCACCCGGCCAGTTTTACAGTTTTTAAAATGGGAGAAGCTTCCACACATTTAGATGCTAAAGGAAGGAACAGATAGGAAAGATTTAAGAATCAGGAGAGAAAAGAGACAATAGCTTAAGATTCCCGACTATGGGGTAGAGGAGAATGCTTAGAACCAAGGTGGAGGAATTGGTCATTTGTCACATTTGCTGACATTTTACTGACATTTTCTGGCTGGATGTCTGTCTCCTTCACTGGGCTGTAACCTCCTGAAGGTGAAGGCTGAAATTCTATTTGATTTTATATCCCTAGCACTTAGTGTAGGACTTAGCACGATAATGTGCCCTCTGAGTGTTTGGCTGGGCTGACGTGTCACTTGTGGTAGGAAGGTCTCTACAGATGTGTTCCCTTAAGGATATAGACTGAAGGCCTTGAATGCTTAGGAAGCTGGGGATTGACTTGAGGTAGGTAGGGCTTCTTGGATAGATTTTTTAAATGAGAACTATGAAATGGCAAAGCTGTCTGGCCTGTTAGGTTAGTAACTTTGGCTGTTTATGCCTGATCCAAAGCCCTAGGCTAAAATCAGTCATGGTGGAGATAAAGAGCAACCTACAACATGCAAGTCAAGAACTACCACAGTGAATTCTCTCCTTCTTAGCTATCTCCTTGGTCTAGAAAGAAAGATGAACCCCACAGCAGCACCCCACAAGAAGAGAAACAGTGCTCACTCATTTGAGTCTACTTCTCATCAGATCTGATGCAACTTATCTGCACAGGCCATGAATGGAACAATGAAAAGATGACCTGAAATCTTTCCCCACTCAGTTGCTGTTAAATTTAACACAGACATAAAAATTAAGAAATTCAGTGAAACAATTATATTGCATTTGTATTTTTCTTCTGCACTGCCATTAATATTGGCTGGTAAAAATTATTCCATACTTATTTCCATGAATTTTGAAAAGACTTAAAACTGCCTGATATACTTGGGTGATATTCTTCCAGGAATGATAAAATGAGACAGAAATGGCCTTTGAGTGTTTTCAGGAAGGGAAAATGGAAAATGAAAGCTGGACTAAAAGGTGTTACAAAAGCAAACTAGTTAATACTTCCAAGAAATGAATATGCTAAGATATTGTTTGCTGATCAACATTTATTAAACATTTACTGTGTACCACTGATCTAGGCTCTTGGCCAGATATGAGCAACAAAAAGAAGATAGTGTAGTGCTTGCCTTCCAAAATCTAGCACAGTCCTAGAAAGAATTCAGGTTTCACTAAGGCTACTTAGGGAGAGAGTTCTCTAGGTTCTAGAAATTAAGGCAGGCACCCACACAAAGACTCAGTTGCAAATGGGTGGAAAGAATGATTTTTATTAATCAGCACAATATCTTAAAAATCCCAGTGTAGCCTTCTTTGATAAAAGACAGAGTACATGACTTAGAGGCTTAAGAGGGGTCTTCTACTACCCATTCTGGATTTCTGTTTTGAGACTTGGAAGTTCTAAAGTCCTTGCAGAGGAGATTCTGAGGCCCACCAGTAGCCTAAAATCTCCAGGCCTGCTCCCCTCACTGCCCCCACTCCTGGGTGGAACACAGACGTAGAAGATGCTACTCAGCTCAGTGGCCCTGCCCACCATGCACCTGACCCTGTGAATGCCTGTGGCTGGCCGTTCAGGTTAGTTCTTCTTCCCTCCTCTCCCACACCATGGAGACACAGGAAGAGAAGGAAGATACGTGTTTTTCTCTAGTGCTGACATTAGAGCCTGAGACTCCGGCCTTGCATGAGGCCAGATGGGCTAAGGTTTCTATGCTGGGTTTTTCGAGATCTCCCCAGACCCTTCCAGCAAATTCCTCTTTTTACTCGAGGAGGTTTTGGAAACAAATGAGTAAGACAGACGTAGTCTCTGTAATAAGAGAATGGTGAGTCAAGGACACCTGAAAAACAGTAATAGCTAAGGTCGGACAGAATAGAAGGGAAAAAAAAAAAAGCAAAAAGAGCTCTGGAGACACAGGAGAAAATGAAGCTCAGATGTCTGGGAAGGCGAGAGTATCTAAAACCTTTACCAGAGAAGACTGGAGGGCCTCTTTGGGAGATGAAACTCTCTGTCACCTGGAGATTCACCAAAGACTCTGAGGCTGAGGGGAACAGTATACTGTGGAACTGATTTCTGAGACCACAGTTGGAAATTGTGTGTTCAGAGTCCTTACAAGTCTGAAAAGGCCTTTATTTTTACAGCCACACTTGAGTCACCATTTGGCTGTAGAATTCTCCCTCAGAATTCTGTAAACATCACTCCATTGGGTCTCCTGGCATTTTATTTCCAAATAAGAGAGCAATGTCCACTGGTTTCTTTGCACTTGGCAGACACCTGATTTTGGTGAAGGTGTTGGAGTGTCTTTTGTTGGGAGAAGTGAGTGTGAGGAGGGTGGGGGAGTGTTCTGGAAGTTTGTAGGATTTCTTGTAGGATTCTTTTCTGTCATTTACAAATTTCAACAGATTATCTGTAATATGGCTTTTTTCAGTATTCCTGCCCAACAATCCTTAGATTCTTTAAATATGAAATCTAGATTTTCTTCTATTGAGAAAAATGTTAACTTATTCTTGATCATTCCTTCATTTGTTTTCTGGAATTTCTGTTATGTAGAAGTTATCATATATTATTCTTCCTGTTTCTTAATTTTCTTTCATAACTTCTCTGTTTTTTAGGAGATTCCTTAAATTGGTTATCTGTTTCACAGTTGCCAGGTTTGGTTTTTGGCATATTATTCTGCTACTTAAGATCTCCACTATTTTTTTGTTTTGTTTTGGCGCCCATGATTTTACTGGAAAAATCCTTTTGTTCTCTCCTTTTTTGTTACCCCTTTTCATTTATGTGACACCTTCCTGAAAATTACCCCTCCCTTTGAGATTTAAATAAAATGTCTGGCTCTTCATCCCATTCTTGATGGGAAGTTTAATGCCTCCCCTAACTCCTGTTTTTTTTTTTTCTTTTCAATTCCAAGAGGTTTTGTACTTGGTCCCCACCTAGGTCCAATTTTCTTTGTCCTAGATTTCCTAATTGTACCTCTTCTTAGAGTCTGTTCTTACAGCCTGTCCTGGTGCAGACATGGAACACATCGTTTTCCTTTGTGTTCCCCAAATGGCATTCTTTCATTCCATTCACCTTGTGTGGACACACTTTGCTGAAGGTCTGAGGTGGCGAAAAGGGTGGCGTCACAGCTCTCCAGAGAGTATTCATGTGTTTTAAAAAGTCCTCCATCTGCCCCATTACCAGGGATTTGTCACCTACCACCTTACTAACAAGGCTCCTCTTCTGTCCTGTTGAAAGGAAGAATCACTAATGGATGCTAGCAGGGCTTAGTACCTAGGTGATGGGATGGTCTGTGCAGTACCTGCCATGGCACGTGTTTACCTGTGTAACAAACCTGCACATCCTGAACATGTACCCCTGAACTTAAAAGTTGGAAATCAAAAAAGAGAAAGGGCCTCTGTTCTCTGCCTTTCTTATCTTCCAGACAGAACTCCCTTTACCTGAATTCTAAAGTCCTCTTTGTTTCTATCTGATATTTAAGTCAAAAAGATGTTGCCACACCTGTTCTCTCCTTCAGAGAATTCAGGTTCCTGCTATTATAATCCCTTTTTATTCCTTGATGCACTAAATTTCTTTTTCTGAAAATTCTTCCTTGTTTTCTTTACTAAATCTATCTTGCAGAAAGATATCTTTGCCCTGATTGTTCAGCTTATTTCTGGCAGCTAATTTTTCCCATATGTCTAATGTTTCTTGTATAAGAGAAAATAGATGGCTTTTATTTCTAATCAGAGGTCTATTTTTCTCAATGTTGGCAAATCCTGTGGGTTCCCTAAGCAATTGTGCATCTCAGGGTTCAGTTCCTTCTGGTGGTTTCCTGCTTTCTTTTCCTATGTGAGGCTTACGTAGAATTTATTTAACATGCAATAAAATATGCACATAACATGAAATATGTTTACAATATGGATAAATCCCACAATCATAATGGTAGGAGAAAGAGGCCAGATACAAAACAGCATATGATTCCATTTATACAAAATTTAAGAGTAGGCATAACCAGTCTGTGGTGATACAGATTAGAGGAGTGGCTATCATTTGAGTGGATGTTGACTGGGAAGGAGTTAGCTGGAGTCCTAGAAATTTTCTATATCTTGATGTGGGAGGTAGTTACATGAATGTATACCTGCGTAAAAAAGTCATAGAGCTATACATTCAAGATTAGTGCACATTACTATATGTAAGTCATACCTCACTTTAAAAAATGTCATGTGATGTCATCTAGAACTAGGGAAGGAATAATTTGAGAGACCTTCTTGATTTGGAGAGGAAAAGGATATTTTGAGGGCAGGTGTTACTTAGAAGAATTGCTCTACATAGCAGTCTTTTCTTCCTTTATCCTACTATCAGACATTTCTCCAACTAGAATAAGATGTGGTTACAACTGTCCTCTTGCTGTTTCGTGAGAATTGCTTAGTTGTTTCCTACACAGAATTTTAAACGTTGTGGTAAATACAAGTTCAAAGTCACATTGCCAGTGCTTCGGAAACTTATAATCTAGTTGGAGAGACAAGACTAACATAAAAGAGAATTTAGTGTTGCTTTTTTTTTTTTTTAAGTGCAAATTTTGAGGCACAGAATTCTCCAGGGATTCAGGAGAAAGAGCACTCAGTGGGAAAAGGAGGAATTGATTTTAATGAAGCGGGGAGGACTTAAGGTGAGTTTTTGAAAATACCTGGGCAGGCACAATGCCAGCTAGTTCTTCACTGTATTGTGTTTGTTTAAAGAAACATAGAACACCTGCTTGCTAGAGCTGAAACAGTGACTGGGCAAGACAGGATATTTATCAAACTGGGGAAAATAAACCAAGTGGCATACAGATGTCTGAAGAGATTTAGACTTGGATTCTGAATTCCCACTAGTCTGAGCCCTCAGGGTTGAGAGGACAGTACAGTCAGGGGAGGGTAGGGATCGGGAAGGAACAGAGGCCAGGCCTAAACTGTATGCCCCGGTGGGAAATACTATACAGAGGTCTTTTCTTTTACAACAAAGCAATTCTTATTATATTACAAAGAAAACCAAAATCTGTGTTTATGACAGGATGACTTACAGAAGGATACAAAAAATTAGGGAGTGATATATTAAGTTCTCCTTAATATTTTCTCCTCTGACACTACATTCATGTATCTGCAAAAACATACATGTGCTTTCAGACACACATGTATGAACACATACACACACACACACACACACACACACACACACACACACACACCCTTCATACTCCTGTGCTGGTGGGGAATTCGGAGTTTATCTAAAGTACACACTTCATACTCCTGTGCTGGTGGGGAATTCAGAGTTTATCTGAAGTGCTCTTTGCTAGGCTCTGTGGGTGGAGCTGGGAGGGTAATGGTAAGGTTGGCAGATATATGAAGACAACTGAAATTCATATCAGCAGGCTGAGTGTTCATGTCACCAGAAGTCTGACTCGCCTGCTGTGCTCTTGCCTGCTGTGCTCTCGTAATTACTTTCGGAAAGGTTTTCTGGCTACAATAAAATCTGATTAAATTTGTTACCAAGCAAATTGAATTGTTCAGGCTGCAACCTTTCTAGAAGTTTTAAACGTTATTTAAAAGAAGATTTCAACCTCACTCCATTTCAGCTTTCTCTGGGGAGCTGCTCTTGTGCTGTTTGGCCCCTGCCTACTCGGAATGGAACAAAGGTATGGTGTGTATTGTTTTTCTACTGAATTTAGGATATTTATTTTTGATGGTTTGTCTTCACGTCTTCTGTAACTAGATATAAGAATTGAGAGTTCTTGCTGGGGGATGGGGAGGGATTTAGGATGTTAAAACAGTTTTCAAATATATAGTGTTTGCCATCTTCAGAACACCTGATTTACAATTCACTCAGTTACTTGGGTATAGAACTTGCTTGTATCGCACCCTGCTTACCCTTGATATTCTATCTGCTTGAGCCCTCTCTGCAACCCTGTCCACTTTACCCAACCCCCTTATCAGCAACACTGCCTTTTCTGTATACTTCCCTTCTTTTTTCTGTGGCTGCTAGCAGATCTTGTTTTTGGAGCTTTCCTTCTGTCAAGACATTACTTACTGCTTTGCTCAGGTCTCAGAAAGCTTTAGGATCCAGAGAGATACTAAAGGCTGAATGGGCATGGAAGACCCAGGGTTTGGACTTGAGGGGTGCTCTGGACTAAATGGTACACTGAATTCATGGATCAAAAGTGCAGTTAGTCTTAAAGCTCCAATCAATACAATGTTGACTACTTCATGGGGTAAGTAAGATTTTTGTGGGCTGGTTAGAACTTACTTGCCATTCGCAACTTGTTTTTATGGGAAAATATCAAGTGCAGTATAAAATAAACATTTAGACCACTACCTAGTCATAAAGGGGGGGGTGCTTTCTGTAGTATATTTAATTAAACACATATTATTATAACATTTTGCTAAGTTCTAGTTCTCAAGTAAATATAAAGCTGTTCTAAAGATATTTTAGGAGTGGTGACATGTTTAAATCTCAGGTTTATAAAAAGGGTTGTAAGAATGACTGTTGTGAGCCATTAGTTTCAATGTTGATTTATTCTCTCAACAAATATTTGTTGAAATCCTCATGTGCGCTAGGCTGTGGGGGTGCAACGGAAACCTAAAACAAACTTGGTTCCTTCCCTTGCATAGCTTACAGTTTTCTAGGGGACACAGATATTAATCAACCAACCTCATAATTAAAAATGAAATTATTGGCTGAGCGCGGTGGCTCACGCCTGTAATCCCAGCACTCTGGGAGGCCGAGGCGGGTGGATCATGAGGTCAGGAGATCGAGAGCATCCTGGCTAACACGGTGAAACCCCGTCTCTACTAAAAATACCAAAAAAAAAAACCAAAAAATTAGCCAGGCGTGGTGGCGGGCGCCTGTAGTCCCAGCTACTCAGGAGGCTGAGGCAGGAGAACGGTGTGAACCCGGGAAGCGGAGGTTGCAGTGAGCTGAGACCACGCCACTGCCCTCCAGCCTGGGTGACAGAGCAAGATTCCATCTCAAAAAAAAAAAAAATCAGTTTGAAAGTGATGAGAGAGAAAGTGATGTGAGGCTGTGTCACGGTGGGATTTGACCTTATATGGGGAGTCAGGGAATTCCCAGTGGGGCTACTGATTGAACTGAGACCTAAAGTATAAGGCATTGGGGGAACCTGCTCCCAGTATTTCAACATAGTTTCTTTCTATTTTCCATAAGTGTCGGCTGGCTGAGAAATAAAGGGAGACAGTACAAAGAGAAGAATTTTACAGCTGGGCCGCCAGGGGTGACATCACGTATCAGTAGGACCATGATGCCCGCCTGAGTCTCAGACCAGCAAGTTTTTATTAAGGGTTTCAAAAGGGGAGGGGGTGTAAGAACAGAGAGTAGGTACACAGATCACATGCTTCAAAGAGCAAAAAGCAGAACCACTGATAAGGGTCCAACAAAGATCACATGCTTCTGAGGGGACAGGGCAAAGGGTAAAAGCAGAACCACTGATAAGGGTCCAATAAAGATCACAGGGCAAAGGACAAAAGCAGAACCACTGATAAGCATCTATGTTCAGCAGTGCGCTGCATGTATTGTCTTTTTTTATTATTATTAAATTTTTTATTTTATTTTATTATTATTATTATTAAAATTTTATTATTATTATTATTATTACCCTAGAACTTTAAGTTCTAGGGTACATGTGCACAACATGCAGATATGCTACACATGTATACATGTGCCATGTTGGTGTGCTGCACCCATTAACTCGTCATTTACATTAGGTATATCTCCTAATGCTTTCCCTCCCCCCTTCCCCCACCCCACAACAGGCCCCGGTGTGTGATGTTCCCCTTCCTGTGTCCAAGTGTTCTCATTGTTCAATTCCCACCTATGAGTGAGAACATGCGGTGTTTGGTTTTTTTGTCCTTGCAATAGTTTGCTGAGAATGATGGTTTCCAGCTTCATCCATGTCCCTACACAGGACATGAACTCATCACTTTTATGGCTGCATAGTATTCCATGGTGTATATGTGCCACATTTTCTTAATCCAGTCTATCATTGATGGACATTTGTGTTGGTTCCATGTCTTTGCTATTGTGAATAGTGCCGCTATAAACATACTTGTGCATGTGTCTTTATAGAAGCATGATTTATAATCCTTTGGGTATATACCCAGTAATGGGATGGCTGGGTCAAATGGTATTTCTAGTTCTAGATCCTTGAGGAATCGCCACACTGTCTTCCACAATGGTTGAGCTAGTTTACGGTCCCACCAACGTGTAAAAGTGTTCCTATTTCTCCACATCCTCTCCAGCACCTGTTGTTTCCTGTCATTTTAATGATCACCATTCTAACAGGTGTGAGATGGTATCTCATTGTGGTTTTGATTTGCATTTCTCTGATGGCCAGTGATGATGAGCATTTTTTCATATGTCTGTTGGCTGCATAAATGTCTTCTTTTGAGAAGTGTCTGTTCATATCCTTTGCCCACTTTTTGATGGGGTTGTTTGTTTTTTTCTTGTAAATTTGAGTTCTTTGTAGATTCTGGATATTAGCCCTTGGTCAGATGAGTAGATTGCAAAAATTTTCTCCCATTCTGTAGGTTGCCTGTTCGCTCTGATGGTAGTTTCTTTTGCTGTGCAGAAGCTCTTTAGTTTAATTAGATCCCATTTGTCAATTTTGACTTTTGTTGCCATTGCTTTTGGTGTTTTAGACATGAAGTCCTTGCCCATGCCTATGTCCTGAATGGTATTGCCTAGGTTTTCTTCTAGGGTTTTTATGGTTTTAGGTCTAACATTGAAGTCTTTAATCCATCTTGAATTAATTTTTGTATAAGGTGTAAGGAAGGGATCCAATTTCAGCTTTCGACATATGGCTAGCCAGTTTTCCCAGCACCATTTACTAAATAGGGAATCCTTTCCCCATTTCTTCTTTTTGTCAGGTTTGTCAAAGATCAGATGGTTGTAGATGTGTGGTATTATTTCTGAGGGCTCTGTTCTGTTCCATTGGTCTATATCTCTGTTTTGGTACCAGTACCATGCTGTTTTGGTTACTGTAGCCTTGTAGTATAGTTTGAAGTCAGGTAGCATGATGCCTCTAGCTTTGTTCTTTTGGTTTAGGATTGTCTTGGCAATGCAGGCTCTTTTTTGGTTCCATATGAACTTTAAAGTAGTTTTTTCCAATTCTGTGAAGAAAGTCATTGGTAGCTTGATGGGGATGGCATTGAATCTATAAATTACCTTGGGCATAATGCCCATTTTCATGATATTGATACTTCCTATCCATGAGCATGGAATGTTCTTCCATTTGTTTGTGTCCTCTTTTATTTCCTTGAGCAGTGGTTTGTAGTTCTCCTTGAAGAGGTCCTTCACATCCCTTGTAAGTTGGATTCCTAGGTATTTTATTCTCTTTGAAGCAATTGTGAATGGGAGTTCACTCATGATTTGGCTCTTTGTCTGTTATTGGTGTATAAGAATGCTTGTGATTTTTGCACATTGATTTTGTATCCTGAGACTTTGCTGAAGTTGCTTATCAGCTTAAGGAGATTTTGGACTGAGATGATGGGGTTTTCTAAATATACAATCATGTCACCTGCAAACAGGGACAATTTGACTTCCTCTTTTCCTAATTGAATACCCTTTATTTCTTTCTCCTGCCTGATTGCCCTGGCCAGAACTTCCAACACTATGTTGAATAGGAGTGGTGAGAGAGGGCATCCCTGTCTTGTGCCAGTTTTCAAAGAGAATGCTTCCAGTTTTTGCCCATTCAGTGTGATATTGGCCGTGGGTTTGTCATAAATAGCTCTTATTATTTTGAGATACGTCCCATCAATACCTAATTTATTGAGTGTTTTTAGCATGAAGGGATGTTGAATTTTGTCAAAGGCCTTTTCTGCATCTATTGAGATAATCAAGTGGTTTTTGTCTTTGGTTCTGTTTATATGCTGGATTACGTTTATTGATTTGCATATGTTGAACCAGCCTTGCATCCCAGGGATGAAGCCCCCTTGATCATGGTGGATAAGCTTTTTGATGTGCTGCTGGATTTGGTTTGCCAGTATTTTATTGAGGATTTTTGCATTACTGTTCATCAGGGATATTGGTCTAAAATTCTCTTTTTTTTTTGTTGTGTCTCTGCCCAGCTTTGGTATCAGGATGATGCTGGCCTCATAAAATGAGTTAGGGAGGATTCCCTCTTTTTCTATTAATTGGAATAGTTTCAGAAGGAATTGTACCAGCTCCTCTTTGTACCTCTGGTAGAATTCGGCTGTGAATCCATCTGGTCCTGGACTTTTTTTGGTTGGTAGGCTATTAATTATTGCCTCAATTTCAGAGCCTGTTATTGGTCTATTCAGAGATTCAACTTCTTCCTGGCTTATTCTTGGGAGGGTGTATATGCCCAGGAACTTATCCATTTCTTCTAGATTTTCTAGTTTGTTTGTGTAGAGGTGTTTATAGTATTCTCTGATGGTAATTTGTGTTTCTGTGGGATTGGTGGTGATATCCCCTTTATCATTTTTTATTGTGTCTATTTGACTCTTCTGTCTTTTCTTCTTTATTAGTCTTGCTAGCGGTCTATACATTTCATTGATCTTTTCAAAAAATCAGCTTCTGGATTCATTGATTTTTTGAAGGGTTTTTTGTGACTCTATCTCCTTCAGTTCTGCTCTGATTTTAGTTATTTCTTGCCTTCTGCTAGCTTTTGAATGTGTTTGTTCTTGCTTCTCTAGTTCTTTTAATTGTGATGTTAGGGTGTCAATTCTAGATCTTTCCTGCTTTCTCTTGTGGGCATTAGTGCTGTAAATATCCCTCTACACACTGCTTTAAATGTGTCCCAGAGATTCTGGTATGTTGTGTCTTTGTTTTCATTGGTTTCAAAGAACATCTTTATTTTTGCCTTCATTTTGTTATGTACCCAGTAGTCATTCAGGAGCAGGTTGTTCAGTTTCCATGTAGTTGAGTGGTTTTGACTGAGTTTCTTAATCCTGAGTTCTAGTTTGATTGCACTGTGGTCTGAGAGACAGTTTGTTATAATTTCTGTTCTTTTACATTTGCTGAGGAGTGCTTTACTTCCAACTATGTGGTCAATTTTGGAATAAGTGTGATGTGGTGCTGAGAAGAATGTATATTCTGTTGATTTGGGGTGGAGAGTTCTGTAGATGTCTATTAGGTCCACTTGGTGCAGAGCTGAGTTCAATTCCTGGATATCCTTGTTAACTTTCTGTCTCGTTGGTTTGTCTAATGTTGACAGTGGGGTGTTAAATTCTCCCATTATTATTGTGTGGGAGTCTAAGTCTCTTTGTAGATCTCTAAGGACTTGCTTTATGAATCTGGGTGCTCCTGTATTGGGTGCATATATATTTAGGATAGTTAGCTCTTCTTGTTGAATTGGTCCCTTTACCATTATGTAATGGCCTTCTTTGTCTCTTTTGATCTTTGTTGGTTTAAAGTCTGTTTTATTAGAGACTAGGATTGCAACCCCTGCCTTTTTATGTTTTCCATTTGCTTGGTAGATCTTCCTCCATCTCTTTATTTTGAGCCTATGTGTGTCTCTGCATGTGAGATGGGTCTCCTGAACACAGCACACTGATGGGTCTTGACTCTTGATCCAATTTGCCAGTCTGTGTCTTTTAATTGGAGGATTTAGCCCATTTACATTTAAGGTTAATATTGTTATGTGTGAATTTGATCTTGTCATTATGATGTTAGCTGCTTATTTTGCTCATTAGTTGATGCAGTTTCTTCCTAGCATTGATGGTCTTTACCATTTGGCATGTTTTTGCAGTGGCTGGTACCAGTTGTTCCTTTCCATGTTTAGTACTTCCTTCAGGAGCTCTTGTAGGGCAGGCCTGGCGGTGACAGAATCTCTCAGCATTTGCTTGTCTGTAAAGGATTTTATTTCTCCTTCACTTATGAAGCTTAGTTTGGCAGGATATGAAATTCTGGGTTGAAAATTCTTTTCTTTAAGAATGTTGAATATGGGCCCCCACTCTCTTCTGGCTTGTAGAGTTTCTGCCAAGAGATCCGCTGTTAGTCTGATGGGCTTCCCTTTGTGGGTAACCCGACCTTTCTCTCTGGCTGCCCTTAACATTTTTTCCTTCATTTCAACTTTGGTAAATCTGACAATTATGTGTCTTGGAGTTGCTCTTCTCGAGGAGTTATCTTTGTGGCATTCTCTGTATTTCCTGAATCTGAATGTTGGCCTGCCTTGCTAGATTGGGGAAGTTCTCCTGGATAATATCCTGAAGAATGTTTTCCAACTTGGTTCCGTTCTTCCTGTCACTTTCAGGTACACCAATCAGACGTAGATTTGGTATTTTCACATAGTCCCATATTTCTTGGAGGCTTTCTTCGTTTCTTTTCATTCTTTTTTCTCTAAACTTCTCTTCTCGCTTCATTTCATTCATTTGATCTTCCATCACTGATACCCTTTCTTCCAGTTGATCGAATCAGCTACCGAAGCTTGTGCATTTGTCACGTAGTTCTTGTGCCTGGTTTTCAGCTCCATCAAGTCATTTAAAGACTTCTCTACACTGGTTATTCTAGTTAGCCATTCATCTAATCCTTTTTCAAGGTTTTTAGCTTCTTTGCGATGGGTTCGAACTTCTTCCTTTAGCTCGGAAAAGTTTGATCGTCTGAAGACCTCTTCTCGCAACTTGTCAAAGTCATTCTCCGTCCAGCTTTGTTCCATTGCTGGTAAGGAGCTGTGTTCTTTTGGAGGGGGAGAGGTGCTCTGATTTTTAGAATTTTCAGCTTTTCTGCTCTGTTTTTTCCCCATCTTTGTGGTTTTATCTACCTTTGGTCTTTGATGGTGACGTACAGATGGGGTTTTGGTATGGATGTCCTTCCTGTTGATTAGTTTTCCTTCTAACAGTCAGGACCCTCAGCTGCAGGTCTGTTGGAGTTTGCTGTGGGTCCACACCAGACCCTGTTTGCCTGGGTGTCAGCAGTGGAGGCTGCAGAATAGTGACTATTGCTGAACAGCAAATGTTGCTGCCTGATTGTTCCTCTGGAAGCTTCGTCTCAGAGAGGTACCCAGCAGTGTGAGGTGTCAGTCTGCCCCTACTAGGGGGTGCCTGCCAGTTAGGCTACTCGGGGGTCAGGGACTCACTTGAGGAGGCAGTCTGTCTGTTCTCAGATCTCAAACTCCATGCTGGGAGAACCACTATTCTCTTCAAAGCTGTCAGACAGGGACATTGAAGTCTGCAGAGGTTTCTGCTGCCTTTTGTTTGGCTATGCCCTGCCCCCAGAGGTAGAGTCTACAGAGGCAGGCAGGCCTTGAGCTGTGGTGGGCTCCACCTAGTTCGAGCTTCCTGGCCGCTTTGTTTACCTAATCAAGCCTCAGCTATGGTGGGTGCCCCTCCCCCAGCCTCGCTGCCACCTTGCAGTTCGATCTCAGACTGCTGTGCTGGTAATGAGCGAGGCTCTGTGGGCGTGGGACCTTCTGAGTCAGGCATGGGATATAATCTCCTGGTGTGCCATTTGCTAATACCATTGGAAAAGTGCAGTATTAGGGTGGGAGTGACATGATTTTCCAGGTGCCATCTGTCACCCCTTCCCTTGGCTAGGAAAGGGAATTCCCTGACCCCTTGTGCTTCCCAGGTGAGGCGATGCCTCGCCCTGCTTCAGCTCACACTTGGTGGGCTGCACCCACTGTCCTGCCCCCACTGTCTGATGAGCCCCAGTGAGATGAACCCGGTACCTCAGTTGGAAATTCAGAAATCACCCGTCTTCTGTGTTGCTTACGCTGGGAGCTGTAGACTGGAGCTGTTCCTATTCAGCCATCTTGGAACCACCTGACACGTTTTGTCTTGATAAACATCTTAAACAACAGAAAACAGGGTTCAAGAGCAAAGAACCGGTCTGACCATAAATTTACCAGGGTGGAATTTTCCCAACCCTAGTAAGCCTAAGGGTTCTGCAGGAGACCAGGGCATATTTCAGTCCTTATCTCAACTGCACAAGACAGACAGTCCCAGAGCGGCCGTTTATAGACCTCCCCCAAGGAACGCAATATTTTCCCAGGGTATTAATATTAATATTCCTTGCTAGGAAAAGAATTTAGCAATATCTTTCCTAGTTGCATGTACATTTATAAGCTCTCTGCAAGAAGAAAAATATGGCTCTTTTTGCCTGACCCTGCAGGCAGTCAGATGTTACGGTTGACTTCCCTTTTTCCATAAAAATCGGTATTATTCTGTTCTTTTTCAAGGTGCACTGATTTCACATTGTTCAAACACATGTTTTACAATCAATGTGTACAGTTAACACAATCATGACAGTGGTCCTGAGGTGACATACATCTTCAGCTTACGAAGATAATAGGATTAAGAGATTAAAGTAAAGACAGGCATAAAAAATTATAAAAGTATTATTTGGGAACTGATAAATGTCCATATTAAGATGAAATCTTCACAATTTATGGTCCTCTGACACAGTTCCGGCCGGTCCCTCCGTTTGGGGTCCCTGACTTCCCATAACAATAAGGAGAGTTAAATCTGTGAGGAAGGGATCAAAAAAGAATATTCTGGGTATAGGGTTGTACATTGAGGAAATGAAAGAAGACCAGCTATCATTAGGAGGAAGAACATAGTACAAAATAAGCTGGAGGAAGTGCGTAGGGGTCATTACATATGCTTCACCTTCTAGGCTATGTTAGGAATTTTGCTGTTTCTCCTAGGAACAATGACAGGAGACTGACGTGGAATAAAAGGTTGATAGGGTGGAATTATTTTAAATTTCCATTTAATCTATGTTATTCTGCCTCATTCTTCATGACATTATTATGCGTTGCGTGCTTGTGTCAAAACGTCTCATATACCCCACAATTATATACATCTATATACTCACAAAAATTTAAAATTAAATAACTATGTTATTCTGGTCATTGTGGAAAGAACAAATTAGAGAAAGAGTGAATGTAGGGTGACCAGTTAGGGGTCTATGGCGGTGGCCCAGAGGGCCATGGTGATGGCTTAGATTAGGGTGACAGGGAAGATGGTTATGAGAGAGAATTAAGAGGTAAGATTAATGGATTTGACTTAGCTATAGGGTAGGGAGAGAAAGGGAGTCGTTGAAGATAACAGGTTGTCATGAAGGACATTTGAAGGATGAGAATGAGTGAGATGCACTGAGCTGAATTTTGGATATGCTAAGTTTCAGGTGTCTTTAAGACATCCAAATAGATATGTATGAAAGGCAGTTAGCTATACAGATACAACTTTGTGGCTCAAGGTCTGCCCATATATGTGTTTGAAAGTCATTTGTGTTCAGGAGATAATTGAAGCCAAGAGTATGGAGGAGACTCTGTAGGGAAAAAGTGTCAAATGAACAGGACACAGAACTGAGCCTTGAGGAGCTACAACATTGAATGACCAGATAGAGGAAGGATCCATCTACAAAGCAAACAAAAAAGGACTGAAAATGTAGGAAGAAAACTAGTAAGCTGTTAGGTGTGCAGAAACAACAACCACAAAAAGTATACCTGGCTATAAAGAAAAGGAGAAAGAGAACTAGCTGGAGGGTCTTTGGGGCTGAAATGCTTTAAAAAAAAAAAAAAGGTTTGGAAGGTTTAAAAAAGCAATGTAATGTAGATTCCTTCTACATACCATTCTTGAAATGACAACATTGTAAGGATAGCTGGGCAATCAGTGGTTGCCAGAGGATATGAACAGTGGGGATGTGACTGTAAAGGGTAGTCCTTGGGAGTTTCACTGAGGAAGTTCCTTGGTGGTGATAGAAGAGTTATATGTCATTTTGTTTGTTTTTTTGAGATGGGGGTCTCGCTTTGTCAGCCAGGCTGGAGTGCAGTGGTGCAATCACAGTTCACTGTAACTTTGAAACCTGGGGCTTAAATGAGCCTCCTCCCTAAGCCACCCAAGCTGTAGCTGGTACTACAGGTGTGCTCCAGCACGTTCCACAAGAACTATATATCTTTTTGTTCTTCACATTCCTGTCAGACTTTATAAAACAAATGGATCCAGTAGGGAACAAACACAATCATTATGCTGACTGTCAGAAATATAGAGGGAAAGAAAAAATGTTAGCCTTAAAGTATTTGAAAACCACTGACTGTATGAAAATGCTACTTCCAGGCACCTGGGCTATGGCTCAGATGCTGATATTAACACATCAGAAAGGTCTCAATTTAGTGACTGTCCCACATGCTCCAGCCTTCCTGATTTTCTCTCTCTGTATTTTTTAAATGACAGAGCCTGAATATCGTGGACAATAATTGAGGAGGATCAGAGAGCCCAGCCAGGCAAAATTAGAACAGACTTGGGTCTTGCAGGCTATACTTGGTGAGATCTGAGTTCTTGAGAAATGTGTCACATTCAGGAACCTGCCTTTACTTTTTCTGCTACTTATTCTGTAATGGAAGAAACAGACCACCACTGTGTGAGAGGGGTCCTTCCTGGCTTCCCTCCTCACAGCTGTGTTTCAAAGGGGAAGAGATCTGTGAAGGGCAAGCACAGGCACAGCCAGAGCCCACAGAGTCCACTGGGACCAGCATGGGGACAATCAGAGTCTGTGGTCCTCCTGCCTACTGCATGCCCTACACTATCCTGTGGGGGTTGGGGTGAGATAACTGCTGTGGGGGAGGAGCACTGTGACTGAAGGAAACATCTTTTCTCAGCTGTGGGCGTGCCTAACCTCTGTCTCAAACCCAACTCTGCCTTTACCTTGGAGTGTCCAGAAAAGACAGCAGGGGCCAAATGACAAGCCAAAGTTAGTGTGACATTTCCACGGAGTAGGGGTTGCAAAATTGCCGTTGGAAAGAGGAGAAATAAAGGCCATGGAAAGAAACTCTAGGGAAATGACAGGCCTTATTCACAGACTATGTCCAGAATAAAGGAGCCCCAGGGTCAAGGGTCAACAGTAGGCCTGTTGGAAACTAGGGTCCCATTGGAGTCAGGAAATAAAAAATTCAAGTGATTCATAAAAGTCTTGAAAGGCATGACAATTTCTAACAGTTGCTAGAAATGGTACCAACTCTGGGTTCTTGGGCCGTTAATGCACAGAAATTGGCATGAGACTGAAAAAGTTTCCCCAGACAAGGCATTATTGGAGTTTATACCTGGACATAAGAGAGGCAGCACAAGAGAGAGAGAATTCCCTGACTGAAGCCAGTAGGGCTTTTTTTTTTTTTTTTTTTTTTTTTTAAATTAGGCAAAGCATGGGAATTGACTTCAGGGGTAGGGTATGCAGGATGGGCTGGGAAAGTGTGAAGGGTAGGGTATGCCAGTCAGCATATCTGGTTACAGTGGTTATCTTCAATAATGGGCAACCTGGTGATCTGGCTGGCTACAGCAACAGTGTAAATCAATGGCTCAGCATTCCTTACCTATGTGGGACACTCAACAACCTTGGTTATCTCCTAAGGCCAGTTTCTGGAATTATTTAAGTAAAAGGTATGGTTCAAACATTGTGGCCTAAGCAAGGTAGTAGTGTGGGTTTGTGGTGAGTGGGGATGCACAAAAGAATGCTCTAGTCGATATAGGCTGAAGCCAAGCTCCGTTCCTACTTGGTCTCAGAAAAAGGCAATGTTTTCTTTAGTATACATTGGCCAAGAACTCAGACTTTTATAAACTTGCTTGACCAGTTGTCACTGCTTCGTTGTGATCTCTTCTGCCACTGGGAATGGATTTATTAACTACAGGGCTTTGTGTTGTGGGAGAAGATTTAGTGATTCCAAGAAAGGAATTCACTTTTATTAAAATAGGTTAATAATTAAAACTTCAAAGTGCTACCCACCCATAGAAGTTTCCTGAAGAAAGAAAACAGAGAGTCATTGGCCATATGAGGTGGAGATGGTTTCATCTGAAGTGTGGAAAAAACAGATAGGCTTGTGTTCTTTCCTGTGGCAGGTGTGGGTAAATGTGTCCCCCCCAGGGGCCTGCCCTTGTCCATAGCCCTACAGTGTCTTGCAATGTAAACATTTTCTTTTCCAAGGATCTGGTAGGGTGGACATAAATCCAAGGCTCATAAAGTAGGAAGAAAAGGGGGTGGCCTGGGAGTTCCTAGCAGGCAGATCCTCCTCATACTCATTGTATTTCCAGGGTGGGGCAGTGCTTCACACATAGTAGGAGCTCCAGGAATACTTATCAAACAAAAGAACAAAGGTAAAGAGAAGAAAGGGAGGTCAGATGGAAGAAAGCGCATGACCAATTCAAAAACTAGACCCCCTATGAAGTTGCCTGCAGTGATCAATTTTACCATGAGCTGGCAGCACAGAGAAAAGTTCTGGCCAGGGCAACCTCGAGGTTCCTGAACCTCTGCCCCTTTTCTCAGCCTGGGACTGAACTCCCTGTTTTGGAGATCTCTAAACCAAGTATACACCTCATTGTTCCAAAAACAAAATAAAACAAAAGTGCAGTCCTTCGGCATTTATAAAATGTGAGTTCCAATGTAGCTGAAAACTGCCCACCCCTCAGCCTTGCTTAATGTTTTAATTTTTAAAATTTAAATAAATTTTGTTCCTTCATACTTTACACTTCGAATTTTGGTGCCTGGCAGAAGGACTAGTCCGTCGAGAGAGAAAGACCATGATACAGGTGGCGATTTGGCCGCTGTCCTCTTTGGACTTGAGGTCCACAATGATGTGGTCGTTGGTGTTGGGGATGAACTTGAAGAATGAACTTTAACGTGCGCGGGGCCCACCTCCCCCATGTGGCTGACGGAAATGTAACCGAAGTCCTGGGTGGTGCTCAGGAGTCCTCGCTGCACCGCTGGGGGCAGGACCGGCGCTGCAGCACTTTCCAGCAGGCGGACTAGGGGTGTGAGGCAGCCTGGCGGTCGGATTTCCGTGGCGGCCCTGGGAGCATTGCAGCTGCACACCCAGTTCTTGTGGTCCACGCTGCCCTTGTGGCCTGCCACTCTCACCCATTCCACGTTCTCAGTCACTATGTCCCCTCCTTGCCCAGGCTGCCCCCCTACAGACGCTGGCCCTCCACTGCCATGAACCCCTTCTCCACTGCCCCATCGCCTTCGGAGAGAATTACCCGAGACACGGCCTTGCTGCCATCTATCTGATAGGTCACCCCTCTCACTTGGTCCATAGAGTAGTTTCCCACCAGAGACGTTCAGATCCGAGAGCTCCATGCCCCTCTCCACTTTCCGCCAGGTGGGACTCTAGAATGCAGTGGTCTTTGTTTCATTTCACCACCACCCTGTCCCTGCTGTCTGATAGGGTTGGGTATCCCCTTTTCAGGTAACTGAACCAGGTGTTTTCTTCTTGGGCCCTTGACCCTGTGCCCAGGTCAGCAATGACTGCGACTGGGTATTGAATCCTACCTGGCGTCCTCTGGAAGGCAACCAGGGGGTAAGTGTCATTGTCCATGGCCTTGGTCATGGGCGCAAGCACAGGAAGGCCCCGCACGCTTATCTGGAGAGAGCGCACAGACTCATTCCATTCCAGGTGGTCAGAGGGCTGGGCAGGCATGAGACTGAAGGGCAGGCGGGACCCAGTGGAGCAGGGAGTCCGACTTCCACCCTTAGTAAGCTCGCCTGGCCTGAGTTATGTGAGAGTAGTGATGGCTACACAAATTAAAGCATAGAATAAAATTTCATAGAACTGTATACACACACGCACACACACACACAAATAGATGCCTGTGAAAACTGGTGACATGAGAATAAAGTCTGTGCTCTAGTTAACAGTATTGTACCAATGTCAATTTCCCGGTTTTGATATTGTAATACAGTAATACAGTTACATAAGAGATCACTATTGGGGAAGCTAACTGAAGGGTACAGGGGACTCTGGACTATTTTTGCAAATTTCTGTGAGTCTACGATTATTTCCAAAGAAGATGTTTTAACAAGTGAATGAGAATGAAAAATATGAAATTTGCAATGACTTTTTCTTTAGTATTTTGCCCTTTAAGTGTAATCTAATTATTACAATCATCATTATTACTCATGCATAGTGTACAGGAAGCACTTCTCTTATTAAAATATAACTCAAAACTTCCAGAACTTGTCACTGGAAGACACTCCATCCAGGCAGTTTGGCTGACTTGAAAGCCAAACCTGTTTGCAGTAGGACCTTCCTTAATTATAGCAGATTATAGCTTGATTATACTTGGTTATAGCTTGTTGCAGGAGTGGGCTGCTCTCTCTTGAGAGGTCAAACTTTACTTACAATTGTACATCAGAATAAGTGAGGAGTGAGTATACTTTGAAAAGGCATATTTGAAACAGCAGTTTCCTCATTGTTTTTATTGTGGAATATAACATACAGAACAGCTCAAAAACCATAAATGAAGAACACTTAGAAAATGAACACCAGTTTAACCTAGGTTAAAAAAAAAAAGAAAATGTAATATTACCTGTGAGCACCCCAGAAATCTCTCATATGCTGCTTTCTTTCTTTCTTTTTAAAATAGCTTTATAGATAATATGATTTAAATACCATAAAATTCACCTGATTTAAGTGTACCATTCAATGGTCTTTAGTATACTTAATGGAGTTGTGCAACCATCTTCACAATCTAATTTTAGAATTTTTCCATCACCTCATGAAGAAACCATGTGCCCTTGATCAGTCAGTCCCCATTTTCTGTCTACACCCCCACCATTGTCTCTGATAACCACTGGTCTACTGTCTCTGTGAATTTGCCTATTCTGGACATATCATACAAATGGAATTATATCATATGCGGTCTTTGGGTCTGACTGCTTTCATTTAGCAGAATTTTTTGAGATGCATCTATGTTGTAGCATGTATTGTAATTTATTCCTTTTTATTGCCAAATAGTATTTCAATATATGGATGTATACATTTATCCACTAATTGATAGACATTTAGGTTGTTTGTACTTTCGGGCTGCTATGAGTAGTAGCAAAGTGAACATTTATATACAGGTTTGTGTGTGTGTGTGGACATATGCTTTCAGTTCTTTGGGTGGAGACCGAGGAGTAGAATTGCTGGATCAACAGAAACTCTAACATGTTGAGAATCTGCCAAACCTTTCCAAAGTTTATCAACAACAGTGTTTGTTGGTTCCTGTTTCTCTGCAACCTCAGCAACACTTGATATTACCTTCATTTTTTCTTATACCTATCCTAATGGATGTGAAGTACCATCTCACTGTAGTTTGGTTTGAGTTTCTATCATGACTAAGGATGGTTAACTTCTATTCATGCGCATTACTGACCATTTATATATCTTCTTTGGAGAAGTGTCTATTCAAATCGTTTGTTTTATTTTATTTATTTAAAGATGGGAGTCTTGCTATGTTGCCCAGGCTGCTCTCAAACTCCTGGGTTCAAGTGATCCTCCTCCCTCAGCCTCCTGAGTAGCTAGGGCTACAGATGTGCACAACCATGCCTGGCTCCCCTTTGATTATTTTTAGTTGGGTTGTTTTCTTATTATTGAGTTTTAAAGTTTTTTGTATATTCTTGATACAAGGTTCTTACAGATATATAATTTGCAAATATTTTCTCGCAGCTTTTGGGTTATTTTCATTTTCTTGATGGTGTCATTTGAAATGCAAATGTTTTTAATTTTGATAAAGTCAAATTTCTCATTTCTTTTCTTCTTTTGCCTGTGCTTTTGGTGTTGTATCTACAAAATCATTGCCTGACCCAAAGTCACATAGATATATTCCTATATTTCTAAAGTATAGGTTGGTGCAAAAGTAATCATGGTTTTTATCTTGAAAAGTAATGGCAAAAACTGCGATTACTTTTGCACCAACCTCACAAATGACTCAAAGATGTTCTCTATGTGTTGGCTCTTAAGTTGTTTATTTCTTCACAGCAGACTGAGATCCATTGGCTCAAAGGCTGCCAGCACCAGACTTAAAATTGTACACACACAATTGTTTTAAACATAGCCCAAATAAGCATATTTTTAGCCATTTAGGGCCTGATCTGCATACTCCATGAAATTGGCAATATTTATTATCCATAGATAAGATAAGCCCCAGTGTTATAAAGTTGCCAGGCTGCTGCTGTCCTTTGAGTTCACTAACCCTGAGACTCCCTGCTGTGCCTCTGACTTATCCCCTTTCCTAGAAGTTTCCTTGCTCTCCTCCCCTTCTGAATGGTGGTCCCTCCAAGACTCCGGATAGTTTCAAGATGTGAAGGACTCATTCCTCCTGCTTACTTGCTAAAGCAGCACCCTGCTAAAGCTTGTGCATGTTGCTGCCAGCTCATCATATCTTTTTCTTCGATCAGTCCAGAAATTCTGGAACTCACTCCCTACAGTTTTCCTCTAAAAGTGTTATAGTTTTAGCTATTATATTTAGGTCTATGATTCATTTTGACTTAATTTTTGTATGTGGTGTGGGGTAGGGGTACAAATTATGCTTTTGCATGTGGCTATTCAGTTGGCCCAGCACCATTTGTTGAATACAGGATTATTCTTCACCCCATTGAATGGTCTTGACACTTTCTTGAAAATCAATTGACCACACACACGAGCTTATTTCTGGACTCTCAATTCTATGTTTACCTTCATGCCAGTACTACACTATCTTGATTAGTGTAATATTGTTGTAAGTTTTGAAATGGAGAAGTATGAGTTCTCCAACTTTGTTCAAGATTATTTTAATCAGAGTCCTTTGTGTGTTCTTACGAATTTTCGGATCAGCTTGTGAGTTTCTGGGATTTAGAAAGGAATTGCATTAACTCTGTAGAAAAATTTGGGGAGTACTGCCATCTAACCTTCTGATCTATGAACATGGAGTATCTTCCTCTTTATTTAGATGTTTAATTTTAAAAATATTCTGTAGTTTGCAGTGTACAAGTTTTGTACTTCTTTTGTTATACTTATTCCAAAGTGTTTATTGTTCTTAATTACATTCTGAATGAATTTTTTTCTTAATCTCTTTTTTGAGTTGTTCATTGCTAACATGTAGAAATGCAATTGATTTTTGTATATTCATCTTGTATCTGACATTTTGCCTAACTTGTCTATTAGCTCTGGAAATTTTTTAGTAAATGTTTTAGGATTTTATATATACAAGATCATGTTGTCTGCAAATACCTTTACTCTTCCTTTCCAACTTGATGGCTTTATTTTGCCTAATTTTCCTGTCTAGAACCTTCAGTAAAATGTTGAATGGAAGTGGTGAGAGCAGATATCCTTATCTTCTTCTTGATTTTAGGGAAAAAGTATCCAGTCTTTTGCTATTGAGTATAATGTTAGTTTTGGGTTTTTCATGGGTTCCCTTAATTAGATTGAGAAAATTACTTTCTACTATTAGTTTGTAAAGTGTGTCGTTGTGAGGGGGTGGGAGTTAGTCATGAAAGGGTATTTTTTTTCAAAATTTTTTTCTGCATTATAATTTCTTTTGAGACTATTATGTGGTTTTTACCTTTTATTCTCTTAATGTGGTATATTACATAATTGATTTTCATGTATTAAATCAATCCTGCATTCCTAGGATAAATCCCAATTGATCTGGACAAGTTTATGGACTATCAGTACTAATTTTTCTCTAAATGTTTGATAGAATTCACCAGTGAAGCCTCTGGGTTCTATGTTTTTCTTTGAAAATACTTTAAATTACTGATTCGATCTCTTTTCCTGTCATAGGTTTGTTCATGTTTTCTATTCCTTTATGAGTCCATTTTGGCAATTTGTGTTGCTCTAGGAATTTGCCCACATTACCTAAATTATCTAATTTGTTGGCATATATTTATTCATAGTATTTACTTATAGTCCTTTTAATATTTGTAGGATTAATGGTAATATCTCCTCTTTCATTCCGGATTTTTTTGTAATCTGTGCTTTATCTCTTTATCTTGTTCAATCTACCTGAAGGTTTGCCAATTTTGCTGATCTTTTCAAAGAACCATTTTTTGATTTTACTGATTTTCTATTTTTTTTGTTTTTTCTACTTCTTTTATTTTTACCCTGTTATTATTTTCTTATTCTACTTGTTTTGGGTTTTGTTTGCTTTTCCTTTTCTAGATCTGAAGTTGAAGTCTTAAGATTATTAAGATCGTTCTTCTTTTCTATTATAGCCATTTAAAGCTACAAATTTGCCCCATGTCTTGCTTTAATTGCATCCTACATATGTGCTCCTTTCTGATTAAAACTCTCTCCTTAAAGATATATAGTACCCTGACTCTTGTAATATTTTTCTCATTTTCTGAAACAATACACTTTAGTTTTCTTGTTAGGGAACTTTATTTAAATGGAGTCACGTTGCCTCTGTGTGTGTGTGTTTTGTTCTTTTTATCCAATATTATTTCTGGGCATTGGTGCACGTTGTTACAAGTAGTCTTAATTGGTTTATTTGTCTTTTTGTGTTCCACAGAATGCTACTTTACTGTTATAGCGTATAATTTACATAACATATAAATACATAATTTATCATTTCATTGTTGATGAACATTTGCATTGTTTCCAATGTAATATACTCAAATGTAATATGAATAATGCTGTGATGTACATTCTTGTACATGTATCTTGAAGAACATATGCACATATTTCTCCAGTGTTGAGACTTAGCTAAGAGTAGGATTGTTAGGTGACAGTATATGTGTATTCTCTGTTTTAGTGTAGAATGCCACACTATTTTTCAATGAGATTGAACCTCACTACATTGTCATTAGTAACATATGAGAGTTTCCATACTCCTATTATCAACATTTAGTACTTGCAGTTGTTTTAATTTTAGTTGTTCTGGTAAGTATAGTGGTACTTCATTGTGGTTTTTATTTTCACTTCCCCATTGCTAGTGAGGCTGAGCTCTGTTTATACAGTTAGTCACAATTTGGATATTCTATTTTATGAAGTACCTATTCAAACCTTTTTGCCCATTTTTCTTATAGATTGTCTTTTTCTTATTGATTTATAGACATTCTTCTATATTCTGCATAGAAATCCTTTGTCATATTTATGTTGCAAATTTTCATTATGTGTCTTACCTTTTTACTCTTTTATTGTGTTTTGGGGTGTATATGTTCTTTTGGTGTAATCTAAAATTGCAATAATTTTCCTTTTGGGTAGAGCTTTTTGTGTTTTGTTGAAAAAAATCCACCGTGTCCCAAGATTATAAAAAATTTCTCCTAAATACCTTCCAAAAGCTTGATTGTTTATCTTTTAAATGTAAGTCTTTTAACTTGTCTGAAATTGATTTTTATCTATGGAATAAGGAAAGAGTCCAATCTATTTTTCCAATATGGGATCCCAGTTACCCCAGCAAGTTTAGTGGAAACATTTATCCTTTCCCTAGTGATCTACAGTGTCACTTATCAAGTGTTGGTGTATATGTGGACTTGTTTCCAGGCCTCTATCCTGTTCCCTTGATTATTTTATCTACCACTGAGCCAACACTATATGATCTTAATTATTATAGCTTACAATAAGTCTTGATATTTGCTAGGACAAATCCTCTCTCATCTCCCACCTTGTTCTTCTTGAAGAATGTTTTTTCTCTTTTTGGCCCTTGGCATATCTTAATAAATTTTAGAGTAAGTTTTTAAGCTGTAAAAAAAAAAAAAAAATTCTGGGGGTTTTATTGAGACTATAGTAAATCTACAGATAAATTTGGAGTAAATTGATTATCTTCATAATATTGAGCTTCCTATCTATGAACATAATATAACTCTTCGTTTATAGATACACTTAATATCTCTCAATAGAGTTTTATAATTTTCTCCAAAGAGATCATCTTTTGTTAAATGTATTTCTTGATATTTCATTTTTTATGCTATCTTTTAATTTTTATTTATTTATTTATTTTTTGAGATGGAGTTTCTCTCTTGTTGCCCAGGCTGGAGTGCAATGGCACGATCTCGGCTCACTGCAATCTCTGCCTCCCGGGTTCAAGCAATTCTCCTGCCTCAGCCTCCTGAGCAGCTGGGATTACAGGCATGTGCCACTACACCCGGCTAATCTTGTATTTTTTGTAGAGACGGGGTTTCACCATGTTGGCCAGGCTGGTCTCGAACTCCTGACCTCAGGTGATCCACCTCAGCCTTTTCTGCTATCTTAAATGATATATTTTTAAATTCAATTTTTGTATTTTTTATTGCTGATGTGAGAATAAATTGATTTCTTAAACTATTGATTATATATCTAACAGCTGTACTAAACTCTCAGAGTCTTATAATTTATATGTGGGTTCTTCTGAATGTTTATGTATACAGTCAGTTCTAAGTATCTTCAAAAATGATTTTTTTTCTTTCCACTCCTTATGTGTTTGACTTTTTTTTTTCTTGCCTTAATGTGCTGAGTAGCTTATTCAGGTCTCTTTACTTTTACCTAATGTCTTTTTCTGTTTCAGGGTTACATCTAAGATACCACATCACATTAGCTAAGGAGCTATCATGTCTCCTTAGGCTTCTCTTGGCTGTAATATTTACTTAGATTTTTCTTGTTTTGGATGACCTTGAGTTTCAAGGAGTACAGACCATGTATTTTATAGGTTACCTCTCTACTGGAATTTATCTGATTTTTTTTCTCATGGTTAGACTGGGATTATGGGTTTGCAGGAGGAAGACCACATCATATTAAAGTTACATTCTAACATAATTTATCACCGTTGATATTGACGGATTGTCACATTTCCTTACTGTTAAAGTTACTCTTTTTTTCATCATTTCCATACTGTACTCTTTGAAAGGAAGTCTCTATGAAAGGAAGTCTCTATGTGCAGCCCACATTTAAGAATTGATTATTTCAGATTTTCTACATAGGCAATCATGTTATCTGTGAACAAAAACAGTTTTACTTCTTTCTTCCCAATTTGTATACCACTTATTTATTTATTTGCCCTATTTTATTGTCTAGAACTTTCAATGCAATGTAGAAAAGCAGTGGTGAGAGACGACATCCTTGCCTTGTCCTTATCTTAGTAAGAAAGCTTCTACTTTCTCATTTTTTGTAGATGTTTTAATTAATTAATTAATTAATTTATTTATTTATTTAAGATACAGGGTCTTGCTCTGTCTCCCAGGCTGGAGTCCAGTGGTGTGATCATAGGTCACCCCAGCTTTGAACTGGGGGCTCAAGTGATACTTACATATTGGCCTACCAAGTAGCTAGGGCTATAGATGCATACTGCCATGCCTGGCTAATTTTTTTTTTTTTTTTTTGAGATGGAGTCTCACTCTGTCACCCAGGCTGAAGTGCAGTGCCATGAGCTCAGCTCACTGCAACCTCCGCCTCCTGGGTTCAAGCAGTTCTCCTATTTCAGCCTCCCAAGTAGCTGGGATTACAGGCGTAGGCCACCATGCCTGGCTAATTGTTGTATTTTAGTAGAGACGGGGTTTCACCATGTTGGCCAGGCTGGTCTTGAACTCCTGACCTCAGGCGATCCACCTGCCTCAGCCTCCCAAAGTGCTGGGATTACAGGCATAAGCCACCGCACCTGGCGCTTTTTTATTTTTATTTTTTAGCAATGGGGTTTTGCTATGTTGACCAGGCTGGTCTTAACCTCCTGGCCTCAAGTAATCCTTCTGTGTTGACCCCCAAAAACACTTAGATTAATGGGTATGGGCTGCTGTGCCCAGCTGTAAATGTTCTCTATCAAGCTGAAGAAGTTTCACTGTATTTCTAGTGTGCTGAGAGTTTTTATCATGAATGAGTGTTGGATTTTATCAAATGCATGTGATCATGTGACTTTTCTTCTTTAGCCTATTGATTTGATACATTATATTAGTGACTTTTGAATGTTGAACCAGCCTTACATGCCTGGAATAAATCCCATTTGGTCATAGCATATAATTCTTTTTATCCATTGCTATATCTGATAATATTTTGTTGAGTATTTTTGCATCTATGTTCATGAAAGAAATTAGCCTGTAGTTTTTTTTTCTTGTTATAACTTTGTCTGATTTTGGTATTAGGGTTATGGGCTCATAGAATGAGTCAGGAAATATTCCCTCTGTTTCTGTCTTCTGGAAGAGACTTTTGAAAATTGGTATAAATTCTTCTTTAAAATTATAGTAGAATTCACCAGTACACCCTTCTGGGCCTGATGCTTTCTGTTTTAGAAGGTTCTTAGTTACCGATTCAATTTATTTAATATATATAGTACTACTCAGATAGTCTATTTCTTTTTGTACAAGTTTTGGCAGATTGTGTCTTTGAATGGATTGGTCTGTTTCACCTAGGTTATCAAATTTGTGAGCGTAGAGTTTTTCATAGCATTCCTTTATTATCTTTTTAATGTCCATAAGTTCCATAGTGTTGTCCCTTCTTTCATTTCTGATATTGTATTTTTTGTTTTTGTAGACACAGGGTCTGTTTTTTTTTTTTCCTTTGAGAGAGGGACTCGCTCTGTCACCCAGGCTAGAGTGCAGTGGCACGATCTCAGCTCACTGCAACCTCTGCTTTCTGGGCTCAAGTGATTCTCCAGTCTCAGCCTCCCAAGCAGCTGGGACTACAAGTACAAGCCACCAATGCCTGGCTAATTGTTTTGCATTTTTTGTAGAGATGGGGTTTCATTGTATTGCCCAGGCTGGTCTTGAACTCCTGAGCTCAAAGCAATCCGCCCACCTCAGCCTCCCAAAGTGCTGGCATTACAGATGTGAGCCACCACACCTGCCTTAGACACAGGGTCTCACTTTGTTGCCCAGACTGGTCTTGAACTCCTGGGCTCAAGTGATGCTTCTGCCTTGGCCTCCCAAAGTGCTGGGATTACAGGCATAAGCCACTGTGCCCAGCCTGATATTAATATTTTTGCATCCTCCCTCTCTCTCTCTTTTAAAATATTAGTTAGCCTAGCTGTGGGCTTATCACTTTTTTGATCTTTTCGAAGAACCAGCATTTGGTTTTGTTGCATTTCTCTATTAGTTTTCTGTTTTCAATTCCATTGATTTCTGCTCTAATTTTCATTTCTTTTTTTCTGCTTCCTTTGAATTTAATTTACTTTCCTTTTTCTAGTTTCCTAAAGTGGAAGCTTATGTGATTGATTTTAGATATTGAGTATCACAGGGTACAGTAGGTGAATTTTTCTTCTTTTAACCATGGAGTACACATTTTGTTCGTGTGAGGATATTCTTTAATTCACTAGATATTTACTGAGCACCTACCACGGGACAGGCACTGTAGTCTTGGCCTTCATAGAGTTTACCTTTTCTTGAACAGAATACTGAACATCTTCCCATTGAAAACAAAATACCTAAGACGGGGAGCAAAATGTACATACAGACTGAAAATTCTGAATGAGTTGCCTTTTCTTCCTCCACCCTTTTTCTCAGATTATGACCCTCTGGAGGATTTCTAGCTTCATAAGTAGTCTTTATTTGGGCTCCTTGCCCTGCTTGGACTGCAAGTATAGTTGACATTTATATCATTCCTATCCTTGCCTCTCCCTCAGCTCTGAGCTTAGAAGCCCCAGCCACTGGTCTTTGAAGAGATCCTCAGGGTGTGAGGTGCCATCAGAGCATGAATGAATGACATTTTTACCTCATAAAACTCTACTCCTCTCTGTATTTTTTTGAGGTCTAGATTTTGAATTTTCAAAATAAGTTTCAAGAGCATCACTGTTTATTCCATAGGCCCTCGACATAGTAAACCAATGACATTTTTATTAATATAGGTATTTTCTGTGATCTCTAGTGAGGTAAATTTTAAAAATTCGTTTGTTACACACTTATATCTGGTTCCTACTAATCTTCAGAAAAAGAACAGGATGGAGATAAGTCAGGTGAGATACATACATTGACTATGAAGCTGACTTCTAACTAGTTCCTAGTTTAGATCATAATTAAGCATCAGAAAATAACAGAGCCCAGGATTAGGGTGAGACAAGTGAGACCACTTTTAAGTTGTAGAAAATTTAAGGAATGTAAAAAAAATCTTGATTAAAACAAATTATTTTAACACAATATTTTTTCATTTTTTTTTTCTTTTGAGATGGAGTCTCACTCTGTCACCCAGGCTGGAGTGCAGTGGGGCGATCTCAGCTCACTGCAACCTCCGCCTCCCAGGTTCAAGCGACTTTCCTGCTTCAGCCTCCCACGTAGCTGGGACTACAGGTACCTGCCACCACACCTGGCTAATTTTTGTATTTCTAGTACAGACAGGGTTTCACCATGTAGGCCAGGTTGGTCTCGAACTCCTGACCTTAGGTGATCCGCTTGCCTTGGCCTCCCAAAGTGCTGGGATTACAGGTGTGAGCCACCACACCTGGCCAACACAATATTTTTTAAGGCCAAAATGAACGCACAAATTCCATGACAAACGAAATATCCAAAACTTAAAGACAGGATGTTATACTGCCACACTGCCATTACTTCTGAGGCAAAAAGGAAAAAGCGTGCCCCTGTATAAATGTATTTTAATGGTTATTTTCAAGAATATTAATGTATTTGAAAAAATATTGAAATGTTAAAAAGTAGGTGTATTAAAATTCATTTTAGTTTTTTTTTTTTTTTTTTCCAAAAATTGCATTCAAATGTATTTTACACTTTAGGCAGTTCTTAAGAAGGGAGAGTGCGGTTTTTTGACACTTAACATTTAAAGGTTTTATTGGCCACATTAATCTTTCTCACAAAAGTTTTAGGTTATCTATAAGTTCTTAGAATGTCAAAGAAGAGAAGAAAAACTGACTAACTTTAAGGGGCGGTGGAAGAAGCAGCAACTTGGCAATAATTCCGCAGCCAACTTCGCGTGTTCAGGCATCCTTTTTCTCCAGTAAAATTTTGTGCAACTCGTCTGCATCCTCGCTGGTTTTTACCCGAATCAACATGGTGACTGGCATGGTGGCATTCTTCTCGTCAATTGGTGGATTTGGAACACAGACGATAAGAACGTTATTCTTCCCTGTTCGCGTACATGGCATATTGGGTGGAATCAGAACATTCAGCAATATGTTGCCTAAATTGGTGTCTGCCCGCACCAAAAGCTGTGTCTTCTGATTTGCTGTAGGTTTTAAATGCAGAGTACCTATGCCTTTCTCTTTAAACTCATTGTCTTTCTTGTAAAACAGTTTACACTTTTTGGAGTAAAAAGCATCTTCTTTTACTTCGGTAACTACTACTTTGGGCGGCTCATCATTCTCTTCTTCATCTCCACCTTTGCATTCACCACTGTCACCTTCCGCTTGGCCCTCCAATGGTTTAGTGGGAAATGGTGAAGAGACTGGTTTACTCTGGGTAGTATCTTTGCCAAATAAACTGGAGTTTCCAGGGGAGAAAGAAAATCCAGTCAGGGGGACAGAGCTTAATGAGCCCAAAACAGAGCTATCAACTTTCTTGTCGAAATTAAATGAGGCACTTGTCGCTCCTAGTGATGATGGGTTCGTTTTCTTTTCAGATGCCACCTCCACCTTCTTGTCAGGTGTATCTTCAGTTTTGTTGCCATGAAACAAAAACGTTGACTCTTGCTGTAATTTTGTTGAGCCAAAAAGGGAAGGAGACTGTGTTTCAGCCGCCACTTTGTTAGATTCACTTTTAGAATTCCTGCCACTGTTCCCGTGTTGCTGTTCAATGTTTGCTAAATATTTCTCATAGTCCTTAAAGATAGGTGTCAGATCACAGAGGGGGTTTGTATTCACGTGCTTCACTATCCAATCCCGCACGGAGCAGTTCAAGGCGGCCAACTGCTTGTGATAGGCATTTCCGACACAAGCTTTACTGGAAGCAAGGCCAGAGGAGGAGGGCTGCTGAGTGTCCCCATTAGTTTTGGGATTTGAAACTTTATCAACCAAGGCGGTAGGGCCATTTGCAGCAAGAGAACCAAAGGCTACCTTGGGCTCTGCCGCTGCCTTTGCACTGGTGAAGGGAGGGGCACTGGTTATGTTGTTTCCATTCGACAGTCCTTCCAAAGGCTTCCCTCCAGCGCCACTACCAAATCCAGGAAAGCGTCCTCCTCCAGAAGGTACCACCAAACCTTTAAAACCTTTAAAGGCTCCTCCAGTGTCAGATTCGAATCCAACATTTCTGCGCTTTGCTTTCTTTATGGCTCTATTCTTCAAGACTTCCTCACTGGCCATGGAGAATGTTCCCACCTCTTAAGCTTCATCTTCTTGATCCCAATTCCTATCTGTCAGTTCCTTCTCGGCATTTCTTTTGGCCGTGTTTTCGAACCTCCTCGGCGGCCGCCGCTGCACTCGCTGGGTCTTGGGTGCGGCGAAACCCAGGGCGCAGCGGCGCAGGGGTCTGGAGCCCGCAGGGGTCGCCGGGCTGAGCGCGCTCGGCCGCTTCCGGTGCTGCGCTGCGGAACTCAGAGGACTTGGTGTTCGGCAAGCCCAGAGACTCAAACACCATGTCCATGGAGGGGGGGTCCTCACGCTGTGTTCAGCAGGGAGGCGAGAGCGCCGGTTCAGCCAGAGACCGCTGGGGGAACCGCGCCGAACACGCTCCGGGCGGCCATTTTGTAACTCGAATCTACCCCCAAAACCAATTCGAAAAAAGGCAATTCATTTTAGTTTTAATGTTTTATAGCAAAACAAGAATTTGCTACAGTTTTATTTTTCTGATTTTGATAGAAGCAAATTCATTGATATCTTTAAAAATACTTTGGGGAAAAGCTAATCATTTAAACAATACACAGAAAAGCATGTATATAGGTGCACATATTTTTTTCTTTTGCCTTCTGCTCCAATGTGACTTTCACGTGGAACTGAGGACAAAAGTGTGGTTGAGTGAACCTGTTCTACATGGTTGTGATATAAGTTGAAATCTAACAGAGAACTTTGGCTATATGAATTCATTCAATGGAACAACAAAAATCTAGAGAGGTTTGCCTTTTAAACTCTTAGACTAATTATTCCAGGAATTGCCTCAGTGCTTATGTTAGCTTGGTGTCAGATATCTGTACTCGTAAGAACAAAGTCAAAAGAGAAGTCATGAAATTTAGAATGGCTTCTTCCTGTCAAATACATTTAGAACATATTTTTGGAATAATTTCAAGTCCATTGGGAACACAATTACTAGGAATTTGGGACAGAGGTGACAATGAGAATCTGCTTTGAGAAAGTAGATCATAATATTACAGAGCTATGCCTTCATCAGTTTAAAATTGGAAGTGGTTTCTCTGTTATTTTCTACCCTGGAGTGTTCTTAAAATTATTTTTATCTCCTTTAAGAAATTTGCAGCGCTTCTAAAAATGAAACTGAAAGTGCCACAAATATGCTTGTGCTCCAAATCAGTTTTAAGTTAACATGCAAAGAGAATTTTGGCTACTTTTTGTTTGGAGTCAAATATAAAACTAAACAACATGTGCCCAGATTTCCTACCATGGATTTGCAAAAGCTATTTTGAAACCTTTCTTGGCAGAAATCATATTCTGTTATGATTCAGTGTTGCACTGTAAACAGAGTGTTTAGAAATTGGGGTTTGAGAAGTGTAACGGCTAGTTTCCTTAAAAGAAAAAAAAGATTCAAATGCTTGGTTTGCGGCTGGAGCTTTTTGTAAATTAATCAAATTGAGTGCAGTGGGAGGGGTGATTCATTAAGTAGAGAGCTAGTGAAGACATATCCTGTGAAAGGCAGTGGGCTAAGTGGTAGGGGGAGAAGGAAGATACAGAGTGCTTTCAAAAGTGCCTAAATGTAAGTCAACAGGGCAGTGTGCCAATTACAGTGTTATAATGTTCTACAGAAGAGGGATGTACACCAAGAATGCCAGCCTGGACCTCTGGTGTGTCTTGGAAGACTTAACCAGGAAGGGGACGATTCGTTTCTATTTGACCCAAGACTGATGCTGCGTGGTGAAGGAGAGGAACTGCGTTCCAGGCAGAGGAAGTCCAGATGCGCAAGAGCAGAGATGGGAGGGACAGCACAGTGGCTTCTCAGAATTGAATATGGTGTTAGACTTCTAAAAGAGCTGTGGTAGAGGGAGAAAACTGTCAAAGGAAATCAGTAACTGTTAAAGGAAAATACCTTAAACGTCCTGTTTTCAGGCTGACTAATGCCTTAGGGGAGCAAATGAGCAACAGAAACGATATGAGCAACTGCTGTTCTTTCAAAATACCCAGGCAGAGGAACCGGCAGACGATGGGCAGGCAAGTAAGAGGGCTATTAGTTCCCTAGAAAAGTGGAGAGGCATATTTAACAAGTAAGAAGTATATTTACATTCATATCAGGGTGGGGAGAAATGCATCCTCAGGTAGCCACTAAACCTGGGTACTTGGAACGCAAGGGGCTTACAAAATATTTTAGGGAAAAGGGGTTTTGAGCTGTCAGTTTGAAATGATTGTCTCTTAAAACCTAACATTATTAACCTTCCCCCTCAAAATGTTTGCCTTTTCATAGCATCGAACAAACAACTGAGATCCTGTTGTGCCTATCACCTGTTGAAGTTGCCAGTCTTAAGGAAGGAATCAATTTCTTTCGCAATAAGAGCACTGGCAAAGACTACGTCTTGTACAAGAATAAGAGCCGACTGAGGGCATGCAAGAATATGTGCAAGCACCAAGGAGGCCTGTTCATAAAAGATATCGAGGATTTAGCCGGAAGGTACCAAGAGTCCTTTGCTTTCTCTCACTGGTGACCTTTCTTGCAATTAGATTTGGCAGGAAATGTGTTCATCTAGAAATTTTAAATGAACCAATAAGCAAATTACTTCCCCTAGAAAATTTTACTCTTGCGTGTTTAGGCCATTTCTCTGATCTAAAAGTTGTATGTTCTATTTAATTTTCCTCTCTCTTATAAGAACTCTAATTTAAAATTTATTCCTGACTTGATAAATAGTAAAACCTCTCTGGGGTATGTGTGTGTGTGTGTGTGTGTGTGTGTGTGTGTGTGTGTGTGTGTGTGTTTGGGTGTGCATAGGTAAAGCACACATTTACCTGGTTTGGTATTCAAAGACCCAAGCCTCCTATGGGTCTCCTTCCTCTCTCTCCCATAAGTGTGTGTGTGTGTGTGTGTGTGCATGCTCCTGTGTGTGTGCATGTGTGTATAGGAGGGCTCTTTTCCAAAGCCTGCTGGACAGCAGATAGAATTTTCCCGGGAGGCTAGTTGTGATTACTAAACAAAAATAGCAGGGCCCCGACTGTTCCTGCCCTGAACAGTGACTCTTCTGACCATTTCCTAGAACTGATATTGTTGCCAACTTCCCTCCCATCCCCTCCCCTCCTCTACTGTCCCTTCCCCTTCTCTCCCTTCTGTATAGATCACCTCTCCCCAGTGCAGCAGCAATACCAGGACAGGATTGTTTTGTTAGTTTTTTTCTCAATGACTGCCAAAGAAATAGCAACATGGCCTGGCAGAGTCAGATAGCGCTCTTGGGCATGTGTTTTGTCAGTCTAATTCTCAACACCAGTAACTCTGTGAGTGTTTACCCCACCTTTCAAGCTTTGCTTTAGCCTAATTTGCCCTATGTGGCTTTAGTCACTTGGTATTAGGCTTTTTTCTTCCACTGTGTTGTCAATCTTATTTCTCAGGTCATTTAGGGGTAGTTTAGTGCTGGTGCATTCAGAATAAGAGCTGAGTAGTTGTCCACGAGTTACCTGTTACCCAAATCTAGAATGCTGTCTAACGTTCACACAGATTTACTTTGCTCTGTACCTAGTATCAAGGCCCAGCCCCTCATGTTATTTGATTTTTAAATGCTAACTAACCACTATGAATCCTGAAGACCTGACACAGGTCTCAGTTAATTTAGAAAGTTTATTTTGCCAAGGTTGAAGACGTGCACCCAGGACACAGCCTCAGGAGGTCCTGACAACATGTGCCCAAGGTGGTCAGAGCACAGTTTGGTTTTATACATTTTAGGGAGATATAAGACATCAATCAACACATGTAAGATGAACATTAGTTCGGTCTGGAAAGGTGCAGGGAGGGGGCTTCCAGGTCATAGGTAGATAAGAGACAAATGGTTGCATTTTTTTTGAGTTTCTAATTAGCCTCTCCACAGAAGGCAATGATATATGCATTTATCTTGGTGAGCAGAGGGATAACTTTGAACAGAATGGGAGGCAGGTTTACCCTAAGCAGTTCCCCACTTGAAGTTTTCCTTTAGTTTAGTGATTTGAGGGGCCCAAAATACTTTCACATTTCCCCCCTTTTCTTTTTAAAAATCTGTTGGAGAACGCATTTTAGAAGAAAATGAGTCTCTGGCCTCAGGTTTCGTCTGATCTCTCATGGCTAGGATGGTTTATTCCTAGATAGGTAGGTCCTGAGTTATTAGGAAAGCTCCTTTTTAGAAGGTTGTGAAGTCTCATGTCCTGTGAAGAGAAAATAGGGGGAGGACAACAACAAACAAAAGAACAATTCTGGAAAATAGATATATGCCACATTACTCTGAAGTCCATACATCAGTAGGCAGGTATGAAAGTGGCTTATGTATGTAAATAGGTCGCTGCTATTTTCTTCTGAAGCTCAAGTTGTTTAGCTTCATTTCACAGGGCTTTATGAAAGCACATCTTAGTTTCCAGTGACTCCAAATTTGGAAAAATGGAGGAAAAAAAGAAGGAAAAAAATTGAAAACATTATTTTGAAGACATGTAGCTAAGAAAAATTAGAATTCAGTCCAAACTGTAGAAAATAATAAAAATTGAAAAACATTACACAAGACTAGAATCTAACAATAGATGTACTATAGTTTTTGAAACATAATTTTTCTCTCTCCCCTTTCCCATTTTTATGAAAGACAAATCATGGCAGGACTGGTTTTCCTTATTATACTTGGCCTAATTCTTTGTATACAGTGCAGCAAGAATAATTATTTTTTATATAAGCTTTTAAATTGGCTTTGATGGAACTTTTTCCACAGAAGGAATCTCAGAGAAGACTTTTTTAAAGCACAGCCCAGCCATGGATTTGTACCATGAAATACCTATGAGTTGGGTGAATTCCTCTCCTTTTGAGCTCCTAACAAAAACCTGGGGCTCCTGGGCCTGTCAGTAAGTGACCTTTTTTACTTACCACAGGTCAGGAACCCTGTACAGGGACTGTGGAGACAAAGGTATGAGGCTAGTTTTTCCAAGGGACTTTTTATTGGCTCCATAAGTCAAGTTTAATTCTTTAAAGGAAAGCACACTATTTCAGTCAAAGCCTTGGTAAAATAACCAGTTTCTTCAAATGTGTGCTGTTACAAATGAAAACAGATTCTTATTGCACTTATGCAAATAACTGTATTGTCATAAGTAAAGAATACTCACAAATAGATTCCAAATTCTGTAGAAATCAGGTAGTTTTAAAAACAAATATGCTCCAAATTTTGTTCAAAGGAGTATACTCCATTGTTAAAAAGCTGTAAATAGCTTAAAAGTTTCTTGATTTTGAAAAACAAATTATCAGCAACATTTTAAGCAAAAAGTTAAAAAAGATTACTTCAAACTTCTATTAGTTTAGTCCATGCAGTTAATTCTTGTTCTGCTTGATATTCATGAACATTTCAGCTCTCCATGAGTCCTCGAAGTTTTTTCTCTATTTTGATGTCACAGTCTCCAGAGCTATCAGAAACATGCATTCAAGAACACCTGTTAAGAGTTTTATAGCTGATTATAAAACTACCTCTGAAAAGGACCAAAAAAAGATGACAATTGTCTGTGAATAATGAAAAGTTTTAGGGCAGCCATAGTCAGACATTCTGTTACCTCTGTAGCACACAATAATTTAACATAAAAATTATAATTATTACTGATAACATACAGTGTGTCATATCAGAATAATAGGAGTTTCCCATAATTTTGGAATACATACCAATAACATATTTATACAAATACAGCCCAAAGAAAACCAAACACCATTTCATATTGGACAATGCTTCCTGTATAATTTTCATACCAAAAAAGCCAAATATGTCACTTTTGGACTTTAGGGAACCCATTAATACCATCTTAAAGGACTAATTAGTTCAGAAAAAGACATAATGTATAATTTGATTTCAGAAAGTTTGTCAAATATCAAAGGTTTTAAACACTTAATATCACAAAATAGGATTACAGGTCATTGTAAAATAAGTCATTCATTTAGCCAAAGTGATAAGGATTTCAAAACAAAAGGGCAAAAACCTTCATTCTTTGAGAGAGAAGACTTAATTTTCTAAACATTAAGCCCTAATAAAAAAACAGCATGAAGCCAATTAGTTTTCCAAAATTTTATAAACAATCCATAAAGGTTTAATCTTGATCATAAGATATATCTTCCATGAGCCTTTTATATCTTTGTAACCTTTATTAAGGAGTTGGTTAATGTTTTAAGAAAACCTTGTTAATTTGACATGGGTTGATATGCTGGTCTTGCATCAGTGTGCCTTTGACATTAATGGTTAATTTATAGAGAAACTGAACTCATTTTATCTCTAAAAATTAACTTTGTGATCTCACAAGCCCACCTCTTCTGCAATAGCCCCTGGGCCTTGAGGAGTTAAATGCCTTTAATTTCTGGCCCTGCGTCTCAGGAATGCAGTTTATTTTGATTGGCATCTTCTAGGGGGCCTGGAGATGAGGTTTTAATTGCTGTCAGTGTTTGAGATTTAGCAGGACTTGGTGTTCTTTTTAGACCCAAGAGTCAAAGCCCTGTAACTCAATGTCACAAGGACTTTAAAAGCACATACAGGAAGATACAAGAATGTAATAACCTTAATTAAAAAAACATTTTACATCTCAGTTTTTCCTAAGGAAACCAAACTTAATAATAATGGCATGGGAGTTATTTTGATAAATGTAAAATCTGTTAGGCCAGTTACCAAAAGGCAAAAGAAAATACCTTCTGCAGTGCACAGAATATTATGTTGGAAGAAAACAATTCCTTTAGACCTTTAAAGAAATGTTGTTAGCATCAGGCCACCAAAAAAAGAAACTGAGCAGGGAAAAAAACTTATATGAGCTGAAAATTAGTTGAAGGGGAGTGTTACTATTTCACACTTTTTAAAAGAGGAGAGAAAACCAAAACCAGCGAGATGTAATATAAGTGTATAAGTGGCATTTTTTTTAACATCAAACCCAACCTCTAGAAAGACCATTATTATTTCCCTTTAATCATAGGCAACTTGATCATATAAAAGTTTTTGTTTTGTTTTGTTTTTTATAAATCTTCTTCTTGTGACTTATACAGATTGTTCATGACATGCTTGGGCTTTCTGGTTTGTCTTGAACTAACTTCCTTCCTTCCTTTCTCTCTCTCTCTTTCTTTTTCTTTCTTTCCTTTGTTTTTTTTGAGATGGAGTCTCACTTTGTTGCCCAGGCTGGAGTGCAATGGCACGATCTCAGCTCACTGCAACCTCCGCCTCCCGGGTTCAAGTGATTCTCCTACCTCAGCCTCCTGAGTAGCTGGGATTACAGGTGCACACCACCATGCCTGGCTAATTTTTGTACTTTTAGTAGAAGCAGGGTTTCGCCATGTTGGCCAAACTAGTCGCGAACTCCTGACCTCAGGGGATCCACCCGCCTTGGCCTCTCAAAGTGCTGGGATTACAGGCTTGAGCCACTGCACCTGGCTGAACATCCTTCTTTCTTAAACAGTCATTTTACTCTAGGACTAAATTTACCATACAAGATTCTTTCTCATATGGAATTATTTCTCTTTAAGCTTTCTTACCGAAAAAAGCTCTTTATTTTTATAACTTGCTTTACATGTCTTTTATTTCTTGGTTCCTTTTACCTTGTTTTGTACATGCCCTTTAAATAAGCTTTGAATTAGACAAAAAGTGTTCACCTTTTTTAAAAGGACATACTGCTTTTTTTTTTTAGAAAGAATGTTTTCCTACAAATATATTTTTATTGGAAAATGCCCAAATAATGAAATATCTATTATTTAATATAACTTTAGATTCTAAATTATAATGAGTTTGTCTACAAGTATTTATCCTATTACATTTACCTAATTATTTTAATCATTTACCTAGATCACTTGTAAAAACTGCGATTGTCATTATTTGAAGTTATGGAATTGCCATTGCAAAATTATAACTGAGACAGTGAAAAAGATTTGACCTAACTGACTCCATCCTGCTCTTGCTTCTAACCTCCAAGCTGTTCTTGTTCATTTCTGGTTGTAGGTAGGCCAAACTAATTTTGGGAGGAACTTAGTTTATAGTTTAGCTTTGAAACAAAGATAGTAACAGTCCTTTCCCAAAACAAACTTTACTGCTCGTGAACTAGACTGCCTAAAGCCACAAGATTAGAAGTTATGGTAATCTTACTAAATTCAAGATGTTGCTATTTTAATTAAACTAATATCAGTGTCTTATTTATGAAAGATTACACAAGTAAAGATCATTCTGTCTTGGGCTGAATTTATAGTTTTGTAACCCCTGTGCCAAAGTTTGACACCTTATAGTATTTGGCAGGGATAATAACTATGAAACTGCTTGATTAATAAATGTAAACAAAAAATGTATGCTGGCAATTCTTAAGACATTCCTAATATTACTTTACGAATAATTTTTAAAGCTAGCTTATTTATTAAAAATTTTACTTAAGTTATGTAAAGTTGAAAAAGCATTTTACTAGTCTTTTCTTCTCTCCTGATAATGTATTTATTTATGTATTTATTTATTTATTTATTTATTTTTTAGTTAGAGTTTCGCTCTTGTTGCCCAGGCTGGAGTGCAATGGTGTGATCTCAGCTCACTGCAACTTCTGCCTCCTGGGTTCAAGCAATTGTCCTGTCTCAGCCTCCCAAGTAGCTGGGATTACAGGTGCTTGTCACCATGCCTGGCTAATTTTTTTGTATTTTTAGTAGAGACGGGGTTTCACCATGTTGGCCAGGCGGGTCTCAAGCTCCTGACCTCAGGTGATCTACCCACCTGGGCTTCCCAAAGTGCTGGGATTACAGGTGTGAGCCACTGCACCCAGCCAACACTTTTAGTTTCTTAAGCCAATTAATTAGAGCTCTTTCATACATTTTCAGTAGTGAAACAGTGTGTACACAACATGTAAATACATAGATATATTGGGCATGCTGATAGAAAAGTACATCTTATAGATTTATAGAAACCTTTTTTTCCCCTTAGACTTTCAGATTCCTGATAAACTGTTTCACAACCCTAGGCAGTTGTCAGCTAAATAGCCTTAAATTTGCATACTAAAGGAAACAACTCGGGTGAAAATGATATAGCAAAAGTTACATCATAAGGTACAGAGAGGAAAAAGTCTGGTGGTGTTAGAGGGAGATTAAAAATGGATGCCAAATTAAACATAAAATTATAGAAGTCTAGCATAGGATTCTATAAGGAGACTAATTTTATTTAGGTAGGGAATGACTACCTATCTTTTAACTGGATCTCTGAGCTCTGGGCAGAGCCCATACTGAATCCTGGGTCTCCAAAAAGGGAGAATTAATATGAGATTAGGCTACGTGGTGCTTTTACAGTGCACTCAGAAAAAAAAAAAAATTAAAGACATTTCTAAGTGTCTAAGCCACATTCTTCCTTAAAAACCCAAGAGTAACCTCTGTTGCAATAACTATTTTAGTCAAAAAAAAAAAAAGTAACACAATACAAAAGTAAGCTGTTCGAGAACTGAGACAAACTTGTCTGTTTACATTCTTGAAAAAATTTGTTTTCCCTGGAAAGGGAGTCTGGTGCCTTCTCCATTTTCTTTAAGGAACCCCAGGCTATTATAAACTATTTTAGGTCCTCCATGCAGCAGAGGGTGCAAGAGAAAGGAGAGATAGTAGAAGTAAATGAAGAAAACAGAATTCTGTCAACTGAAAAGAAAAAAACTTTTGCTCAAAAAAAAAAAAAAAAAAAGACAAGGTCCCAGGAGAAAAACAAAAACATGAAGTCCTTTTAAATACAAACACACACATATGCGTGCGCGCGTGCGCACACACGCACGCATCTTGGATGTTAGGTTTTAATTAAGCTGACTTTTAACCATTGAGCTCCTTAAAAAAAAACTTTTAAAATCTCATTACCATATTTCAGCTAGGACAAATTGCTGCTATTTCAGAAGTACAGCCATTGCTCTTTCAGTTTGGCCTGGCTAACAAAAAGGTGGCCTTGTTATGTAAATGAAGACCCTTAGAATAAAAAATTTTTCTTTTTGTTTTTTTTTTTTTTCCTTTTTCTGGCCATTTTTTCCCCTCCACCCCATACCACGTGTGTGCGTGAGTGTGTGTGTGTGTGTGTGTGTGTGTGTGAGAATTTAGCCACTTCAGAGGCCTTGTTCCCCATAATTTGGAATTTCCTTTGGATTTGATCAAGTTGGATAGAGTTGATCAAACCCAATGGGAAAAAGTCCAAAACAACAGTGAAAACAGGAATGAACAACAACAACAACAAAAACAGTTAAGCAAAACAATCACACAACTTATATCATTACTGAGTACTCTAATAGTAAGGAGAAATTAAGACCAGCTGGTTGTTAATCTTAACTTTAGCCAAGACAAACCCCAATTCAGTTACTTAGCTAGGGATGGGTCTCAGGGTGTAGACTGCTCTCTACCATACTAGAAGCAGAGAGAAAAAAAACTCATCTTCCCTGTTGGAAGTGAGCTCAAACTCCATAAAAGAGTTACCTGTCTTCCATAGCCATGGAAACAGGAAATCTTCCCTTCCTTTTTGGAAGCAAGTAAAAGTTTTTTTGGAATTTTACTTGCTTTTTTTTTTTTTTCCAGCAAAATAAACTTTAGATCTCTACCACATTTGGGGACATCAGGGATTCTCTGGAGGGGGTGCTCTCAGGCCTCAGCAAATTGTCCTATTGGTTTGAGCCATAAAGTTAGCTCATGCTGGTACCAAGCATAGATTTGTCAAAGGTCAGGGGCATCTCCACTCAGAATCCCTTCATGGTTACCAAAATGTGAACCCTGAAAATCTGAGACAGGTCTCAGTTAATTTAGAAAGTTTAGTTTGCCAAGGTTGAGGACATTTGGCCATGACACAACCTCAGGAGGCCCTGATGATATATGCCCAAGGTGGTGAGAGCACAGTTTGGTTTTATACATTTTAGGGAGACAAGAGACATCAATTAACATATGTAAGATGAACATTGGTTCGGTTTGGAAAAGCAGGACAACTTGAAGCAGGGAGGGGGCTTCCAGGTCATAGGTAGATAAGAGATAATTGGTTGCATTCTTTTGAGTTTCTAATTAGCCTTTCCAAGGGAGGCAATCAGATATGCATTTATCTCAGTGTGAGCAGAGGGGTGACTTTGAATAGAATGTGAGGCAGGTTTACCCTAAGCAGTTCCCAGCTTGACTTTCCCTTTTAGCTTAGCGATTTGGGGGGCCCAAGATATTTTCCTTTCACACCAGTATTGCACCTGTAGCTTGCTTGGCTCCTCAGATAGGGCTGCCAGCTTGACCAATAAAAATACAGGATGCCCAGTTAAATGTGCATTTCAGATTTAAAAAAACTAATGTATTTTTAGTATAAATATGTCCAAAGTAGTTAATGGGACACCCTTTTAGCTGGCAACTCTGCTCTAGGAGAACCTCTAAGTAATTCCCTGATGGCCCATTTTGATGTTCTTCCATCTTCTGGGTGGATTCAAGTCAGTGAAGCCTCAGACATAGTTCTGTCACTGGTAAACTTCCGCCAGCACTTCAAGGTGTTGGAGTTTTCTCTTCCAACTATTACAGCTTTGGGACTCTGTCTCTGGGTTTCCTCTCCTAGTTTTTTAACTTAGCGGGCCATTTCACAGAGTGCCACTTAGCCAGCCATTTAAGGAGGCCTTAAAGTTTACTGATTAAGAGCATCATCTCTCCTTATAGACTACCTGGTTTAGAAGCCTGATTCCACGACTTACTAGCTAGGTCATAACCCTCGACAGGTTTCTTAGCCTTTCTGGACCTCGGTCTTCTCATTTCTAAAATGAGGATGAAAATATTACCTACTTTGTCAGGTTGCTGAGAGGATTAAGTGATGCCAAACACATAAAACTTAAAAGAATGCCATATGGTGGTATATGGCAAGCACCTCAAAAAAGTGAATTATAGTTACTATTTCTCTGCAATGAGCTTCTTGTGTAGCTTATACAGAGGGACTTTTTTACAGGAACTCAGATTGTTTTTGTATCTAATATGCTCATCTAAGTATAGTGATTGCTTTCCCACAGACTAGCCTTTCTCTTCTTCATTCAAAGCCTTACAGGTGATTGACCTGTTCTCTTGACACATTAGTCCTCCCCTCTTAGCTCTCCTGCCCATGAGGAAGCAGGTTCTGCCAGCTTTATTCCCAGATGCAGCTCACCAAGCATTTGCACGTTGAGACTGCATTTCTGTGTTAACTTATGCTCTGTATTCTCCCATCCACTTCTCTGAGTTCAGTAAATTATAGTTGGATTCTCTTCGTAGCTATTTATCTGAAGAAACTGTCTTTTCTAGTTTCTAGGTTCCAGCCAAGAACAGAGACCTACCTGTTCTACCCACCATTATTCAGCCATTTTTCTTCTCAACACAACCAAGATCAACAAATCCTATAAGCCATGATTCTCATCTTTAAAGCCTATCAATTTTTCACAACCTCCTCTAACTGGAAAACTGTTGTCTCCCTGTCATCTATGACCGCATGGTTCTGCCAATTTTCCCTTTCATGGCCTGGCATGCCAAATAGCTGCAGTTGGAATGTTCCATCAGAATTAATTGAAAGGTTGTTGGCTACTTATCAATGAGAAAGGAGTCATAAAATAATCCTTCATAAATTGAAGCGTGGAATATGCTTTTTGCCTCATAACTTGGAGAACATGAAATAATTCTGGATATAATGAAATTCAGAAATATCAGCATGATTCACTTATGTTAAAGTAGATGTTTTTAGTTTTAAAAAATTTGGTGTTTCTGGTTTGCGACAGATTTCTTTATTTAAAAAAATTCTTTAACTCTTAAAACCAACAAAAAATCACCAGAAACACCACCAAAATAGAAAAAACGGAACTATTTATATCCCACCTCTAGCCACTCCGTCCCCCTCAAAGTTGTGGTAAGATGGGGAAAAGATACTGAGCAACCTGTTTTATTACAGTCTGGTTCTCATGCTAAAACAGGGTTGCTAGTGTTAAATAAAAATACAAGACCCTTGGTTAAATTTAAATTACAGATTTATCAACTAATTTTCTGAATAAATATGTCTTAAATATTATAGAAATCATATTTAAAAATTCATTATCTGAAATCCATATCTAACTGAGCATCTTGTATTTTATCTCACATATATGCTGTAAAATCTTAAACTATAAGATCTTTTCTCTTTGAAATATGTAACCTTTGGTTGACTATTCTAGGGGTCAAGGATTTCAGAGTGATGTAAATTATAGATATATATTTACTACTACAGTTTTTCCTTGTATTGGCCCCAGTTGGATCTTATCCAGCTTGGCTTTTATAAAAGAGGTGTTTCTGAAGACTTCTTTATTCTGCTGTCTCTGTTCTCTAAAATGTGTCATTTTGTGACATGGAGTTTATCTTCAATTTATTAATTTTATTTCTAAAATTACCTATTGATGATTAGGCTTTATCTTCAATTTATTAATTTTATTTCTAAAATTACCTATTTATGATTAGGCTTTTTTTTAATATTTAAGTATTAGCTATTGATAGTTTTTGTTTTAACTAATTCCATTATAATTTAATATCATTATGAAAGAATACATTTAAGCCTAATAAAGATTAATTTTTATTTTTACCATTTCTTTTTTTTTTTTTTTTTTTTTTTTTTGAGACGGAGTCCCGCTGTTTAGCCCAGGCCGGATTGCAGTGGCGCAATCTCGGCTCACTGCAAGCTCCGCCTCCCAGGTTCACGCCATTCTCCTGCCTCAGCCTCCCGAGTAGCTGGGACTACAGGCGCCCGCCACCGCGCCCGGCTAATTTTTTGTATTTTTAGTAAAGACGGGGTTTCACCGTGTTAGCCAAGATGGTCTCGATCTCCTGACCTTGTGATCCGCCCGCCTCGGCCTCCCAAAGTGCTGGGATTATAGACATGAACCACCGCACCCAGCCTAAAGATTGCTTTTTAAGATTAGGAAAGAAAAAGAAGTCAGAAGAAGCCAAATTGGTACCGTAACCAGGTGGATGCCTAATGATTTCCCACAGAAACTCTCACAAAATTGCCCTTGTTTGATGAGAGAAATGAGCAAGAGGCATTTTTATGGTGTGATTCTGGTGAAGCTTTCCTGGGCATTTTTCTGCTAAACCTTTGGCTAACTTTCTCAAAACAATCTCATAATAAGTAGATGTTACCACTCTTTGTCCTTGCAAAAATTCAGCAAACAAAATGCCTTAAGCATCTCGACAAACTGTTGCCATGACCTTTGCTCTTGAGCGGTCTGGCTTTGCTGTGACTGGACCACTTCCACCTCTTGGTAGCCGTTGCTTTAATTGTGCTTTGTCTTCAGGATCATACTGGTAAGGCCATGTTTAATCTTCTGTTACAGTGCTTCGAAGAAATGCTTCAAGATCTTGATCCCACTCGTTTAAAATTTCCACTGAGAGCTCTGCTCTTGTCTGCAGCTGATCTGGATGGTTTTGGCAGCCATCAAGTGCAAAGTTTGCTCAACTTTAATTTTTCAGTCAGAATTGTGTAAGGTGAATCAATTAAGATGCCTGTGGTGTAGGCTATTGTTCGTGCTGTTAGTTGTTAGTCCTCTTCATTTGGGGCATAAACAAGATTAATTTTTTCTTTGCAAATGGATACGGATGGTCTGCCATTGCAGGCTTCAACTTGAACGTTGTCTTCTCTCTTCTTAAAATGAGTTATCTATTTGCAAACTGCTAATTTCTTTGGGGTATACATGCACATGTAAAATTTTCAAAAAGTACAAAATTAAATAGAGTAAAAACTGAATTTTCTCTCCTTCTCTGATCCCTAGTCACCAAGTTCCCACTCTAGAAGCAACTACCATTATTATTTAGTTTCTTGTGGGTCCTTCTAGGGGTATCTTTTGCATTTGTAAACTAGTACATATTTATAATATTCCCTTCCTTAGTAGCAGACTGTATACATTGTCCTCCACTTTGCTTTTTTTTCTGAATGGCTCTTGAACTTAGAAAGCAAAAGAAAGATAATATTGAATATCCCTGACAAGCAAAGTGTTGACCCAGAAGCTGCTAGTGAGACTTCAATTTCTCTTTCCCTCCCATCCATTAATAAACACAGAGATTTCTATTTTGTACCTGGGCATGAGGGAGAAAAAGGAAGGGAAATTGGGTGGTGGAGTCTGTGGTTTGTGGGGAGCTAAAAATGGGAATTGTTCTGGCCCGTAGACCAGGTTGGATTGCCCAAGCTCAGGAAAGTGGCAATCAGAAAAATAATGGCACTATTTTTAGGAGAGAGTTGGAGGATTCGTGGGAAGTAGGAGATGGCCAGAACTCGTTATCTGACAAAGAAGAGCCATTTCACGTCCTGGTGTCCACATGTGACACACAATTGGAGAGGAGGCTATTTCTTCTACCTACCCTTGGAACCTAGCAATGATGTGACATTCCTCAAACTCCTAGGCAGACAATGTGAAAGATTATAAGCCAGGGTAGGAAAAGAGGGAAAAGCAGACACCAAGCAGTTACAGATCAGGTTGTGGGCATGTGTGTAGCATGCTTCTGGGGAAGTCCCCAAAATACGTTCGGGACACTTGAAAATGTGCTAATTTCTAGTCAGCAAAACAGTTGGGGCTCTTGCCATCATCATTTGTGCATAAAGATAGACTGCAACTTTATTTTATATTGTCAATCTGGTGAGGCCTGGGAAAATTGGGTTATATGTAAAAATGGAAAATGCTAAATATACAACATATGCAATACCTTGTAACAGGATGGTGAAATGGAAGTTGAGGTTGCAAAACAACAGATGCCCATTCCAAATTGAAGTTCTGAGAAAGGATTTACAAAGAGGCTGAGAACCAGTAGATCATTCTTAAATCCCTCACCCTTATAAGGAATACTAAAGCATAGAAGGGGAGTTTGAAATATAACTTCTTAGGAAGAGTTATTTGGAAAGCTGTACTGAGAGTCCATGCCCCTTGCAGGGGCAACTTCTGAGGGATGCCGGCCCCTCTCCTTAGGCCAGAATTTAGCTGGACCACCTCTAGAGAGTCTGATATGTGTTCTCCAAGGTTAAGGGACACAGTGGGCTGGTGTCTGATTCTCCCCTGAGAAATCTCAAGGATGAAAGATTGGCCATGTAGCTGTGACAGACAAGCTGAAGGAGAAGAGGTTGTGTTAGGCACACTGGCACTCCCAGAATTCAGTGGGGCTAGAACAGTTGAGTGTTTCCTATGGATGTGATGTGGACCATGAATGGGAGGCATAAACGTAGAGTCATTCTAGGTCCAAAAGGCCTGCAGAGAAAAGTTGGATGTATTGCTACGTTGCTAGGGGCTAAGGAAAGCATAAGTAACCAGGTAGCATAGAGATACCCAGGTGCAGAGAACTTCAGGTGGGTGTTTCCAAGCAATTGGACGGATCCTCGCAATAACCCACTGAGGTATCCCTTAGAATCAGCTTTAAGCAAAAGCCAAGCCCAGATAGTGCTGCTGCTCCGTGACCAAAGGACCTTTGCTCTCTTTCTTTAACTCTCCTTTTTCCTCCAGCTCCATGTCTGGAAGGGTCAGGAACCTTGGATGAAGGCATGAGGGGAGAGGAGGAATAGAAGCATTGGGTGAGGCCAGGCATGGTGGCTCACACCTGTAATCCCAGCACTTTGGGAGGCTGAGGTGGGTGGGTCACCTGAGGTCAGGAGTTTGAGACCAGCCTGGATAACATGGTGAAACCCTGTCTCTACTACAAGTACAAGAAGTAGCTGAGCATGGTGGTAGGCACCTGTAATCCCAGCTACTTGGGAGGCTGAGACAGGAGAATCGCTTGAACCCAGTAGGCACAGAGGTTGCAGTGAGCCAAGATCACACCATTGCACTCAAGCCTATTTCTGATACACAAAGCAAAAAAAGCATGTTATAAACATTATAAATAGAATGACTCAATTATTTAAAAAATACATGCATAAGCACATGTGGGTGATATAAGAGCAGTCTTAGATTACCTGTTAAGGGAGCTGAGCTGGAAGCTTCCTGGGCTATGCCTCCAGGCTGTGGGCTTTGAATATAATACCTTTAAATTTTTTTTAGGCTCAAATTATTATAGGCATACTATATAGGCGTGACCACTGTCACCCATGTGTCTCTGTGAGACCAACACCAAATGCCTTTTTAGACAAGAGTGTGTTGCCAGCATTCTCCCAGTTCTCCTACAAACAAAGGTGTTACTTATTGAGGTATGTGTCCTTTGCCATTCACTACAAGGAAATAGAATGCTATTTTGGGAAGAGTTGCTAAGTGTTTTGACTACAAATTCATCGTCCCTCCACGTCTCAAACAGGACACCTGGACCACTAGCTATTTTCTCCAGTGAACTCCACCCTGAATCTGTTGACTTAGCCCAGAAAGCCTGCCAGCTGCCTTATTACTAGGAGCTGGTTATGTGTGCTGTACAAATACTGTTAAATTTATTTGACATAAAACTGATAATAAACATAGGTTTGGGTATAAACACTGTTAGTTTGTGTAAGTGAAAGGACAAGAGACTATGAACTTTATGAATATATAACCAAGTAATCTACAACTGCTTAGGGGCTTTTATGAAAATCTCTAAATCTTTTGATCAAGACCTTTACAGAGACACTGTAGCAAAGTGTTAAGAGCAAAGGCAATGGGGCCTTCTCACCTGGGTGCGGATCCAGGCTCCAACAGACAGTCTGGGGACACTGGGCAATTTAGTCAATCCCTTTGTGCTTTAATTTCTTCAAATGTGAAATAGAAATAATATTTTTAGTAGCCGTCTTACAAAAAACAGGTTGTTATAAAAAAATGTTTAATTTAATGCCTGTTAAATTCATGGTAGTTAGTACACAGAGCATAATTTATTTGTATATATATGTCTCAAATAATCTGCATATATCCTTGGGACTGGGACCACAGGAGCAGAAATAAGGGATTTCCCTCCCAGCAGGAAGTTGGATGCACTGGAAAATTAGATTAAGGCTACTGTTAACCATCATGCAGGCAAAAGGCAGGGCCAGAGCTGGCAGCAGGGTCAGTGGGAGGACAGGAAATAACAAATTCTGGGAATTTCAGCCTTAGCTGGAGTGAAGACACTGCCACGAAGGGAACATTTGTTAACAGAGCTCACTTTTTAGTCCAGTGCTACCAACGCTGTAGGGATTTCATACCACATTCTGAGAAAGATAAGGGCTTGATCCACCTGGGGACATGTTATCAGTGATGAGCATCTGATTTTATTATTATTATAAAAAATAATATATGTTCACAATTAAAACGTTGGAATTCAGAAAAGTAGAAGGAAGAATCTCACCTACACTTGCATCACCCAAAACATTTTAGAATGTTTTGTTCTGGTGGTTGCTGTCCTCCCTCTCCCCATCTCCTTCCTCCTTCCTTTTCTCTTTCTCCTCTTCCTCCTCTTCTTCCTCTTGGTAAGAAATAATCTGTGTACCACAAAATTTACCCTTTTAAACTGCACACATTAATCCTTTTTAAAAAAATATTCAAACGTTGTGCAACCACCACCACTATCTCATTCCAAAACATTTTCCGCCACTCCCAAAAAAACCCTGTAATGATTGTCGTCCTCATTCCCCTTTTCTCCAAGACACTGTCAACCACCAATCTTCTTTCTGTCTCTATGGATTTTCCTATTCTGAACATTTCATATATTGGAATAATACAATATGTGGCCTTTTGTGTGTGGCTTCTTTCACTTAGCATCATGTTTTCAAGATTCATCCATGTCATAGCATATATTAGTACTTCATTTACTTGACTTTTATGGCTGAATAACATTCCTTGTATGGATATACCACATTTTGGCTATGATGAATACTTTTCCTATGAATATTTATCTAATTTTTATGTGGGCATATGTTTTTTGTTCTCTTGGTTATAAACCTAGGAATGGAATTGCTGGGCTATATGGTAACTCTATGTTTAACTTTGAGGAACTGTAAAACTGTTTTCAAAAGGACTGCATCATTTTACATTCTCATTAGCAATGTATGACTCTGTTTCTCCTCATCCTCACCAAGACTTGTTATTATCTGTCTTTCTTGTTGACATCTTTTGAAGCACAAAAGTTTTAAATTTTGATGACATCTAATTTTTTTTTCTTTGGACCTTGTGCTTCTGGTATCTAAAAAAGTATATGGTTAGAATAACTAAGTCTTTTATTCTAATATACTTATTAGACTAACATACACACACATAGATAATAGTCTAAGAGAGAGTCTAAGAAATATATCTATTTCTCTCTCTCTGTCACCCAGGTTGGAGTGCAGTGGCATGATTACGGCTCACTCCAGCCTCTGCCTCCCGGGTTCAAGCAATCCTCCCAGCTTGGCCTCCCAAGTAGCTGGGACTACAGGCACATACCACCATGTCTGGCTAATTTTTGTATCTTTTTGTAGAGAGAAGGTCAGACTATGTTGACCAGGCTGGTCTCAAACTCCTGGGCTCAAGAGATCTCCCCACCTCAGCCTCCTAAAATTCTGGGATTATAGATGTGAGCTACCACGTGTAGCCAGTCTAAGAAATATTTTTTAAATTGCCTAATCCAAGGTGATGAAAATTTATTCCTATTGTTTTAAGAGTTTTATAGTTCCAGCTCTTATATTTAGGTCTTTGATTCATTTTGCGTTAATTTTTGTACATTGTGTGATGTAGGGGCCCAAATTCATTCTTTTGCATGTGGATGAATTGCAGCACCATTTTCTGACAGACTATTCTTTCCCCTATTGAATTGTTTTGGCATCTTTGTTGAAAAATCAATTGATCATAAATATAAGGGTTTATTTTTGGACTCTTTATTCCATTGATTTATATGTCTATCCTTCTGCCAGTTCCACACATTTTGATTACTGTAGCTTTGTAGTAAGTTTTTCAAATTGGGAATTGTGAATCCTTCAATTTTATTTTCTTTTTAAAGATAGTTTAGTTACTCTAGGCCAGCTTGTCTTGAGTCTTTAGGGTCAGCTTGTCAATTCCCAGGGGGTGAGGTATGGGGGGGGAAAGCAGCCAGAATTGTGATTAAAATTGTGTTGACTGTGGATTAATTTAGGGAGTATTACCATCTTATCAATACTCAGTCTTGATCCATGAACATGGAATGTCTATTAATTTATTAAGTCTTCTTTAATTTCTTTCAACAATATTTTGTAGTTCTCAGAGTATAAGTTTTATACTACTTTGATTAAATTTATTCCTAAGTATTTTATTCTTTTTGATGCTATTGTAAATGGAATTGTTTGTAAATTTTATTTAAAAATTAACGGCTAGCGTATAGAATATTGCTGATTTTCAAAATACCTTGTATCCTTTGAAGGTTTTAATAGTTTCATTTGTAGATATCTTAGGGTGTCCTATATACAAGATTGTGTCATCTGTGAATAGAGACAGTTATCTTTTTCCTTTACAAACTGGATACCTTTTATGTCATTTTCCCGTTCAGTTGCCTCCATGTAGAAATGGAGGTTTTAGCCAAGGAAACTGCTTGTCTGGTTCCTGCTTTTAGGGGGAAAACAGCTGTCAGGTTTTCTTAGATGCCTTTTTTTTTTTTTTTTTGACGGAGTCTGGCTCTGTTGCCCAGGCAGAAGTGCAGTGGCGCAATATCTGCTCACTGCAACCTCCGCCTCCCAGGTTCAAGAGATTCTCCTGCCTCAGCCTCCCAAGTAGCTGGGATTACAGGCACGTGCCACCACACCCAGCTGATTTTTGTATTTTTAGTAGAGACGGGGTTTCACCATATTGGCCAGGCTGGTTTCAAACTCCTGACCTCAAGTGATCTACCCACCTTGGCCTCCCAAAGTGCTGGGATTACAGGCATGAGCCACTACGCCTGGCCTATTAGTTTTCTGAGTGTGTTTTATGACAACAGGATGTTGGATTTTTTTCAAATGCCCTTTCTGTGTCAATTGAGATGATGATGTGGTTTCCTTCTTTGTTCTGTTAATGCAGTGTGTTACATTGAATGATTTTCAAATGTTGAATCAGCCTTGCATCTTTCAAATATTGAACCAGTGTGGCATAAAGTCCACTTGTTTTATGGCCCAAGGTAAAGTGTTCTCTGTATGTCTATTAGGTACAGTCAGTTTATGGTGTTGTTCAAGTCTTCTATTCCCTGTTAATCTTCCATCTAACTGTTCTGTTCTCTAGTTTTCTTGTTAGACTTAATTTTTCAAACAGTTATTTTATGTAAACCATTTTTGCATCTTGTGAATATTATGATATTAGACATAATGTCAGATTCTATGCACATATAATTTTATGTTCACATTAAATATTAACTAATATATTTAGCCATTTTTCTGTTAGAATTTAAGATCATCATAGTTTTATTTAAAATTAAAACTGGTATTTTTGCGTTTAAGAGCTTCTCTGTATTTGGAGTTGTTTCATAAGGTAGTTGAATTACTGGTAAAATAGTATGGCAATTAAAGCATTCACCACCAACCTTCATATACTTCAGCCTGAAGGTGGGCTTCACATGGCCCAATAGCCTCAATGTGAAAGTAATGGAAGACATATAGGAGTATATTTCTGCAATCTAGAGATAGGGTGGCACTTCTTCACTCTTTGGATAACACTTCAAAAGTACAGCTCATAGGGCAACAAAAATTTTAAATATGGACGAATATGATTTTATTAACATGAGATTTCTGCTTAATGAAGGAGACCATGGACAAAATTGAAAGACATAATGACAATTTGAGAGTTTTTTGCAATGTTTATAATCAACAAGGGATTAATATCAAGCATAGAGTAGGAAGTAATGCAAATTGACAAGAAAAAGACAGAAAAATAAAAAGGGAAGAAAGAGTATGAACTAGCATTTTACCGAATAAACCCAAAGGCTATTAAACATATGAAGATACTTACTAAGTAGTAATCAGAAAACTGCAAGTGAAGCAAGCAAGTTTCACTTTACATCATTTAGAGTAGTAAAAAGCTAGAAGCTAAGATGATGCCAAACGTCAGAGACGTAGAAGTCCTCATCCATGTGATGGGAGTGTGGCTGTTGCAGCCATTCTGAAGAGTAATCTGGCAGTAACTAGCCAGATGAGTTTTTTGTTTGTTGTTCTTGTTTCTTTTTATTTTGTTTTGTTTTTAGAGCCAGGGACTTGCTATGTTGCCCAGGTTGGACTTGAACTCTTGGGCTCAAGTGATCCTTCTATCTCAGCCTCTCTAGAAGCTGGGAGTACAGGCATGTGCCACTGTACCTGGCTTCTGATGAGGTTTATGAACATACTAGGATCCATAAATCCTGCTCTTGTTTATACCTCAAAGAAATTCTGTTGTGACAGAACCTAGGAGTCTACCCCTGGGAGAGTGAATTTGTAAAATGTGGTAGACATGAACCGTGGAATACTCAACTGCAGTTAGATGTGGGCTAGATGTACACATGGCAACATCATGGGTGTCAAAATCATAGTGTTGAGTGAAAAACAGTAAGAAACAGATTGGAGACCTAATGCCATTTATATAAATTAAAAATGCACACACACACAATATAATACATATTTTGCACAAACATTTAGAATGGCACCTTGGAGGGGAGGAAAATGAGAATGGGAACTAGAGATAAAGGGAATAAATAAATAAGATTAAAAAGAAAAGAGCTTTGCATGGATCAGATACATGTCATGAACTAGAAAGTATGACTAACACAACCCTTTCCACTTGATGTCCTAAACGAATGAATGAATGAATGAATGAGTTCATCATATGTGCCTTCTTTAATATGTATAGCATTACCATCCATTCTTTGGCACTGACAAATTTTTGCTCCCACTGACTGGTTTATGAGCGTGCCTTTTCTCCCCATACCTTACCAGCTCAGAACATTCTTAGTCTTTCAGACTGTTCTCATTTGAGGCAAAAATTGCATCTCATTGTTTTTACTTGCATTTTTCTGTCAAATATGATGCTAATATTTCACTAAATATAGTTTGGCAAAATGTGTTTGCTAAATTGTTTTGGTGTTAGAAGTTTTTCATTTTACATTTGTATCTATTCAGATTTTCCACTGGGATTATTTCCATTGCTATTAAATTTAAAAGTCCTCTCATATTTGATATTCTATTTTATACATTTTCATGGCTTGGTCGTTTTGTGTCCTTAATCAACTAGAATACTTAGAGAACTAATTGCCACAGCACCATGTTAGATGGTCCACATATTTATGATACCTTCTTTAGAATAAACAGTTAACATAATTAGGATCCACTTTTTGGCTGACCTAATGTCAATAATCAGTGATTTGATTATTATAGTTTTATGGTATATTTTTGTTCCATTTCGCCTTCATTATTCTTCCTTAAAAAAGATTTTAGGGACTACCATTTGTTTGTTTTTTCTGGATAAAATTATAACCCAAATGACCTAGATTTTATCAGCTTGTAAGGTCAAATTAATAATACTATATTCTCATGAATTTATTTATAATAGTTGGCAGATGTCACATTCTTCGTTGCATCTATGCAATTTATCTTTGTGCAAGGAGCATAGCGATCTTTATGGTAATTGCTTCAGAACGATGATTAAGAGTTACAATTGCTTCTTGGCCTTTTGGCTAAGATCAAGTGAAGAATTACAGACTTATTTTTTTCTGCATCTCTTGAAAAAGAAAAATTAAGAAGGGGTAGCTATCAGTGCAAGAGTTTCCTGAGGGTCTCCCATAATACAATTGTATTTTTCTAACGAGTTTGCTAGTATATAGGTTTGTTTGTCCTACAATGAACTTTTAAAGTTCTATATATTCCTTTAAGTATAAAATAATGACCATAATAATACTATTATTTATTAAATGCCTGCTTTGTTCCAAGCATGGTGCTAGACACTTTAGTATCTATTATTTCATCTAACCTCCACGACAACTCTATGAAGTTATGTATCATAATTTTATAGATCAGAAAACTGAGGCTCAGGATACTGCTAATAAGCAGCAGAAATAGGATTCCCACCCACATGTTCCCAAAGCCAGCATTTTTTCTAGTTCATGACTCTAATTTTCAACAATCATATAACCTTGAAATAATAATATGTACCTTCATTATACCACTTGCATTTTCAGGAACATCGTTCAATAATGCATTCTTTATGTATTCCTGATTTTATTAAGAAAGCCATTTGTGTTTCACCATTAAATAAGGTGATAGTTATGACTAAGAAAAATATTTTTATTACATTTTCTTAAGCAATGTTTAAAAGGTATTAAAAATTAAGTGAACACCCATGTACCCAGCACCCAGCTTAAGACATAAAATATTAACAACAGAATATATATCTTTCCTTGATTATATCACATATCCTCCCACCCATGCTCTGGAGGTAATCACTTTTTTGAATGGGGCTTCAGGATAGCTATTCTCTATTCCCTCAGCTTTATTGAGGTATAATTAATTAGCAGAATTGTATACAAATGCTCCTCAACTTACACATGGTGTGAAGTCCTGATAAACTCATCATAAGTTGAAAGTACTGTAAGTCAAAATGTAGTTAATACACCTAGCCTACCAAGCATCGTAGCTTAGCCTAACATGCTGTATGCATACTCAGAACATGTACATTAGCCTGCAGTTGGGCACAATCACCTGGCAACATGGTCCACTGTAGAGTATCTGGTGTTTACCCTTGTGATTGCACATGGCTGACTGGGAGCTGCACCCGCTACCGCTGCCCAGCATCTTACTGTGTATCACTAGCCCAGAAAAGATAAAAATTCAGAGTATGGTTTCTACTGAATGTGTGTCATTTTTGCAGATCAGATGCCCCTCCCTGTGCATTCCCATAGCGCCTCGAAGTCATCTCTATCAATCATTCATTTAGTCGTAAGGAAGTCTTGTTTGTATATGTGTATCCCTGACATGACTGAGACCTCATAAGTTCTCTAAGTGCCATATGAATAAAGAAATGAATTGGTGTTCATCTTAAGTCATAGTCTCTGCAGATATTGCTTGATCTAAGGGAGTGGCACCCTTTGTTTTGATTTTCCTTTGATCTTTGGAAGACCATGCATTCCTATTTCAGTGATGCTTTTAAAAAGCCATTTTTGTCATTAATCCAGATTTGTTCTCATTTGATTCTAGTTGTTGAAATGGATGAAAACAACGGACTTTTGCTTTTAGAACTGAATCCTCCTAACCCTTGGGACTTACAGCCCAGATCTCCTGAAGAGTTGGCTTTTGGAGAAGTACAGGTAAGGAAATATTAAAAGGATAATATTATTAAAAACAAAAACGTGACCAAGATGTCCATTTAACATCTATATCTGTAAACATCCTATATTACCTTGAATACTGTTTGAGATGGGTATTTAGGACATATGGTAAAAAGTCATATGATAAAACAAATTCTTTAAGGAACCCCCAGAACTTGGCAGGGATTACAAGGAAAAAAACAATACAAAACTTTGGGAAAAATCCCTAAGGAAACTCATGCAAAACTATTTGATGCCAGATCACTACTGGATAGAATGGCTGGTTGTATTTTCTGGCTTTAGAAGAGAATTTCCTTCAGAGGAAACACTTTAATAGTTTGGGAGAGGTACACAATCAAAAATTTATTTTTCTGTGTATTTAGGAAGTTTATGTATATTTGGGCAGCTAATTTTAAGGAAACAAATGAGAACCTGCCCGGAATAGACATAATAAAAACTAATCTATGCCTTGACCTTTCCTCACCCACTTTGTTGCCTTTTCACATGACGTTCCCGCTATCTCATCTCTGCTTCTCAATACATTCCTTTTCCATGGAGGTGCCAGGCTGTGGCAAGAGAATGAGGAATTGGATTTGGAATCCCCATGGTGCCAGTCTCTAAGTCACTGTTTGTGTCCATTCTTAGAGGACCTTGGCATCCAGAAGGAGTAATTATTTAACAGGTAATTTAGAAGAGAAAGTCTTGCAAGCCTGTTCAGCCAGTTGTCAGTTGAGTCTGCGTGGCTATGCCAACCCACCAAACTCACGAGAATCATCCATTCATATTGCTCTTCACAGCCACTCTGGCATTTAAATCCCCAGATGTTTGTGATAACATCTCTAACTGCCTTTCCTTGTAAAGTATGCTTTAAAGGACTGATCACAAAATATATTCTTCAGTGTGGACTGTAAATAACTGTTTAGGAACTAATTTAAATAAACTAAAACTAGGTAAACAAATTGATTTGTCATCTAAAACTAACCATGAGAATTTATATTTGAATAAAGTCATGACCTGTGCTGGGAACCGTGTTCTATGAAAGGCTCTTTTTGGAATGTATTTGAGTCCAAGATTTTGCCTGATCATGCTTAGAAGCAAAGTACTCCAGCCTGTGTACTATGTCAGCCACCCAAACCAAACATTTCAGTTCATTGTTGCTGACCAGTAATGAACGATTCAGTAATAGGGATCTCACTCTCTTTTAACAGATAACATATCTCACTCATGCCTGCATGGACCTCAAGTTAGGAGACAAGAGAATGGTGTTTGACCCTTGGTTAATCGGTCCTGCTTTTGCCCGTGGATGGTGGTTGCTCCATGAGCCTCCATCTGATTGGCTGGAGAGGCTGTGCCAGGCAGACCTCATTTACATCAGTCATCTGCACTCAGACCACCTGAGGTAATGAAGTCCTGAGCACACAACTCCTAAGCTCATGCTGCAGGAAAGGCATCAAATGTTCTCCGATTCTTTTGCAATCACTGCTCACTTTGAAGTAGGTTCAGTTGGGATGATGAAAAAAGGACTAATTAAGATAAATATTTACATTTGCATAGAAAGTTTATACTTTTAAAACTGTTTCTAGAAAGACAAATATGGTATGTTCTAACTTATAAGTGGGAGCTAAATAATGTGCACAAATAGGCGTAGAGAGTAGAATGACAGACACTGGAGGTTTAGAAAGGTGAGGGGGTAGCAAGTAGGTGAATGATGATAAATTGTTTAATGGATAAAAGGTACATGATTAGGATTAATAATGCTCTGATTTCACCACTGTGCAATCTTTGGTTGTAACAAAATTACACTTGTACCCCATAAAATTATACAAATAGAAAAGCATTTCTACACTTTACACCATTGGGAGTGAGGAAGGAGCTATTGTAAGGAAGATAGGGGAGGATGAATAACCGTCTCACTTCCCACCCTAAGGCAGAACACATTTTCTATAAAGGGCCAGAGTGTAAATATTTTAGGCTTTGCAAGCCATACAGTGAGAGTTGCAACCACTCAACCGTGCTGTTGTAACCCAAAGGCAGCCATAGATGGTCCTGAATAAGACTGACTGTGTTCCAATCAAATTTTATTTATGGATAATGACATGTGAATATCATATAATTTTCATGTATTACAAAATATCATTGTCCTTTTGATTTTCTTTACAACCATTTAAAAAGGTAAAAACCATCTCCTCAGCTGTGGGCAAGCTTCAAAAGAAGAAAGAAGCCACTCTTAGCTTGCAAGGTTGTACATAAACAAGTAGCAGCAGGTTGGATTCGGCCCACACATGGTTTGCCAAGCCCTGATTTATAGTATCCTAACACTAAACACCCAACGTAGTAATCCTGACTGAACCTCACCCAATGTTTCATTGGAACCAGAGTAATATGATACTAATGATAGCAACTGAAATTTTCCCTGACCCAGACAATTAAAAAGGAGGGAGAAAGGAGGACTTTAAGTTAAGAAACCACACGTATTTGCAAAGGTACTGAGCTATTAGAAGAGGGAAGCTCATATTCTCAATTCCTTTGCTTAACTATAGGGTCATATTTCTTCATCATTATTTTGAAATTTGTATCACTTCTGCTAGATTGCCAGTATAAACACACAGCAATGCCCATAATGTGCTACTCAAGCAATTCGACTTTGTTTTTCTGTGACCCTACATGACAAAATGGTTAGGGATAACATGTTGGTTGCTGGTTGACTGGCCCCTTGATATTTTATTCTAAAGCATATGGGAACTCTAAAGTGTGGATATGCTCTGATTTATTTTTCAGGGAAGTGTTTGTTTTTGTTTTTGTTTTTGTTTTGTTTTTTTGAATTAACTGATTTAGTAACAAATTGCCTGCAACATATTTCTTAACTGATCACAACCCCCTAGGATACTGTGGTACTACAACTAAAATTCTACTTTATATGATACCTTTGTCCCACACTACCTCCTGGAACTATACTTGCATAATTTCAGGATTACAAGAGCCCTGAGTTCATTTGTTGTACAATAACAGTAAAGTGTGGTAATAATTTTATATAGCTTGTGTAGGGACAACAGCACATAAATGATATGATCGCTTTATAGTGTCTAAGATACAATTACCTAAAGTCTTAATGAGAGACATTCTATGGGAACACACTAAATTTAAGAAGGGTAAGAACTTTCAGGGAGGGTAAGAACTCATTTAGTTGAGTTATTCTGTAACTACTGTCCTGAAAACCAATTTAGTTTCATTTCAGGGGCTTGTGTGGACAGTTGTCATGCATTAAAACAACAGTTTTCAACTATAGTATCACAACACATTGGTTGTGCAGTGTGTTGCAGATAGTTTATTATTGAAAAGGGGCCAAAGCCTGTGATTTTTACTCCGTTGGGTCTATTTCCTTGATAGACCCTTACTTTTCGACTCTTGCCTAATCAACTAATAAACATCAAGATTGCTTGTCCCCGACCCTTCTGTCTGACCTTTATTTACTGAATAAAGCCTCCCTGGTTTACAAAAAACAAGGGAAAAGGCCAGTGTACTTTGGTGGATTGCCAGTAAGAATTATTAGCAATTGAAAAATCCAAAGCAATGAACATCCATTTTAAAATAACTTACCGTAACTCCCAAAGTCCTTTAAAATGCAGGATTTCGTTGCTGAACCCAGAGATTGAAGGTACATTCAAAGAATCATTGATTTTTTGAATCTTTTGTTTTTTGGGGAGAAAGGTTGTTGCTCCCCTCACTTCCTTCCAGATTCTACTTATTTGGATAGCTTTTAACGCAATGCTGGAACTTGAATATTAGTACAGCCAAGTGTTGATATGCAGATTTTTAAAATACTTTTCCTATGATTATATATCTTATTTTACCTGATCTTATACTCTGTGTACAAGTCTGATTCTTAAACCAGATAATATGTTCATTAAAGTTAGAAACTTTCTTCTTATAGAAGAAGCACTAGGTTTAGAATCAGAAAACCCAAATTTGAATACCAGTTTACTGTGTGTTGTATATTTCTGAATGTTTCCTCATCTACAAAAACAAAAAATTCATAGCTTTTTGATAAGAATTGACTAACATAGTATGTAAAACTGCCCCAGCACCAAGTTTGAAATATAATAGATGTGTAATCATTTGTTTGTTTATTCAACTTTCTACCACACCCTACAGTGGTATAATAACTCTGTTATATAATGAATGCTCAATAAATAAAAGCCGACTTAATATGTCTAGATAGTCAAAAATACTTGGATGATTGTTGTGCACTGAGTTGGGATTACTACAAATGTTGGATGTAGTTCCTCAACACTAAATTTTACTGTCTTGCCTAGCTGGTAATTCTGTCCCTCCTTAAGGATGAATAATATAGTCTGTTAAAGTGTGGCTTTAATATACAAAATATATTATTTATCCTTAAAAAGGGACAGAATCTTTGAAGGTTGAAAAACCAACCCCCAAAATGGTCCGAGACATGGGCTTTTGTCCTGTACTATGTCCCAGTCCTCTCTCTTACTGAGAGCTACTGCTTGAAGCATGCAAAGAAATGAGGATCTCCGTGATCTTCATTTCTTTCCTCTACAGCATGACTTTTTCTCGTCTGTGCCTACTGTTAGAACTACCCCTCCTTCAAGCAGCATCACTGTGGAAAATGGAACTTACCTACCTGGTTGATGTCCACACCATGAGCATTTGATATGTTCTAACAACAAAGATGAATCCCCTCAGAATCTCCCGTCACTTTCACAGTCATCCTTGAACAGAAACTTTTCTCTGGACTCTGGTGAGAGTCCAGTTTTTCAATTCCTCACTTCTCTGTCAATATGTTGGTATAAGGAACAAACTGTCTGTCATACTAGATGACACTATTTTTTTCTCTTTTCAACCTTTCCATCTGTCTTATCCTAGTTACCCCACACTGAAAAAGCTTGCTGGGAGAAGACCAGATATTCCCATTTATGTTGGAAACACAGAAAGGCCTGTATTTTGGAATCTGAATCAGAGCGGTGTCCAGTTGACTAATATCAATGTCGTGCCATTTGGAATATGGCAGCAGGTCAGAAATCTGCTTTCTTTCCATGCTTTCCAGTTATGCTTTCTGTGATGAATGTTAGGTGAGATAGTCACCGTAAGATTAAGGAAAAAATGGGTCAATGTGGTATGTCCCTGATACTGCATAAACACAACCTCTATTTGTGATTCAAATGTTAGGCAGACTGTCCTGGGCAAAGATGATTTTCTTTCTATTAACCCATACTATTATAGTACAACTCTACAGAACAGGTAATAAATCTAGTTCTGAATAAGGAAATTTCTTCAAATGTGAGGTTCAATTGACCAGTCTTTCCAGAACAGGTGATTACCTTCTCAAATACTGAATTAAAAACCAAACTGAAATTCACAGTTGTTGGTTTTGTTGTTAAATTCCAGGTGGACAAAAATCTTCGATTCATGATCTTGATGGACGGTGTTCATCCTGAGATGGACACTTGCATTATTGTGGAGTACAAAGGTATGTTTTTATCCCCATTGATAACGAAAAATGGAAAACATTCTTAATAGGAAGGATGGTAATATCTATATGAAATTTCATCACATGTTCATCTTTTAGCTCCATTTTGAAAGAATATAGCGTGTTATATCCTTGTTCTAGAAATATGGAGCTATCTTTCAAATAATTTTTCCAGAAAACAAATTAGAAATAATGTCATCTAGATAGTGACAGGAGCAAAGATTTCTTTCATAAGGCAATAGATATTTTACATTCCACCTATAGTGATTTCTTCAAAACTACATTTATTAAATAAATGTCTTTTATTACTTTCACCTAGAAATATCATGTAATATAATCATGCACTGCTTTTCATATGAAAAGATGGCCTTACTGCCCCAACAATCATTTGAATATGAGCTTTGCATGTAATTTGCAAAAGGTACAGGGAAGTATGTTAATCCACTTTTTTCTGATCCTTTGGGCTCAACACCTGGAAAAAGTTGACAGAAGAAAGCAGTCTATCTATGAGCTAGAGTGGAATTAAGATAAAAGTCTTCATGAGACACCTAGTATCCACCAAGTCAAATGGGATGAATTTAGTCGCTTGAAAATTCAGAAAATATACTATTGAAAGCTTTAAGTTTTAAAATCTTACTGTTTGTTTTTCCTTTGATATAATCAATTCTTCTATAATCAAATAAGTTCAATTATACAGACTGTATACAGAAGTCCTTGTCTTGGAATTCAAACTATGGGTGTTCAAGATTTCACCTTGAATATCTATACCTCTTTGTTTCTCCACAGGTCATAAAATACTCAATATAGTAGACTGCACCAGACCCAATGGGGGAAGGCTGCCTATGAAGGTTGCTCTAATGATGAGTGATTTTGCTGGAGGAGCATCAGGCTTTCCAATGACTTTCAGTGGTGGAAAATTTACGGGTAATATTTTGTATGAAAGTGATACCAAGTATCACGCATGGCACATTGCTAAATGCTGTAAGAGTAAATACAAATGTAATTGAGACATGATCCCTCCCCACAAGAAGCATGCAATCTTATTGGGAAACCAGATTTGTAAGTTGCAGATTACCAACTAAGGTTTCTAGCTCAAAACATGATGGAGCATGAAGGAAATGTTGAGATCTGAGAGCACCTCAGGAGGAGCCAAGAAAGAGAATCATCTGGATTCACCATGTAGACCGTAGAGCAGAACAGGAAAGGCCTGAAGTGGGTCATCCAGGCTTAGGTGCTCTTGGAATATGGTTCCTAATGGGGTGTGTGCAGCCTCAATGTAGACACATCCCCTTGGCACTGTGGATGCTCATATCAGGGAGCAGTGTGCCCAGAAGAGAGTCCTCTAGTTGGGGACCTCTAGTGCACCCAGAGGAGGGTCCTCTGGTTGGGGGTCTTAGGCAGGAGCCCTTCTGCTCTGGGTCCAAGAGTGGGGTTGGGGTTGACATTGGGGAAGTGTGTATCCTCAACACTAGTATTGTAAGTGCTCAATACATGTCCACTTAATAAATTAATGTATCTGATAAGTGATCCCTGTCTAACAGTGTGGCAGAAAATGCCCTGCTTTGCAATATGAAGATAACCTTTGTCCCGTTCTTTGCTTTCTTCTCTAAGTCTATATTCATTGCCTCCCGGAGTGTGTAACCACATGAGAAATAGAGGGAAGGTTCTGTCCTTAAGAAGTTAAAAGTGTGACTGGGAAGGTAAAACATACTTATTAAGGGTTAACTAGCATCATGCCATTCTGTGTGATGGTGAGTTTGTGTGTGTGTGCACATGTGCGTGAGTACACACATATACATTTAAAAAGGTCTTGAATATACCAAAATATTATGTCTAGGTGATGGGTAGCTTGTATATTTTTTCTGTATCCTTGTCTGTGTTTGTCAAATTTTATAGAAACAATAACAGTAACAGCTCTCTGACCTTCTACCCTGTATGTTCTGCGTCCTGTCTAATTCCTCAAGTTCCTTCACTGCCTGTCACTCTGATGCTTGCTATATATCAGCCCATCCTGCTTTTTGTTTCTTAGACCCAAAGTGTCAAGTGCACACCTGCCCTGGGTCTTTGTGTTTGCTGTTTCCATTTCCTGGAGTGCAGCTGGCCCTGATTTGCATGTGACCAGCAACTTTTCATCTATGTCTCAACTCAAATGTCACCTCTTCACTGACCATCCTGTCTAATGATTCCCTCCATCTCATCCCACTCACCCCAGCCACTCTCTGTTCCATTGCCCTGTTTTATTTTCTTCACGGTGCATCATTCTTTGCAATGACTTTATTTACTTGTTCATTATTTGCTTCTCTCACTAGAATGAACACTCCATGAGAGCAGGGACCTGCTTTGCCTTGTTCACCACTTTATTCCCAGTGGCTAGAACCACGTCTGACACAGAGTAGGTGCACAATAAATATTGGTTACGTGAATGAATAAGCAAATGAACGGCACTGTGAGAGGGGCATCATGACTCCATTTACAGAGAAGATACAGACATGGAGAAGTTAGGTAGTTTGCCCAAGGCTGCCCAACCAGTAAGTGGTGGGTCAGGATTTTCAACCTAACTGACTCCAACGTCATGCTCTTAATCACTGTGTATTTGTCAGATTATGTTGAACACACCTGTTATAATCTACAAATATAATGAAGCCATTTTCATGTTAGTAAAGAGTTAATTTCAAGAATTACAATGCCCTTAAAATGTGCATGCACACCAACTACGATTATGCATCCTACCCTGTGTATTCAGCTAGGGTCCGAATGAATTGCCATATACAAGGAGAAAGCTCAGTGCCTTTGGCTGGCTTGGTAACATTTTCCTAGTAACCAATTGAAATTTCCAAGATAAAAACTCCGGGGAAATCCTCCACTAATGACATGGAGCCTTGTTCTATTTCTGCCTTAGTTACCTATCAATTTTATCTCCTGAAAGAGTTCCAATCTGCTAGAACATGTGTTTTTCTGTGATTTTTCCAGCAGAGGAGACTCTAATCTAAATCCTGTCATTTCAGAGGAATGGAAAGCCCAATTCATTAAAACAGAAAGGAAGAAGCTCCTGAACTACAAGGCTCGGCTGGTGAAGAACCTGCAACCCCGAATTTATTGTCCCTTTGCTGGGTATTTTGTGGAATCTCACCCATCAGACAAGTATGGCTAGACACTTTGTACATTTTTACATACAACTTAACGTATGGTGGAATGAGCGACTTTGCTGTGAAAGCAGTGTGACATGAGAAGGAAAGTGATTAGTAGGTGTCTGGAACTTTTTAACAAGCTGCTGGAGAACCCAGAGCATGAATAAAAGTTACACTTGGCAGCCAGGAACTCTTTCAGGAGATAAAATAACAGATAGATATTCTCCGAAAGGATCCCAGGAAAGAGGATGGCAACTGCCATTTATTATGTGAAGTGAACTGGGGACTTTTAACTAAGCCATCTAAGTTAATCTCCCAATAGCACTATGCGTAGGAAGGGGGTATTGTTCCTTTTTTGCAGATAAGGAATCTGAAACTCAGAAAGGTCAAGGGACGTGCCCAAAGTCACCCTGTTGGAAACATGAGTTGAGAATGGAACCCTGGTATGCTTAGTTCTAAAGCTCTTTTCTCTATACCATACTGCATTCCAGAATAGAATTATGTCTTTCTTCTCATGTTTTAGGTATCTAATGTGATTTTTCTTGCAGCAATATAACTTCTGCAAATACTATGAATCATCACCAATGTATGAAATTGTTGAAAGAAATAAAAGACCATGAATTTGATCTTGTCCCCTTTGCCAATGCTCAGTTAAGTCAAGAAAACCTACATGATTAATTTCAAGATTTTCTTGAAACAAAAGAATTGCTTGCCAAATATGCAGGAATCGAAGATAAAATCTGGCAGGGTAGTTTGTTTTTTAATCTGATATCACAGTGCCTATGGAAAAACTCATTTTGAATCTCATCCTAAGTCTGACTCCAGCGTCATGCTCTTAATCACTGTGTATTGTCAGATTATGTTGAACACACCTTGTATTTGAACACAATGAAAGGAAAAGCTTAATTGTGACTTAGTTACACGGGAAGAAATATTTTATTAGGTTCCTAGAGCTGTTGTAACAAAGGAACATAAACTGGGTCATGTAACAAAAATTTGTTACAACAGCCCTAGAAACCTATTACAATTTTTGTTAACAAACGTTTGTTAAGTTCTAGGGGTCAGAAGTTTGAAATAAGGTGTGGGCTGAGCCATGGTCCGTTTAAAGCCGCTGGGGAAGGATTGGTTCCCGGCCCTCTCCCAGCCTCTGGTTGCCTCAGACACTCCTTGGCTTGTAGATGACCATCTTTACTCTGTCTCTTCACATGGCATTTTCCCTGTGTGCCTATCTGTGTCCACATTTTCCTTTTTTTATAAAGACATCAGTCAGATTGTTTTAGAGCCCACCTACATGACCTCATTTTCACTTGATTACCTCCATAAGGACCCTGTCTCCAAATAAGGTCACATTCTGAGGTACTAGGACTTAGGACTTTAACATTTCATTTTTGAGGGGAAAACAACCCATCACACGTATTTATATTAAAATGGAAACTTTTCATGGCACCAATTAATAACAGTTTTATACATTTTTAAAAAACCAATATGCAGATTTTATTTTTAATTGACAGCATTAAAATTGACTGCAAAGTTGAGTAAAATTTGAAGAATGTTTCATTAGTATTGATAATTTATAGTTGAGTTTTGATTTATGTAATACCCCTTTGAATTCAATGGTAATATTAATGAGTTGACACAAAAGTTAGTGAATTTACTAAACTTGGACAGGCATAGTTTTGAAACTGTTATGCTTTTGCTTCAAAGCCAAATCAGTTCTTCTAAAAAAAAATATGAACCAGTTGTGTCAATGTGGATTTGAGTGCTACATGAAAGTACATTTTTAGTACTTGCTTCTTTTTATTGGGAAACTTTTTGGGTATGTGTGGAACAACTTGAGCATGAGAAGCTACTTTTTGAACTATTCATTTTATAAGATCTATAGATCAAGTCTTTCTGATGAAAATGTAGGATCTAAATTGAGATGTACTCTGTTTAAAATATACATTGGATTCCAAAGACTTGATAATGCAGAAAAGAATGCACAATATCTCAATAATTTTTAAAAATTGATTTCATATTAACATATTTGGATTGAGTTAAGTAAAATCTATTAATTTTACCTGTTACTGTGTACTTTTTTAATGTTGCTACTAGAAAATTTAAAATTACACATGCTTGAATTGTATTTCTGTTGAACAGAGTTTAATAATTTTTGGCATCATAGACCTTTTAATAGAGTAAAATCTTAGCTGTATAGAACTTCTGGGAACTTGGGCATTCTAAATAGTGAAATCATGCTAGGTAGCAAAATTTTCTGGATAGGTATAGTTTATCTCTCTAGATGTGAAAATTTTATGATTTAGGTATAATTGTCTTCTCAGAAAGAGTATTAGAACATAATTGATCTTTTCTTGATATCATGGATTCATCATTTCAAAGTTTTAGAATGTAATGTAACAGCTTGATGTTCCTACAGTTCACTGGAGGATGTTATAACAGGATGTGTTCTAGTCCATTGAGCTGTTTGCCCCTGCACTAAACGGCCCCAGGCAGTAAAGCATTATATCTGCTCGTTACAGTTTTGCTAAGTTAGTGATCATTCTTCACTGCTGTAACAAATCTTTACCAGCAGTCTCAATCCTTCTCTTTGATTTGCTGCTTCTAGCCACCTAAGTAATTAAGTCAAAAATTAACTTACTTTCACTTTTTGTACATATGCTTATGAGAGAGGCCCTGAGCAACTCTCCTGGTGAAGGACTGCTAGAAGCCTCACTCATAGATGACACTCCAAGGAAAAAGAATCATTTTCTCAAATCAAAGCAATTTCGGTTCGAATAATACGAAGAGAATCCTTGTTGCAGTCTTTTCTCTCGCTAACCTCTCACCACTTTGCCCCACAAGCATATGCAGTTTCCAGAACATGCACAGCAGTACAGGGAAATCGAAGCCCTGGCTTTTCAACCAGAAGATGAAGGGGATACCTGGGAAGCAGAAAATCATGGAGAGATTTCAGATAGGAGGAGGCTTAGGAAAGTGAGCCCATAAAATTATGGATAAACTCCTGGGTTAACTCCAAAGCTGCACTGTGTGTGTGGACCTGACCCTAAAAAGGATATCAGAGTACATATGCTAAAAACTACAAAACAGATGAAAGAAATCAAAGACTCTAATTAGATAAATGGAACAGCATACCATATTCATGAATTGGATGTTCAATATAGTTCATATTTTAATTATCCCCAAATTTATAGATTCAGTACAATGCCCATCAAAATCCCAGCAGGATATTTTGTAGATCTAGATAATGTCTAAAATTTATAGGAAAGGCAAAGGAATTAGACTAATCAAAATAATTCTGTAATAGAAGAATAAAATTAGAGGAACATATTCTCTAATTTTAAGATTAGCTATAAAGCTGCAGTAATCAAGATAGTGTGATACTGGTGAAGGAATAGACACAGACATCAATGGAACAGAATAGAGAATCCAGAAATAGATCCACACAAATATGGCCAATTGATTTTTGGCAAAGATGCAATTTGGGGAAATGTGAATGAAAAAAAGGCTTTTTTTTGGGGGGTGGGGAAGGATTCTCACTGTGTCGCCCAGCCTGGAGTGTGGTGGCGTGATCTCGGCTCACTGCAGCCTCTGCCTCCACCTCCCGGGTTCAAGTGATTCTCCTGCCTCAGCCTCCTGAGTAGCTGGGACTACAGGCACACACCACCACGCCCAGCTAATTTTTTGCATTTTCAGTAGAGATGGGGTTTCACCATGCTAGTCAGGATGGTCTCAATCTCCTGACCTCACAATCCACCTGCCTTGGCCTCCCAAAGTGCTGGGATTACAGGCATGAGCTGCAAGCCACTGTGCCCGGCCCGGAAAAAGGCAATTTAATGGAGAAAGGGTAGTCTTTTCAACAAATGTTACTGGAGAAATTGCACACCCATACACACACACACAAAAAAACCTACCTCGATCTGAACCAAAAAAAAAACCTACCTCGATCTGAACCTTATGTCACATGCAAAAAGTAAGTAAAAATGGATTATAGATATAAATGTTAATATAAAACTATAAAATTTTTAAAAGAAAATATAGGGGAAATATTCCTGACCATGGGTTAGGGAAAGACTTCTTAGATGTTGCATCAAAAGCATGATCTATTTTAAAAATTAATATATTATTCTTTATCAAAATTTAAAATGATTGCTCTATAAATAGGAAACTATTAAGAGGATGAAAAGGCAAACTATAGACTCTGAGAACATTTTGCAAATAGCATACCTGACAAAGAATTTGTATCCAGAACATATAATGAACTCTCAAAACTCAGCAATAAGACTACGATTTAAAAATAATTTTAAAAATCAATAGTAAGAAGATTTAAAAATTGGCAAAATATTTGAACAGATACATCACCAAAGAAGATATATGGATGTCAAATAAGCATATGCAAAGATGCTGAATAGCATTAGCCATTAGGAAAATGAAAATTAACACCACAATGGCATAACTATTAGAATTAATGGCACTTTGGAAAATTGACAATACCAACTTATGTCAAAAATACAGACCAAGAGGAGCCCTCACACTTTGCTCTTAAGGATGCCAAATGGTGCAGTCCTTCTGGAAAACGCTTTTGCAGTGTCTTTGAAGCTAACCTTACTGTATGATCCAACAGTTCCACTCCTGAGTATCTGCCCTAATTAAATTAAAACTTTATTCACACAAAAAATCTATATGCAAATATTAATAGTAGCTCTATTCATAATCACCAAATCAACCCAAATAGCCTTCAACAGGTGAATGGATAAACAAGCTCTGGTATAGTCATACAACAGACTACTACTCAAGAATAAGAACTGCTGCATACAACAGTGTGGATGAATCTCAAAGGCACTGTGTTGAGTGACAGAAGCCAGTCTCAAAAGGTTACATACTAAAAGATTCTATGTATATGATATTCTGGAAAAGGCAAAGTTATAGGGATAGAGAGTAGATCAGCGATTGTGAGGAGGTAGGGGTTAAAGAAGGATTTTACTACAAAGGTGCAATGCAAGGAAGTTTTGGGGGTGATGAACTGTCCTGTATCCCGATTGTGGTGGCAGTTACATGAATCTATATTTGTGTTAAGATCTATAGATCTGTACTCCCTCAAAAAGTAAAAAAAAAAAAAAAAAAAAAAAAAAAGGATCTCAGTAAATTTGAAAAATTAAAGATCAAAAAAGGCAAACATGGTGATTCTTAAAGAGCACCTTAAGCCTTGGTAGTTAAGGCAAGCATATTGGGTTTTTTGTTTGTTTGTTTGTGGGGTTTTTGTTTTTTTGTTTTGGTTTTGGTAGAAACAGAGTCGAGCTCTGTCAACCCAGGCTGGAGCGCAATGGCTGAATCTCAGCTCACTGCATCCTCTGCCTCCCAGGTTCAAGGGATTCTCCTGCCTCAGCCTCCTGAATATCTGGGACTACAGGCATGCACCACCATGCCCAGCTAATTTTTTTAAATTTTTTGTATTTTTAGTAGAGACAGGGTTTCATCATGTTGGCCAGACTGGTCTCCAATTCCTGACCTCAAATGATCCTCCCACCTTGACCTCCCAAAGTGTTGGGATTACAGGCGTGAGCCACTGAGCCCAGCAAGCATATTTGTTTAAATCATATTTGTGATACAATCAAGTTATATTACATGCACATTTTATGGACTTCATAATCCCTTGCAAAAGCAATACATATAATAAATCTATCCATTTTGTGTTATATGGAGTACAATTTTATTTTAAATGCTAAAGGAAAGTTTATAGATGTTTAAACTTTGCTAAGATTTCCTTGATTGTATATAAAATTTATTTGATCCTGAGCTTATGCAGTGACTCATCCCCTAGCTATAACGTTTTCATGAGCAATCATCTGCTTCACAAAAACATTTATTTTATCATACAGTTACTGATATTTTGTGAACAAAGGGCAGGGACTGTTTATGTGCAGGCAGGAAATGCATGTGTCATTTTACCAAGAAAGTACACTTACCTGTATTTGTCTGAATTTATTGGATAATAAGTCGGTCCTCGAGGCGAGTTTTTGTGACAGTAATCTTGTTAGGACTGCCCATGACTTCTCATCAACTGGAAGCAGCAGTACAGTAGAAGGAGCGGTGTACATGGGATTGTGGTTTTGGTTCTACCACCATCTATCTGACTTCTCTGCACTTCATTTGTCTCATTGTTAAAAACCTGTCATCATTTTGACATGCTACGTTCTCTTGCAACGTAGCTACATGTGTATAATTGCTTAATGTGGTCTCTTGCTGATGTGTTTCTTTTTAAACTTCTTGTTGACATTATTTAGCTCTCTTGTATCTTCCAAATTTTTTCAGAAAAGATTGGTCTAAGGTTAAAACATAATTTCTTTTGATCATTGCTCTTTGTTACTTGTAAATTCATTTGTCATTCACTGAGCAGCACTGTGCTAAGTACTGGAGAACTAGAGATAAAATGATTGTCTGTTCTCAGAGTGATGGTCTATTAGAAGAGAAGAACAACTGGAATACAGAATGATCAATGCAGGCAAGGGGATACAGACGCAGGAGAGGAGACGAACACTGGATGAGTCTATGAATGCTGCATTTTAAAGAAGGAGTAGGAACTGACCAGCAAAGATAAAAAGATGCTGGGATGAGAAATTGCAGTTCAGAACAGGAGACAGGGGTTGTATGAGCACTTTAGGACATGCTACGTGATTTGGATTTTTTCCTGGAAGGATAGGGAGCCTGATAGTCGGGTGAGGAACAGGGATGTAATCAGATGTGAACTGGAGGGGTTAGTTTGTATGCCTGTGTGATGGCAAAGGGAAAGGAAGACCAGTTTGGAAACTATTGCAATAACCCAGGAAGGAATAATGAATGGCAGTGGGGAGTGAGAATGCAGATTCAAGAAATATTAAGTAGGTTGAGTTGCAAGGATGTGGAGAAGAATTGGAGGTGGTGGGTACTTGACCACTTAATGTGATGCTGTCATTTAAAGCAATTAAAAGCTGTACTGTTGCATGTAAGCAGTTGGCAAATACTTTCACTTCCCACAATACCCCATCTAGATACTGATTTTATTTTTATTTTATAGAGAGACAAAGACACATCAAGAAGTTACAGAACTTTGTGACCACCACACATTATGTTTTAGGAAGAGTAATGAATAGTAACATAGTTGGAGGCAGGGAAACCTGTTAGTGAACCATGTAGAGACTAAAGGCTGGAAGAAGATGAGACAAGGTGGTGACTGTAACAGTGGGAGGATATTAATGTGTGTAAAAAGAGAAAAGCTACTGACGCCTTTGGTGCAGTGACAGCGTTCTCACCTGTGTCTACAAAATTGATTCCAAGATCATAAATGTGTCACCTTGGTGCTATAGAAATACAAATGATTATGTACTTTTTACTTATCTCACTAAAAATATCTATCACGTCTGTGTAACCAATTTGTAGCTCAAGAAAGTAAAATTCCCTTTAACAGAAATGTCTGTCTATAAAACCCATGTTAGGTGAATCACAGTGACAAATCTCGTTCTCTGGATCTTTCTCTTTCTGCTCCAACACAACCACAATCACCTTCTTGTATGACATTGAAATTGAAGAGTTAAGGCTTTTCAAGAAAGATTGTGGTATGGAATTAGATTTGGGAGACACCACGCTTCTATCAATGCCACAGTTAGAAATTAGATCTCAGCCAGACACAGTGGCTCATGCCTGTAATCCCAGCACTTTGGGAGGCAGAGGCGGGCAGATCACCTGAGGTCAGGAGTTCAAGACCAGCCTGGCCAACATGGCGAAACCCCATCTCTACTAAAAATACAAAAATTAGCTGGGCATGGTGGTGGGCACCTGTAATCCTGCTACTTGAGAGGCTGAGGCAGGGAGAACTGATTGAACCCGGGAGGTGGAGGTTGCAGTGAGCCAAGTTGTGCCATTGCACTCCAGCCTGGGCAACAGAACAAGACTCTGTCTCGAAAGAAAGAAATTAGATCTCAGAGCCCAGGAGTAGTCAAGACCAGCCTCAGCAACAAAGTGAGACCCCATCTCTACAAAATGTCAAAAAATTAGTCTGGCATAGTGGTGCATGCCTGTAGTCCCAACTACTTGGGAGGCTGAGGCAGGAGAATTGCTTGAGCCCAGGAGGTTGAACCTTCAGTGAGCCATGTTCATGCCACTGTACTCTACCTGGATGAAAGAGTGAGACCCCGTTTCAAAAAGAAAGAAAGAAAAAAAGAAATTGGATCTCAAGATGGGTTGCAACTGAGGATATGTGTGTGTAACAAGTAGATTTTTTTTTTTTTTTTTTGAGACACAGTTTTGCTCTTGTTGCCCAGGCTGGAGTGCAATGGCATGATCTCGGCTCACTGCAACCTCCGCCTGCTGAGTTCAAGCGATTCTCCTGCCTCAGCCTCCAGAGTAGCTGGGATTACAGGCACCCGCCACCATGACCGGCTAATTTTTGTATTTTTAGTAGAGACAGGAGAGGGGATTTCACCACATTGGCCAAGCTGGTCTCAAACTCCTGATCTCAGGTGATCCGCCCGCCTCGGCCTCCCAAAGTGCTGGGATTACAGGCATGAGCCACCACACCCAGCCAACAAGTAGATTTTTAATGGTTTTGAATGTAAAAGCTTTTCAGATTTTACTCCCAAAGTTTTGTGGCAACTGTGAGGGCTGAGGCTTCACTGGCTGCACAGCCTGTGTCAGACAGCTGGGTGGAGAGCTGGGGCTGGGCTGACTGCTAATGGTATGGCCTCAAGCAAGTCATGTGTCTTCTCTAAGGCTTAGTTTCTCTCTCTCTAAAATGAGCATCATAATAGTGCCTCATGGGGCATTGTGAAGGTAATCAATTAGTTCATATTAAACACTTAGTATAATGCCTGCCAAATAATAGTTAATCCATATATTAACATTAAATACAGGAGTGTGCAATTCCCACCTATTTTCAGTAGTCAGTCTTGCTACATCTAACTTCAATTCCAATCACCATGCAATTATACTTAAAAACAAAGTATAAGTACAACCTTCTTTGACTGACACTTCTTCTCTAATTAGGGACATTAGCCCAAATATAGTCTTTATTTTTCCATGGAATAAGTGGAGGAAGATTGGAAAGTGAAAATGTGGAGAAAATAAAACAAAAATCTGTACTCATCAGACCATGCACCTGAGAATAAACTTTCTTACATAGGAATGCTTTTATTTCTCAGGTACATCAAGGAAACAAACACCAAAAATGACCCAAATGAACTCAACAATCTTATCAAGAAAAACTCTGATGTGATAACATGGACCCCTCGACCGGGAGCCACCCTTGATCTGGGAAGAATGCTGAAGGATCGAACAGACAGGTTTGGCTTAAATATTTTTAGAGGATAAAAATGTTTTATAATTTTTTTTCAATACTATTAGAAAATAAATGGCTCACCTCTGGCCTCTTGACAGGTTCCTATTTTGTTTGTTATACAGTAAAATCCACACATCACTTTTTATTTTATTTTTTTGAGATGGAGTCTCACTCTGTTGCCTAGGCTGGAGTGCAGTGGAGCGATCTTGGCTCACTGCAACCTCCACCTCCCAGGTTCAAGCGATTCTCCTGCCTCAGCCTCCTGACGAACTGGGATTACAGGCACATGCCACCATGCCCGGCTAATTTTTGTATTTTTAGTAGAGACGGGGTTTCACCATGTTGGTTAGGCTGGTCTTGAACTCCTGACCTCATGATCTGCCCACCTCCACCTCCCAAAGGACTGAGATTACAGGCGTGAGCCACTGCGCCTGGCCTACCTCACTTTTTAAAAATGGAAGTCTTCCCATTTAAATAAAATGAACTATCCAATAAGTATGTCACAAATCTAGGGGAAAAAAAGACTGAATTTTTTCCTAATCTTTTCATCCTATATAACAGTGACTCAAATGTTTTCATCATCTCAGAACCTTACTAGCGAGTAAACAGTGAAGAATCTTTTATTAAGGTCCATTGATACAGCTCAAAAATAAATTATTTTATGAAAGTAAAAAGCAATAAGAAAATTAGTTTTCATATCAGTGCAAATATTACCCAATTTCCCATTCCACAGATAGTACATTTGAACAAGTAACAATAACACACTGGAAATGCAATCCAAGAAAAGTTAACATGATGCCACAAAGCTATATTTTTGAATACTACTCTAAGCCAAATGAAACCATCATGGGCTATTTGGAAATGGACTAACATTTTGGAGAGTGGTACATGCAATTACCAAAAGCTCACCCTCTCCCAGCCTTACCTCTGCAAAGTCAGTATGAATGATAAATCAGCTCATTCTGTCTTTTGCTAACTTCCCATATTAAACGAGTTATCAAATCTGGTCAATTCTCCTTCATAAAGCACTCACAAATCCATCACTCGTCTCCAGCCTCTTCTGCCCTGGCCTTAATTCTGCCTCTCAAAATTTCTCACTTAGACTCCTGCAGTGCCCCCCAACTTGTATCTGTGCCTCCCCCACAACTTCCCTTGATCCATCTTTCATGCCAGTGTCTTCAATCTGCTGGTCACAATCCATTGGCAAGTCACAAAATTAATGCCATTGCTCACAGCCAATGTTTTAAACATGAAATAGAATAGAATAAAATGGAATAGGATAGAAAATACCTGAGTACATTGCATGTAACAAGGGTATTATTTCATGAAACTTCCGTTTCATAGGTACCCTTGGTAGGGGGACTCCAGGGTCCTAATGTAAAATGTAGTCTTTACTGGGATGATAGGCAAAATGTTTGAAAGCCCCTGCTCTTCATTGCTGACAAAGTAACCTTTCTAAAATGCAAACATTCTTGTTTAAAATTCTGTAGGATATCCTTAGTGCCTCCAGGATAAAAGTGTTTTTAATTTTATTTTCCAGGTCTAAAGGTTTTTAATTATTCCAGTTCTTAGCAAGGTATTCAAGAGCCTTCGTCATTTTACATTTGCCTAACTCTCCAAAAATCTTCTCTTTCGATTGCCCCAGCAGTTTTCAAGCTTTAATGAACATAGGAATAATTGAAGAGACTCACATAAATCCAGATCCCTGGACTCCCTTCCCCCACAGATCCTGATTCAGTAGATCTGAGGTAGAGCCCAGGAATCTGCATTTGTATTCTTGTGCCTCACCAAAGCATTCTGGGTGACTAGAAAGTCAACACCGTTGGGTCTTAGAGCTAAGACGAAGTATAGAGGACACACAGAGACCAAGTGCTCTAACTGCCTTGCAAGGGGAAGAGGAAAAAATTGTGACCAAGGAAAGCTTAATCTGGATCTTTGGCATTTAGAGATGAGGAGGATGTCACGAGTAAGTAGAGAGGAGAAAGAGATTCTAGTCAGAAACAATGGCATGTGCTGGAGAAGGCAAGTGTATAATGGGTTTGGTGAATGCGGATACTTTGAATGAGGGCATAAATATATGTGATTCATTCAGAAATGATTTATTGAACTCCTTCTGTGTGCAAGTCATCATCCCAGATACAGAGGATACAGCTGTGAAGAGGCTTTTGCCCTCATGAAGCCATCTGTCTTCCTAAGTAGAGGGCTTGTGAGTGAAAGCAGAGGAAAAGGGTGAGATAGGCGGCAGCCAGGCTCGGAGAAAGGCCCCAGAAGCCAGTGCAGGGAATTTGTCCTGTGAGTGAGGGGAGCTGCAGAAAGTTATAAAGCAAAGAAGGGACATTGCTGAGTTTTTATTTAGAAAAACCATTTCAGCTTTGCAGAGAATGGACTGGGGAACAGGTAGAACCACTGGAGTAAGGGAGAGTGGTTGGGAGGGTGTGGCTTTCTATAGAAAGAGATTAGTGAAGCTCTACACTGAGGCAAGGCAAGGAGTTGCAGAAGAAGATTTGAGATACATTTAGAAGGAAGAAGCTTTAGGATTTGGTAAATTTTTTTTTTTTTTTTTTTTTTTTTTTTTTACAGAAACCAGTACATCTGTAGCTTTGGGCATATAAAAGTATAGTTTTGAGAAGAAGGTCAGCTACTGCCACGTCTTTATGAGATGGGCACCTATTTCCCTCCTTATATTTTCTTTATCCAGATCACATCCTATTCCATTCTTGGGATTTAAAATTCCATGTTTTATGCAAGGATACATCTTCACATGGGATGGACAGAATTCTAGGATTGTCAGAGAACTCTACCACATTACTGGCTGGGTTTAAGGATAAAAACTGGCATCTGTCTATTGGCTGTGCTTTGATTAGGACAGCAAGAGCACCATATATTAGAGACACAAAGTTCTGGGAATTTCTTAAAGATAGGCTAAAGTCATCCATATATCCAACAAATATTTATTGAGCACCTCCTATGGGTTCAGTCATGGTTGCTACTTTCACCAAACTTATATTCTAATTGGGGTGGGGAGGCACGAATGTGCAGGCATCCACAAAATCATGGCCAGATTATAAGCAACATTTCTGTAATTTACTTGTTTGAACAAAGAGGCCCAAATTAGTGGTTTTCACACGTTTTTTTCTAGACATAGACTTCTTTCTTTGAATGAAATCTGACTTAGAAACCTATCACACTAGACAATAGGAGCTGCTCTGATTTAGGCAATGGTGGGACCACTGAGGCACTTTTGTGGGACGCCTTGTGAATTATCTGAGGGGTCTCAAAGCTGCTAGTCTGGTTGACTTTTGCTACTTAAGTACTAACTTTTGCCTTCATTACTTGTTACTTTCTTTCACTGTTCTCACACCTTTGTGTCTTTAAGCAAGGGCATCATAGAGCCTCCAGAGGGGACAAAAATTTACAAGGATTCCTGGGATTTTGAACCTTATTTGGAAATCTTGAATGCTGCTCTAGGAGATGAAATATTTCTTCACTCATCCTGGATAAAAGAATACTTCACTTGGGCTGGATTTAAAGATTACAACCTTGTGGTCAGGGTATGCTATTGTTTGTCTTTGCTTTCTTGTATAATGGAAATACATGAACACCCCTTTGTTTTCCAATAAGCATTTATTAAGTCCTATCAACTGCCTAACAGAGAACAGATTTCACAATTGATCAGCAATCTCTTGTTGAATATTTAGAGAATGTACTGAAGTCCCTAAGTTTTTCTTTTGGAACATCTTTTATCTGCTATCACCACGTGTTTTTTGTTGTTTGTGTTTGTGAGTGTTTTTGGCATGGCAGGAACAGCTATTTAAACTGTGGGGCTAGAAGGTAGGATCCACCCAAAGAGGTAATCGCCCGGAGCAAGGTGAGGTAGAAGCAGGTAACCCTTGTCTGCAGCTATGCTGAGGCTGAATTGCACAAATTAAGAATTAGGCCTAGGTCTGCAGCTTAATCTAGCCCTGACACATACATACAGAGCCACAAGCTAAGAAAGAGTTCATGTTGTAACCTAGTCACCAAAACTGGACAGATCTCCAAAAGCAAACTAAATACTAGCAGACAGAGGGTGCAAGACAAAGAGGAGGTCTGAAATGGGACAGGAGTAACTGCAAAGTCAGTGAGTAACCAGCTACCTGTGGCTTATATGAGATGCCTGAAGTTGTACAGGGGAGCAAAGTTTAGGGATGTCATCAGGAAATGGACAACACTCACACTCTTAAGACACAAGTATTCATTACCCTCAGGGTAAGAAGTACTCCCAAGTTTATCTTTCAATTCCTGAACATTAATGCCAGATAATACTTGCTATTCTCAAAAGCAATGATCCCCAGAAACCTAGCTGGGGCCCATGGCCAGTCTGTGACAAAGTTTTTGCTGGCAAATAGTGAAATAAGTAAGAGAGCAGGTATGTATATCAACTCTCTTTTCTTGGGATGAATTGTTATTATTCCATGACTAAGTCCTTTCTATTTGGGGGTATTAAAACATTATTTCTTCAATGAAATAAAAGGGTAGCAGAGGCAAGGTTTTTTTCAGTCCTCACTTAGCCAAATAAATGGTTGATATCTATATTAGTTCCCAGATAATTTCTAGAAAATTGTCTTTGAAATCTAATGACCTAGGAAGCATTGGTAAATGGTATTTTCATTAGGACAATTGGTATGAAAAAGAGAAAAACTTTTGACAGTTTTTTATAAAACATTTTCAGTGAAACCATTTCTATTTAGCTGCTATATGACAATGAGAAACATCTCACATTTATTTCCTCACCTGCAAATTTATGGTGGGATTTGATGTCTCATTACTAATAGTACTTCAGATAGCGATAACCAGCTGTATACATTTGATGTTAGTGACATGAAGCAGTTTTGCTAATATAGACTAGGATTTGAATGTTGCAGTTCAGGTGAGAGAAGAGACTCTTAATTTCCCATTCATTCCTATCATCTATCATTTAAGAGCATTTGAGTCTTACACATTCTTAGAATTTTTAAAGACCTTGACCACTTGATTGATATTCTTCTCTTTACCATGTTGTCATTTGCACAGATGATTGAGACAGATGAGGACTTCAATCCTTTTCCTGGAGGATATGACTATTTGGTTGACTTTTTAGATTTATCCTTCCCAAAAGAAAGACCACAACGAGAACATCCCTATGAGGAAGTAAGCAGCAACACTGGTGGAAGTCTGCTTTTCTTCCTTCTTTCTTTCTTTCCTTCCTTCCTCCCTTCCTTCCTTTCCTCCTAAATAAACTTATAATTTTAGAATAACTTTAGATTTACAGAAAAGTTACAAGGATATTAATTATAATTAATACAATATTAATTATAATTAATATAATTATAATTAATACAAAGTATTATTAACAACTCACTTTACTATGGTACATTTGTCACAACTAACAAACCAATATTAAAACATTGTTATTGATCAAAGTTCACACTTATTTCTTTATGAGCCATTCCCAAAGATTGACTTCTCTGTCTGCTCACTTCCAAACACCTGCTCAACCTAAGCTGTTATTAGACCTGTGAGCATTGATCTCTACCTTCATTTTCCTGTGCCCCTCCCAATGGGTGTCTCTGGAAAGGGAGTTAGATCAACATGAAGCAACACATATTTTATTGAATTCAAGTTCTGAACAAATCCCTCGCCAGTGGCAGCATTATGTAAAGATCCATGACATTGGAGACAGTGTCAAGATGGGGACTGATGCCCCTTTCTGCTGATCATGATTCCTGATTAGGAGGCTTTGAGCAGTTATTTAAGCTGTCTGAGCTTTAGGGGTTTTTGTTTTTGTTTGCTTGCACAGGGCTTGCTCCCCCCTTGCCAGTTTGTCGTGATAGTTAAATGACATAATATATGTGAGCATGCATTGTAATTTAAAATTGTCTATGAATGTAAGAATCATTAGTTATGAGGATATACGGTCTGCCCTTAAACTTATTGTATGTGCCATTTAAATGTGTGATGTCCTAAATGTAGAGGTTTAAATATACCTTCACCTAATAGATGTAATAAATGTGCTCTTGAACTACATTTTAATAAATTGACTAGTACTTGCTATTGAAGAAATCCTATATGGAAACTTCAGTAAAAGTAATAATCTGCTACCTGATTTATAGGTAATAATAATAAAAAAACTGGCACTGGGCATGGTGGCTCACACCTGTAATCCCAGCACTTTGGGAGGCCAAGGCAGGTGGATCCCCTGAGGTCGGGAGTTTGAGACCAGCCTGGCCAACATGGTGAGACCCCATCTCTACTAAAAATACAAAAATTAGCTGGGCGTTGTTGTGGGCACCTGTAGTCCCAGCTACTTGGGAGGCTGAGGCAGGAGAATCGCTTGAACCCAGGAGACGGCAGTTTCAGTGAGCCGAGATCATGCCATTGCACTCCAACCTGGGCAACAGAGCAAAACTCGGTCTCAAAAAACAAACAAAAAAACTGGATTTTTACAGGTAAGAAAATCCTGTGTGAGGCACCGTATAGATGATAAATAGGCTTACATCTTTTTAGACAAAATAAATCTTTACATTTATTGCTTTATATATCAAATACTTACCAAGCTTGCTTTATGCCAAGCACAGTGTTAAACACTTTGGAAATGTTAAGACATTTAATCCAACAACAACCCTGTGAACAGATACTACTATCTGCCCCCATTTTGTGGGGGAAGAAACTGGGATTATAAGAGTTAGAATAACTTGCCCATGGTTATACAGCTAATGAATGGTGATGCGGGGCTTTAACTCAAGCAGTCTAGCTCAAAGTCTATGCTCTTAGCCACTGTGTAGCCTTTCAAATCTGAATTTACAAAACCTATAAATTGAGGTTTCTTAGCCTCAAGAGATTCACCTTTGAAAATTTTTAAATAACTTCATTTAAAATATTTAATTTGGAAAAAAAATCACTTTTTCACAGCTTTCCATAATGCATCTGCTGGATAAAGCAAGCAGCAGCTCTGTTGCATATTTAAATACACCATGGGGCAAAATCATGATGCCTGCTCTGCACATGGTACTGTTATACTGTGGCTTGAGGGCTTTTATCTCCCAGGATTTTAGGGAGAGTTCTATATGCTGAGGTTTGGTTAAAGAGGTTATGCCTATGTGTGGAAGAGCTCCTTTTCTTGCTACCCGGAGACTTCTCATATTGCCTCCCTCCTGCCACCTTTTTGGAGGTATTAATTGCCTTTCAAACTCATCATTTCTATCACACTAACTCTCCATTCTTAAATGCATGGCTCCTGTAGCTCTCCATCCTCCTGCTCCGACCTGGAAGGGCTCCTCTCTAGCTCTGCTGCAAATCTGCTACCTTTCACTGCCTCCAGACCCCACCCATGCCTTTCCCTTCCTTGCTTCACTTCTATGTGGGACTTTCTGCTTAACTGTCTCCTGCCTCATGGTGTGTAAGTAAGTTTCAGCATGTAATTCTGGGTGACTAATCATTTTCCATAGACACCGGAAGGCATTGCTCCTTTGGCTTCCAGTTATAGACAAGGTTGCTCTAAAGAAAACTTATGCTAGCTTGATCCTCCTTTCTTTGTGGGTGACTTTTAAGAATTACAGGATTAGTCCATATTTACTGATAAAAAGACTTTTTTCAGCTGATTTGGGGCTCTTATGTATAGGTGTAGGATCTGTCATCCAGTAGGCTCTACTTACAGAGGGCTCGCACACTGGTGCAAGGCACATCTCATAAACTGGTGAAGCTGGGGCAGACTGCATCAAGTAGAATGCGGGATGAGAAGGGGGCAGGCCTGCTGAGCTCCGGCTGATCTGAAATTTCCAGAGAACTTGGAAATCTGGATTTTCATGTGAAATACCCAAAGTTATAAATGTAGAAAGCTGAGTCAATGTTCTTAAAGAGTTATAGACTACATGAAATGAGAGCTAGGCTGTATTTGGCCAAAGGATCATCAGTATGCTTTAAGCTGTGAAGGTGAGGAGAGAAGCCAGCTAGGGGACCCCCGAGTGCAAAAATGTGGAGGCTCTTGCTTTCAGCATCACAAACACACTACCTGCCCTTGTTCTCCCCCTACCCCAAAATTGATTCTATGTATTGAGAGAACTGTAGAAATATATTTGACCTGGGAGCCATATATAGGGGTAGAGAAGGGGCCAGCTATCTCATGGACATAACTTTTGTGCTTGCCCTCCTGTCATCCGCAGTACCTACTTCTCTTCCCTCCACATCTGAACACCCCTCCATGTACTGTCTGGGATTGTACAGCCTCTGCCCTGCATCTTCGGTTTCCACTTGTCTGCATGCTTTCTAGATTCACGTAATTAGTTGAATTCTCCTGTCAATGAATCACTTCCTTTTCTTTTCAATGTGGCAGTTTATTCCTGTATAATTGCTTTGCAACATTTTAGTTGGATCTGGAAATGCAGAGGAGATAGGTTATGCACGCAATTTGTCCGTCATTGTGAACCAATAGTCTTCTCCTTAGCCCAGTGACAGTACCTCCTTGTTTTCCTGAATATTCTTTTGCATTCTTTTGGAGTTCCTCTTTCCCCAGCCACTGCTTAAGTCTCTTGTTTCCTTCCAGGACTCTGTGTTCATTCCACTGTTCTTCCCAAGTCTCTTCCTGGGTAAACTCACCTGCTAACATCACTTCTCTGTTAATGACTCCAAAAATAATCCATATGTCCAGCCCAGAGCGCTCTCTGGCTACCTCCAGTGCTGTCAAGCTTTGGGTTCTTAATAGTCAACTGCCTGCTAGATATAATTGTCTGAATTTCTGAATGCTTAATACATAATTTTCAACTTGTTCAAAGTTCAATTCCTCATCTTCCTTCTTTAAAATGTTCTTTTTCCTTTTTCTATCTGATCGTTGGTAATATCATTCCCCAAGTCAGTCAAGCTAGAAACAAATGAGTAATCTTTGGTTCTTCCCTTTTCCTTACATCCCCAAATCTAATCAGTCATCTAGACCTTTCCATTTTACACCCCAAATATTTCTTAAATCTACTTCCAATTCTCCTGTGTGCTTCTCTCCCAGCTAAAAGGCCAAAAAAGGCCATTTACCCTGCATTGGGAGGAACCAGGTCCTGGTACTGCATCTTAGCCAGGCCGACCTTAACCTGACCAAATTGTAGAATCATGTTTCTAAACCTCTATTAGCAAAACTCTGCCCTATGTTTGTAACCTCAGTTCACGATGGATATAATTGTTTTATACAAATGGTGCAAAAAAGAGAAATAGATCTAAAAATGCCAAACTTCCAATCATTCTGTGTCATTTAATAGCCTGTCACTTATGGAAAGTTTGCCTCTACTGATATTAGCATGATATTTACCGGGAGAAAATTTGTTGCAGACACTGAAAGGGCTCCTCTAAACTCTAACATTGGTGCCGATGGATTGTTAAAACTATGTGCAACCAAGGATAACTTCTCTTTATTTTCTTTATATAAGTTATCTCATTTTTTTCTCTCAACAGTCTCATAATAGAGAAACGGAGGCTTAGCAAGCTTAAGGTCACATAATTAGTAAGTGCAGGGCTGAGACTCAAGACCATCTCTGCTTGTCTCCTAATCCTGTGCTGCTTTGGCTCTTCAACAGTTTAAAAGTTGGGATTCTTTAAGGATAAGGATCTTGACCACTTGATTTAAAGTAATCCTGTTCTATGACAGGCCAGAAACTATAGACTGTTGTGAGCTTCCAGGCTCTGCTTTGCCTCTGAATGTTCAGGTGGAGACTTGAACACTCGGCTTTTAGAATGACGATAACAGCAAAGATTTCTTGAGTGCTTACTATGTGCCAGGCTTTAAGTATTTTATATACATCCTCACAACAATCCTATGAGGCATGTTCTATTATTGTCTTCATTTTATAGATGAGAAAGCCAAGGCACAGAACGGTGACCAAGATCACACAGCTAGAGTCTGGATTTGAACCCATGAATCTGCAGTTTGTGCTCTCAGTCAGATGCTCCCCCTGCTCTTAATCCATTTCCTGTTTTCCTTCTTTCGAGTCCTGCTGCACTTAGCATCTTTCCTTTTCTCCTCAGCCTGTGATATCTGCTCCCAGAGACTCTTCTCCTTGGCTCTCCGTGCCTCTGCCATCATGGGCAGCTGCTCCTCCCAGGGACAGGAGGGATCCATACTCTGCTTCCTGGGTTGCCCCTGCTAGTGGTTCCATGTCTATTTCAGATCCATAGCCGGGTGGATGTCATCAGACACGTGGTGAAGAATGGTCTACTCTGGGATGAGTTGTATATAGGATTCCAAACACGGCTCCAGCGGGATCCTGACATATACCATCACCTGTAAGTCTGGAAGCACCTGGCGCCCCCAGGCCATTGCTGAGGACGCTGTGGATATGCATAAGCAGTCAGTGACTGCCGAAGCCCCCAGATTCTGACTAATGTGTGAGATTCCACCATTAGAGCTTCATTCCTTTGTTAGTTTGTTAAAAAGCAAATCTGGTTAGGAAGGTATAACATTAAAGAGTCATTTATACATTCATGTGAATGTGTTATTGCACCCTTCTGGAAGTGGGTTTTGGTATAAGAAAGAGAAATACATTATAAGAGGGAAAGGGTATGTTTGCCAAGACAAGAATGAGTATTTGTGTGGCAAAGACATGGTCATTGAATTAGTGAATTCCTGCATCACATTTTTGTCTGTGCTCACCTCTGAGCAAGAATTTGGTGGGCTAGTTGGTTTAAGGGAATGGCCCACTGAGTTTCTGTCTGCCTGCACTTCAAAACTGTTTAAGTCTTTAGGATCATATCTAGAATATTTGCACTGAAATTCAGAAAGGGCAATTTGCCATTTTTATATTTGCAAAATAATCACCAAAGGAAAGAGTACTTTTTCTCATTACCACAGATCCTCTGAAAAAAATGCAGAAATTTAATTTTAAAATTCTAATTATTTAAAATGTATAAGCAAAAGTTTGTACTCTGAGCTTGCAAGCAGAGGCATTTATTAAAATTTCTTTTTTACTTATTTCCTTTTGAATGTTTTTAAATGATATGAAAAAGCTTAAGAATGTGGAGCTATGTAAAATAAAAAGGAAGTAACCCCACCAAGCACCTCTCAGGAAACCCTGTTTCCTGCCCTTCCCTCCACCCACTCTTATGGTAAGCTTTGATAATAGCTCAGTGTGTATCCTCCCAGGCCTGTTTCTGGACATAGCAACATTTCTCTACATATATTTGTTTTCAATAAGATGTCCCACATAGTTGGTAGTGAGGGAGTGTTATTGTTGCCGTTGTTTTTATTTTTTTTTAATTTTGGCAAAGCACACACCACCTTTGGGATGTTGCTATTGTTTTTAAATGAAATCCTAGTACAGATATTCTGCAACTTGCATTTTTTACTCATCAATATATTTTAGATAGCCTTCCACATTGGGACATCCAGGTCAACCTCAAATCTTTTAACAGCTGTAAGACATTCCAAGTTTTTTTCATTTTCAACGGATCATATACGTAACTCTTGTTCTAGAAAGAAAGGAATCTGGCAACTTTTGAGGGGATCTTGGGGATTTTTTTTTTCTTAAGAAAATAATTCCATCTTAGAAATCGCTAAACTCTATCTTGTTCTATTGTGTTTTGGTAACAAGGGTCACAAATATAAGATGTCATCATAAATATTGGGAAGCAGTCACAGTCCACTTTATCTTGTTGCTCTGAAAATGGGATTTGTGAATTTACTAAACATTCTTCTGGTTATAAAAATAATACATATCCACTGTCAAAAATTTGAAAAAATATTTTTAAATGAAAAAACTACAAATAATCCCACTACCCAGAAATAATAATTGATATTTTGGTGTCTAGCTAATCTTTCTTTTTTTGCTTCCAAGCACATATACCATACATACTTTTCTACCTGTGTGTTTATCAACGCGATTTTCCACAGTATTGTATTTTCCTACATCATTTTTAATGCCTGCTTACCTGATACCACATACCTATATTAGCACTTTATTTAACCTCTTTGACCTGTAAGTCATTTCTAACTTTTCACTATTTGAAACAATGGCAAATAATCATGTGGATGTGTCTTGCACACATTCATAGTGACTTCTGTAAGTTAAATTCCTAGGAGCGGGGCTGCTGGATTCTATGAATACAGCGTCTAGGCTTTTAGTGCCCTCTGCCAAATCGTTCTTCGGGAAGCCAGTTCACCTTTCCAAAAATAATGTATGAGAGAATACATTTACCTGTACCTTCACTAATACTAGATTCTGTTGCTTTTGTGTACAAGATATAGATCTAGATTTTCACATATAAGGATTCCTTAAAGCAAGGAACATCATAGTACAATAAAAATAAGACAAAATCTCGTTCAAGGAGCTGTCTGTATTCAACACCCTGAAAGTTCTGAGCTACATCAACAGCTGGAACAGTACAGAAACACTATCTCTCAGGGAGGACAGAGTACCAGGTACCAAATAGATCCTGGCAAAGGAACAGGCATGGAAGTTTCCAGAGCACATTCCCATGCTTTATCTCTCTTACAGGTTTTGGAATCATTTTCAAATAAAACTCCCCCTCACACCACCCAACTGGAAGTCATTCCTGATGTGCTGTGAGCAGAATGGGCCTGTGATTTTGCAAGTAAGGAATATCCTGTGGGTTTGGGAGCTGTCCTACCGTGCATCCCGTGACACTCTCTTTGACACCTAAATTAAGCAGACGCGTTGCCTGACAGAAACCCGACTTTTGCGGGACTGAGAACAGCTAACATTACAAGACCATTCAAGTGTTTTAAAAAGTAAATAGGCTAGGCGTGGTGGCTCACGCCTGTAATCCCAGCACTTCAGGAGGCCGAGGCTGGTGGATCACCTGAGGTCAGAAGTTTGAGACCTGCCTGGCCAACATGGTGAAACCACGTCTCTACTAAAAATACAAAAATTAGCCAGGCATGGTGGTGCTTGCCTATAATCACAGCTACTCAAGAGGCTGAGGCAGGAGAATTGCTTGAACAAGGGAGGCAGAGGTTGTAGTGAGCCGAGATTATGCCATTGCACTCCAGCCTGGGAGACGAGCAAAAGTCCATCTCCCCACCCCCACCATCAGAAAAAAAAGTAAATCAGTAGTGCATCCAGTCCAGAGTCCATAGAACCTTTGGCCTGGTTGAGGTAAACATACAGCCAATAAGTAAACAAAACCAAAATCGTCCAGGTTGTGAGTGTTTAAAACATAATCCTGAGTACACGAGGGAAAGCAGCAACAAAAACTGAAGAGAGACAAACTAAAAACCGAGGGTGAGATGGAAAGCAGCAGCTCCTCATTTCCAATAGACCTCTCTCCTCTTTTGGACTAATGACGATGAACTTGCCTGGCACAAATCAGATTTGACATTCCTTTCCTGCAGCCTGAGATATGATTTTATTAAGTGAATTATAAAACCTGTCTCAGCTGGGCTCAGTGGCTCATGCCTGTAATCCCAGCACTTGGGAGGCTGAGGTGGGCAGATCACTTGAGGTCAGGAGTTTGAGACCAGCCTGGCCAACATGGTGAAACCCCATCTCTACTAAAAATACAAAAATTAGCCAGGTATGGTGGTGGGTGCCTGTAGTCCAAGGTACTTGGGAAGCTGAGGCATGAGAATCGCTTGAGCCAGGGAGACGGAGGTTGCAGTGAGCCAAGACTGTGCCACTGCACTCCAGCCTGGGCCACAGAGGGAAACTCTTGTCTAAAAAAAAACCTGTCTCCTCATGCTTCTGATTGAAGGGACCACATAATATGACTGCAAAGACAGTAAACTCCTTGACTCATGCATTTATTTATTCCTCAAACAGGTATCCCATCCCATTGTGTTATAATAATCTATTAATTGTTTTTCCCAGTAGATACTGAGATTCTTAAAAATAGGAACTGTCACCTGGGTAGACCTAGTGCCTAGCACAGTGCTGAGCACACGTATGGTTTTATTCCTAATATGAATTCAAGGAAGGAAGGTACAAGTGAATTTCTCTTTCCCATTGTCAGCATGAGTCGCCTCTTAAAATAGGCTTCAATGTCTTTAGCAGTAAAATTAAGGTTTGAATTAGAATATCTTTTACATACTTTCCAGTTGTAAAGTTACTTGTTCCATATTCTAATCTAGCATAAAGCACTGGGCTAGAACTTCTAAGTTATAATTATAAGCTAGAAGGGATGCTAAGGAAATCCACATGCAACTTTATTACAAGGTAGACTCTCATGAGCACTGTATTTGTTGTACAAACTGATTGTCGGGAATACTGAGGAAAGAAGGATTGCATGTGAGGTTTTGAGATGACCAGGAAGAACGTTGTAGAGAGATAGCATTTGAGGAGTAAGGGGTAGGGGATTGGCTTAAAGATTGGGAAAAGTTTTAAACAAGCTAAAACAGAGAGAGAGGAAGAATATCCCAGACAGAGAGAGTGGGTGAGGTTAAAAGGTGGAAAAATACAAGGTGAATTCATGCAATGGCAAGTCTTCCTCATATGGCACCGAAGTAAGGGAAACCAGGAAAGGGGCAGGAGTGGGAACTGGGAGAATAAGGAGAGTTAAGAGGGCTCAATGCAGATGCTGAGCAGGTTTAGCCATTGTGAAAAAGCAACAGGAATAAAAGCTAAGGAGGCAGCAGCTAGAGCAATAAGTCCAAGGTCTTAGAGATAGAGCAGTTTTGAAGGAAGACAAATTAAAGGTGTTTCTGTATAAGTGGGTGAATGAAGCAGAGCAGAGATGAAGGCAATAGAAATTAAGAGATCACTGTGTGCATTTGGACATTGCTGTCTCAAGGAGACTTGGAGTCCGACCTTTTGAGTTAAAACTCCAGCTCTGTCACCTACCATATGACCTTGGACAAATTATTGGATCTCTTTGTGTTCCAGATTTCCATCTGTAAAATGAATGTAATAGCACTTACCTCACAGGGTTATGTCATAGTATAAGGCATGTCTAGAAAAGTGACATGCCATGGTAAGTGAACAATAGATGTTGACCATATCAGCCCCATGAAATAAACAGGAATACCATGTGGCCCACAGTCAGTTGGTAAATCCTTAAGACTTGGGAGGAGGGTCATATTCCAGTTCACATTCCAGTTTTAGATTCTCGCTTATCTTAAAGCATTATAGACCTTGAACTAAATAAGAATAAAAATTTGCCCCAGTGCAGTAAGAAAATGAAAAGGCATTGAAATGAGATTCATACTGTTGTTCATTAATAATATCTTCATTTCACAGGAATGCAAAACCACATGAAAATTTCAAGAATTCACTGATCTGATGCAAAATAAAAATTTATCATTACATCTTGAACCCAGGAAGCTTACAGCAAAGAGACTATGCTTTATGACGTCAGCAATAGATAATTCCACGTTGCCTTTGTGATTTGTATATATAGCTTACATTTGTGGATCACTACATAGCCAGATTCAAAAATATTTTACTTGTTCCATCCACAGTTCTCTACAGAAAGAACCAATGAACCCAATAGGAACAAATTCTCTGTGGAAAACAAAGCATAGCTGTAGTAGATACGAATCCAATCACAGAGGAAACAGGAAGAGAAAAACATCCAAGACTACAGTGAAAACTGGAAATGGTCTGTTTTCGTGATATTCGTATGATTAAGATGCAAATTTTTTCTTAGGAAAATGTGATTGTTAACTAGCATTCTGTTTTACATGTTGACATTTCTAACACACACACCACTGATTTGAACTTCAAAATTTATTTTCTGATTATATATGCTAGGTCTGATTCTGAAGATACAAGAATTCAATGGTGGAATTTGTCTCCTGAAATTTCTAGATTCATAATTAGAAGTGTTTATTACCAACTTCTCACTTAGATTAACATCAGTGATGTTTGATTATTCTGGTTAACCGCTCACATGCATAACAATAATGCTAGAAATTCAGGAATTATAATTTTGTGATTTATACTGTGTGGTAAATTATTCAGTTCTCACTGCAAATAAATATAATGTATATCAATGTAATGTAGGTCAGAATGTCTATGGTGAGCAAATAAAAGATTATTTTAAAATATGAATTTTTCTCATACTAAGTCTATCTTTATTCTCCTGCTATCTTTCCAGTTCTCTCCTTCTGATATCCTGATACCACCAGTTCTTTGACATCACCAGGACCACCAGTTCACTGACCTGATATCAGCTCCTATGTCCTCACTTCCCTTTGCACTCCTCTCGCATATACCCCACATTTCCTGCTGTCTCCCCATCTCCAGTATCTCATGTCTCACTTCCATTACTTAAATAACCATGAAATCATCTTTCTACTTGGCTCTCACATCCACTCTGTCAACAAATTGTCACCTCCATCTTCAGAATATACCCAGGGTCTGACCAATCTCTACCACTTCCACTGCTACCAAGATCAGAAGAGGAAGGAAACTCAAAGGTACGATAATCTTGGCATTAGGGACTGATTTTCCTCCACAGACACCCGCCAATTCCAGAAAAGGCCAAGAAACTGAATGCCTCAAAATTTGCTCAAAGCCATTTACTGGGAGATGTCTCGTGGTCGACACATTCCTAGTATGAAGTCATCCTAAAGAGTGACAGGGAAGCTGCTAGCTCTTGTGTGCTGCCACCACACCTGGCCCCCTAACTTGTTTTTTGAAGCAAAAATATTGACACCAACACGTGACAAGACCATGTGGGGAAACAAAAATTTCAGGACAATTTCAGAAATGATCATAGATGCAAAATTCCAAAGTATCAACAAATCCAACCTAGCAATTTATAAAAAGGATGATTTATTACAATTCAGTTGGCTTTAATCTCAATGCAAAGTTAGTTTCACATGTGAAAATCAACCACATTAACTGAATAAAGGAGAAATTTTAGTCCCGGCATGGTGGCTCACGCCTGTGATCCCAGCACTTTGGGAGGATGAGGTGGGAGGATCACTTGAGTGCAGGAGTTTGAGACCAGCAATTTCAGACCAGCCTGGGCAACATAGAAAGACTCTACAAAAAAATTTTTTTAAATTAGCTGTTCCTCATGGCATGCACCTGTAATCTCAGCTACTCAGAAGGCTGAGGCAGGAAGATCATTTGAGCCCAGGAGGTGGAGGCTTCAGTGAGCCACGGTCGTGCCACTGCACTCAGCCTGGGCAACAGTGAGACCCTGATTATAAATAGAAGAAATTGTATAGGATTATGTCAATTTATGTACAAAAAAGTTTGATAAATGCTTTAATAGCCATTCGTAAACAAGTGAATAAAGAAATTCATAGTAACTAGGAATAGAAAAGATTTTTCTCTGAAAGAAACACTACAGCAAATATTTTAGCAGTGAAATGTTTAAACCTTCCCAGATTGGCAGTATTTCAAGGAGACCAGCCATCAACACTTCTTTGCAATATAATGAAAATTCTAGTCAGTGCAATAAGGCAAGAAATATGAAGTGTAATTATTAGAAGAAATAGATTAGTTGCAGAGAATATTCTTGTGAACACAGAAAATTCAAAACATTCTACAGATAAGTAGAAATAATGTTTAGCAAGGTTTCTGATATAAGGTCAATATACAGAAAAAAACTAATATTTATCAGTGATCCACAGAAAATAAAATTTTAAAGATACCTTTTATAACAGCATCAAAATATCAAATACCTAGGAATAAATCTAATAAAGTATGTGCACTATCTCTAAACAAAAGCTACAAAACAATATTCAGATAAAACCTAAATATCAAAGACGTAATAGAGGGACATGTCATGCTAATGAACTGGAAGACTCAATTTTTTTTTTTTTTTTTTTTTTTGAGACAGAGTCTTGCTCTGCCACCCAGGCTGGAATACAGTGGCCCGATCTCAGCTCTCTGCAACTTCCACCTCCAGGCTTCAAGCAATTCTCCTGCCTCAGCCTCCTGAGTAGCTGGGATTACAGGTGCCTGCCACCACACCCAGATAATTTTTGTATATTTAATAGAGATGGGGTTTCACCATGTTGGCAAAGCTGGTCTCGAACTCTTGACCTCAGGTGATCCGCCCATCTTGGCCTCCCAAAGTGCTGGGATTACAGGTGTGGGCCATCATGCCCTGCCAAGACTCAATATTTTTTAAAGTCAAATTTACCCAACAACTTTTAAGCCTTTCAACAGGTATTTGTTTTATGGAAATTAAGAGGCAGTTTCTAAAATTTACATAGCAATAGAAAATTTCAGGAGTAACCAAGGCACTCTTTAAAGAAGATGAGGAATAAGGAGGATAGGAAGAACGAGAGAAGGAGGTGGAGAGGGAGGAGTAGAAGAAGATGGTATGTGTTCTACAGGATAACAAACTTATAGTAATTTGACAGTAGGGTAGTGGCTCAAGGGAGACAAATAGATCAATATAACATAATGGAAAGCACAAAAACTCAGGCAAACATGGAGACTTACTTTCAGACGAAGATGGTACTGCAGATCAGTGGAGAAGGTGCAGTCTTTTAAATAAATATGCTAGTTGAATTGGATATCATATGCTGGGAGCCTTGACCCCTATGTTATAACAGAAACAAGGAATCAGTGTGAGGTGAATTATAGATCTAAATGTGAAAAGCAAAACAATAAAACTTCTACATGATGATATATGGAAATATCTTTGTGACCTTGCTGACAAGATTTCTTAAACAGAACACAAACAAGCACTAACCATCAAGAGAAAAAAAATGAACAATTAGACTACAGTAAATATAAACTCTATTCATGGCTCACAGCTGTTTACCCAAGAGAAATGGAAATATGTTCACAAAAAACTTAATGTTTGCAGCAGCTTGATTCAGAATTACTCCTAAACTGGAAACAATTCAAATACCTGTCAACTGGCACATGGCTAAACAAAAGGTAGTGCATCTATACAATGACATACTATTTCATAATTAAAAGGAATAAACTGTTGACACATGCAACATGAATGAATCTTGAATGCGTTACAGCACATGAAAGAAGCCAGACTCAAAATACAAATATATAGATGGAGAACAAATCAATGGTTGCCAGAGTGTAGTGGGAGGGAGAGGCAGTTACTATGAAGGAGCAGCATGAGTAAAATTTTGCAGGGGATGGAACCGTTCTGTATCTTGATGGTGGTGGAGGATACACAACTCTATGCATTTGACAAAACTCATAGCACTGTACATCTAAAAGCGTAAATTTTATGATATGTAAATCTCAAAATAACCTATTAAGCTCTTAATAACCTATTCATAAGCTACTATTAACCTATTCACTAAGAATGATATTAAGGGAATAAAAAGGTAAGCCACAGAGGGGCTCTTACAAATTTAAAAGACCAATAATATAGTAATAGAAAATTTTGAACCACTCACAAAAGAAGCTTTGAAAAGATGCTCAAATTAATTACTCACTGGGGAAAGGCAAATTAAAATTCCGCTGAGACACCACTACCCATCTACCAGAATGGCTAACATGAAAAAGGCAACTTCAAGTGTCACTGAGGATGTGGAGCCATAGGAAGTCTCATACTCTGCTGGTGGGAGTATAAATTAGTACAATCCCTTTGGTTAATCATTAGGCACCCCTAAAGTGAACATACGTGTAATCTATGACTCCATAATCCCCTTCGTCAGTATATACCCAACAAAAATGTACACATGTATTCACAAAAACACATGTTATCTGTAAGAATGTTCATAGCATCCCTTTTTCTAATAGGAACCTGGAAGCACCCCCAAATACCCGTCAGGAGAAGATTAAATTGTGGTATATTCATACCATGGAATTCTCCACTGAAGCAATTCTTTTTTTTTTTTTTTTTTTTGAGATGGAGTCTCACTCTGTTGCCCAGGCTGGAGTGCAGTGGCCTAATCTCGGCTCACTGCAAGCTCCGCCTCCTGGGCTCAAGTGATTCTCCTGCCTCAGCCTCCTGAGTAGCTGGGATTATAAGCACCCGCCACCATGCCCGGCTTTTGTATTTTTAGTAGACACAGGGTTTCACCATGTTGGTCAGGCTGGTCTCAAACTCCTGACCTTGTGATCCACCCACCTTGGCCCCTCAAAGTGCTGGGATTACAGGTGTGAGCCACCGCACCCAGCCTGAAGCAATTCTTTAAAGTGATGATCACAGACCCATGGAGGTCCCAAGACCCTTTTGCAAAGTCCTTGAGGTCAGAACTATTTTCAAAATAATACTAAATTTTTTTGCCATTTCCTCCACTTGTTGACCCTTACATTGTAGTGTGTATAAGTACTGACACCTTATTCTGGACGGAGGTAGAGGCATCAAACCATGCTGTCATTGTATTAGGTGCTTACAGTTAAAAAAAAAAAAAGTTTGTTTTATTTAACATCCATGATGTTGCAAGAAAAAGCACTGATTTTTCCGGGCGTGGTGGCTCACACCTGTAATCCCAGCACTTTGGGAGGCTGAGGCGGGTGGATCAGGAGGTCAGGAGATCGAGGCCATCCTGGCTAACATGGTGAAACCCCGTCTCTACTAAAAATACAAAACATTAGCTGGGCATGGTGGTGGGTGCCTGTAGTCCCAGCTACTCAGGAGGCTGAGGCAGGAGAATGGCCTGAACCCTGGAGGCAGAGCTTGCAGTGAGCCGAGACCGCGCCACTGCACTCCAGCCTGGGGGACAGAGCGAGACTATGTCTAAAAAAAAAAAAAAAAAAAAAAAGAGAAAGCACTGATTTTATTAAGTGTATAAATTTAGTAAGAATCTTGAGTACATGTTTTATAGGAAGAGTGAGCACAGCACTTCTGCTCCATACTCAAGTGTGACGGCTGTCCCGAGGGAAGGAGCCTACGTTATTGAGCCATGAACTACACTGGCCATCTTTTTTCATGGAACACAGTTTTGCTTTGAAAGAAAAACTGACACAAAAAAACTAACGAAGCATGGTGGTGCAGGCCTGTAATCCTAGCTACTCGGGAGGCTGAGATGAGAGGATCACTTGAACCCAGGAGTTAAGAGAAAATTAAGGAAATACAAATGGCCAATGAATAAATGAAAAGAAGCTTAATTTACTAATATGATGCACTGAGATAAATGTACAAGAGAGGGCACTGGCAAAATTATGTATCATTTTAGAGCTTAGAAGAAATAAGCATCTATCAATTAGGAAATAAATATATTACAGTAAATCACATTATATTAATATGTAGTGGTTAAAAACAATGAGGTAGCTCTATGTTTATTGATCCAGAAAGACGTACAATGCACATTTAAAAAGAACTAAGTTATAAAAATATCACTTATGTTTAAATAGCACTTTACAGGCACAACTTGTTTTATTATGCTTTATTGTACTTCACAGATATTACATTTTGTGTGTGTGTGTGAATTGAAGGTTTGTGGCAACTGTGCACTGAACAAGTTTATCAAGCCATTTTCCCAGCACCAGGGGCTCACTTCATGTCTCTGTGTTACATTTTGATAATTCTCATATTTCAAATGTTTTCATTATTATTATATCTGCTATTGTGATCTGTGATCAGTGATCTTTCATGTTACTATTCTAATTGTTTTGGGGCACCACAAACCCATATAAGACAGAAAACTTAATAAATATTGTGTGGGTTCTGACTTCTCCACCCACATGCTATTCCTCCATCTTCCTCTCTTCCCTCTGGCCTCTTTATTCCCTTAGATGTGACACTACTGAAATTAGGCCAATTAAGATCCCTACAATGGCCTGTAAGTATTGAAGTGAAAGGAAGAGAAGGTCACATGTCTCTCACTTTAAATCCACAGCTAGAAATGATTAAGTTTAGTGAGAGAGGCATGTTGAAAGCCAAGATAGGCCAAAAGTTAGGCCTCTTGCACCAAAGAGTTAGGCAAGTTATGAATGCAAAAGAAAAGTTCTTTAAGGAAATTAAAAGTGCTACTCCAGTGAACACACAAATAAGAAAACAGCCTTACTGATGATACGGAGAAAGTTTTAGTGGTCTGGATAGAAGATCAACCCAGCCACAACATTCCCTTAAGCCAAAGCCTAATCCAGAGCAAAGTCCTAACTTTATTAAATCTATGAAGTTTGAGAGAGGTGAGAAAGTTGTAGAAGACAAGTTTGAAGCTAGCAGAAGTTGGTTCACGAGGTTTAAGGAAAGAAGCAGTCTTCATAACACAAAAGTGCAAGGTGGACCCTTCCTTACACCTTATATAAAAATTAACTCAAGATGGATTAAAGACTTAAAACGTAGGACCTAAAACCATAAAAACCCTAGAAGAAAACCTAGGCAATACCATTCAGGACATAGGAATGGGCAAAGACTTCATGACTAAAACACCAAAAGCAATGGCAACAAAAGCCAAATTTGACAAATGGGATCTAATTAAACTAAAGAGCATCTGCACAGCAAAAGAAACTACCATCAGAGTGAACAGGCAACCTACAGAATGGGAGAAAATTTTTGCAATCTACCTATCTGACAAAGGGCTAATATCCAGAATCTACAAAGAACTTAAACAAATTTACAAGAAAAAAACAACCCCATCAAAAAGTGGATAAAGGATATGAACAGACACTTCTCAAAAGAAGACATTAATGCGGCCCACAGACATATGTAAAAAAGCTCATTATCACTGGTCATTAGACAAATGCAAATCAAAACCACAATGAGATTCTATCTCATGCCAGTTAGAATGGCAATCCTTAAAACATCAGGAAACAACAGGTGCTGGAGAGGATGTAGAGAAATAGGAACACTTTTACACTGGTAGTGGGAGTGTAAATTAGTTCAACCTTTGTGGTTGAGGATCTAGAACTAGAAATACCATTTGACCCAGCAATCCTATTACTGGGTATATAACCAAAGGATTATAAATCATTCTGCTATAAAGACACATGCACACGTATGTTTATTGTAGCACTGTTCACAATAGCAAAGGCTTGGAACCAACCCAAATCCCCATCAATGATAGACTGGATAAAGAAAATGTAGCACATATACACCATGGAATACTATGCAGCCACAAAAAATGATGAGTTCATGTCCTTTGCAGTGACATGGATGAAGCTGGAAACCACCATTTCCAGCAAACTAACACAAGAACAGAAAACCAAACACCACATGTTCTCACTCATAAGTGGGAATGGAACAATGAGAACATATGGACACAGGGAGGGGAACATCGCACACTGGGGCCTGTTGTGGGATGGGTGGATAGGGGAGGGATAGTTGATGGGTGCAGCAAACCACCATGGCATGACCTGCACATTCTGCACATGTACCGCATAACTTAAAGTATAATAAAAAATAAATAAAATAAAAAGAAATGAAATAGTGGCATTCACAGCAACCTGGATGAAACTGGAGACCATTATTCTAAGTGAAGTTACTCAAGAATGGAAAACCAAACATCGTATGCTCTTGCTTATAAGCAGGAGCTAAGCTGTGAGAATGCAAAGGCGTAAGAATGATAAAGTGGACCTTGGAGACTCGGGGAAAGGGTGGGAGGAGGGTGAGGGACAAAACACTACACATTGGGTACAGTGCACACTGCTCAAGTGAATGGGTGCACCAAAATCTCAGAAACCGCTAAAGAACTTATTCATGTAATCAAACACCACCTGTTCCCCAAAAACCTATTGAAATTAAAAAAAAAAATTGTGCTGAAAAAAAAAAGTGCAAGGTGAAGCAGTAAGTGCTGATGTAGAAACTGTAGCAAGTTATCCTGAAGATCTAGTTAGGATCATTGATGAAAGTGGCTATACTGAACAATAGATTTTCAATATAGATGAAACAGCCTTCTACTGGAAGAAGATGCCAGCTAGGACTTTCATAGCTAGAGAGGAGAAGTCAATGCCTGGCTTCAAAGTACAATGTGAATCTTTTGCTCAGGGCTAATGCGGCTGGTGACTTTAAGTTGGAACTAAAGCTCATTTACCATTCTAAGAACCTAGAGCCCTTAAGAATTATGTCACATTATTCTGCCTGTCCTCTATCAATGGAACAACAAAGCCTGTTTTCAGGTAATACACTTGTTTTCAGTATACGTTACTAAATATTTTAAGCCCACTGTTGAGACCTGCTACTCAGAAAAAAATTATTTCTTTCTAAATATTATTGTTCATTGACAATGTGCCAAGTCACTCTGGTGCTGTGATGGAGATATACAAGGAGATTAAGGTTTCATGCCTGCAAACACAACATCCATTCTGCAGCCCATGGATCAAGAAGTAATTTTAACTTTTAAGCCTGATTATTTAACAAATACATTTCATAAGGCCACAACTGCCATTGATAGTAATTCCTCTCATGGACCTGGGCAAAGTAAATTTAAAACCTTCTGAAAGGATTCACCTTTCTAGATGCTACCAAGAACATCTCTGATTCATGGGGAGGATGTAAGAATATCAACATTAACAGGAGTATGGAAGAAGTTGATTCCAACTCTCTTGGATGACTTTGAGGGGTTCAAGACTTCAGTGTATGAAGTAACTGCAGGTGTGGTTGAAATAGCAAAAGAACTAGAATTAGTAGTAAATCCTGAAGATGTGACTGACTTGCTGCAATCTCAAAACTAACAGATGAGGAGTTGTTTCTTATGGATGAACAAGGAAAATGGTTTCTTGAGATGGAATATACTCCTGGTGAAGAGGCTGTAAACACTGTCCAAATGACAACAAATGATTTAGAATATAACATAAACTTAGTTAATAAAACAGTGGCAGGATTCGAGAGGATTGACTCCAATTTTGAAAGAAATTCTACTGTGATTAAAAGGCTATCAAAGAGTATCACATGCTACAGAGAAATCCTCTGTGAAAAGAAGAGTCAATTGATGTGGCAAACTTCATTGCTGTCTTATTTTAAGAAATTGCACCAGCCACCCTAGCCTTCAGCAACTACCACCATCAAGGCAAGGCCCTCAACGAGCAAGATTACAACTCGCTGAAGGCTCAGATGATCATTAGCATGTTTTTTAGCAATGAACCATTTTTTAAATTAACATATATAATTGGTTTTTAGACATAATGCTCTTGCACATATAATGGACTATAGTATAGTATAAACATAACTTTTATATGCACTGGGAAACCAAAAAATTTGTGTGACTCATTTTATTATTTGTTTTCTCGCGGGGGTCGGGAATCAAACCCACAATAACTCTGAGGTATGCCTGTAAATAATATATAATGTATATATGCATGTGTGGGTGTAAGTGTGCATGCATGTGCATGTGTGTGTGTGTGTGTAACTCCAAGGACAAAGATGTGAAGCACTTACACCAATCTATTAACAGGGAGAAGAAAGACAGGAAGGTAATGGAATCTTCTACCTCTTACTCTATATGCTTCTGTACCATTTAAATGTATTACTATAAAGCATTTTTATATTTGTTGTGGAATTAGAAAAACAAAAACATTAGTATATATAACATTGTAAACCCTTAACTCTACCGCTGTAACTCAGTTATAATATTTTTAGTATTCTTTTCTAGCTTTATTAAATATTTCTATTTTTAGTTAGATATTTTATATCTTCTTAGACATCATGTTTTCATATTACTACATGTTAAAATAATTATAATATTCCATATTCTGAATGAGCCATAGCTTCAACTTTTCTTCAATTGTTGACTATTAAACAATCTTATGAAGATACCATCCATATTACATTTTTCATGTTTTAAATTCTTTTCTTGCAAGAAAATTCTTGAAATTGGATTATGGAATCAAAGGATATGAACAATTGTTCTGATGCATCTCAGTCTTCCAGTGAATGTGCAGGCCCATGTAACATGGACAGTCTTCTGTGTTCTACCTAAACATATATTTCCCACGGTGCTCCACAATGTTAATTCTGCAGAAACTACCACTCTGCTGTTTGCAAATGTTACTCGTGCACTCTTTCTTTTCCAAAAATGCCTTCAACACCTTTAAGGGGATAATGTTTTCTGAGAAACAACGAAAACCTTATTCAGTGCCTCCATATATTCTAAAGCATTAACCAAACGTAAGAAAAAAGATATCAGAACTTTGCCTTCTTGTCATGGCCATGTTATTATTTTAACAGCTAAAAATCAAGGTTAGTTGAACCAAAAAAATAGTTAAACTAGAATTGTAAGAATAAGTATTTTCCCTGTGGACTCAATTTTAATTTGAATGGAGAAAATGCTACCTTGAACAGTTGCAAGTAGGTACATTAGGAAACTGCAATGAGCCTATGTTGTCGACAGGTGGCGGAAGAGGACCACATCAAAACCCTGCGGCCGGCACACTAGTTCCTTTTTGCCCCTTTGAAAGCTGTAGCTGTGGACTCCATGAGGACTTCAAAGTAATTAAAGCGGCTGCCTTTCACCTTTTCAAGAGTTTGTTTCATCTGATGTATCTAGGAAGAGAGGGGCTTCCTTTGGGGTCCCAGTGGTCCCTTGGAAGCTCTCCCTTGAGTCTTCACACAGATACCCCCTCCACCCTGTAGCGTCCTGTTCACCCCACTGCCTTGCAGGCTGATGTGCGGCACGCTTCACCGAAGCTTTTGGGTATTTAAGGACACTACAGAGCAGAAGGTTAAAAATTAAAGTTTTATGCTAAGTATGACTTCCTCTTATTTTGGTGAAAAACTAACCTTCCTTCCTTCCTTCCTTCCTCCCTCCCTCCCTCCCTCCCTTCCTTCCTTCCTTCCTCCCTCCCTCCCTCCCTCCCTTCCTACCTTCCTCCCTCCCTTCCCTTCCTTCCCTTCCTTCCTGAATGAGATGGAAGATCTCACTATGTCTCCCAGGCTGGCATCAAACTCCTGGGCTCTATCAGTGTTCCCACCTCACCCTCCCTAGTAGCTGGGACTACAAGCATGCCCCACCACACCCATCTCTAAGGCTCCCTTCACAGGAGGGTGCTTTGGGATGCACACAACTCCTAATCATTATTTCCTGCTCTCAAATCCAGGCCTCTTTATAGGGAGAGGGAAAAAAATGTATCTCTCCTTCCTATCTCACCCAGGCATTCTTCACCCAAGATTTAGGAGACCTCTTCCACTCAAAGGAACTCATCCTAGGACCTCATAGGAACTCATCCTAGGACCATGCCTGTTCCTAGGCAGTGCATTTCCAAATGAAATATTCACACTAATAATTCCTCAATGGCTTCATAGATGCAATCAGCCACCACCTGTATCACTGCAAGACCCCGGGGTCCATGGCTGAGAGGGAGGGAGCCCTGCTGGCTTTGGACTTCAAGGCCTCCTGGCATCCAGGGCAGGCAGGTACACTCTTAGTATGGCTGTCTTAGAGATCTTCCCATGGCTAAACATGCAGGTGAAGGTGGACTCAAACCCACAGACCTTTGAGCAATAAATGTTTATTTTCCCAGAAAGTTGTCTCCATTTTTAGGAAGGAAGGGATATTTTCCTAACTTGCCAAGCAGAGGAGTTCAAACGTCACTTTATTAGGCAAAGCAATGTTATTTCTTGTGTTTTGAAGTCACTTCTCCCCAACCACCCCCCGAGCCGTTTTTTTTTTTTTTTTTTTTCAAATTATGCATCTTTAGGCCAACCAGGAATAGGAAAGGGGCCTATGTCTAAGACATTCATTTCTTAATGAACATTCCCTTCAGTACACAAAAGCTAGACTCCCTTAACTTTGAAATGCCATGTTGTAGGGGGTAGGTTCTTAGGGTCCTCCTCAGCCTCAGCCTGTGGGCAGGTGGGAGTTGGGTAGTTTTGTTCTTTCACTTACATAACTAAAAAACCAAGATGGGAGGACTGGACGCTCTGTGTAACCACAGATATCACGCCATTGAAGGGTGCAGTCCGAATGAGAGAGTCTCATGTGTTAATAATTATCTGCTACTCACAAAATGGTAGCCCTGCCCAGTAATCCAGCTAAGGAGCTAAAAAGAGAATTTTTCATTTTTGAGGCATGGACCTACCCCATCTGGACCTGTGGAGAGCCTGTTTCCATTAAAACAGCATTTACCAACCTGGTCATTTCAGTAGCTGTGATTGGCTCAGGTGAATGAAACTTAGCAGTAAAAATTTTCATTTATCTCTTTTGCATGGAAAAACCTTTAAGACTGGGGTAAATGTGCTTCCACAAAATAGGTCAAGTAAATTCTTATAAGGCCAAGCAATGAAGCAATGTTTCCAGGGGCCTCAGGCCAATAGTTCTGTAGGAAAAAAAAATGAAAATATCAGTGGCCTCGCAAGCCAGGAACAAACATTTTGTTGCCCTCTGGGTAGATAGATGTTATTAAGCATTAAGTTCAACTAGACATTTGGGACTCAATGATTAGGGCATTTGTGACCATTGCAACAGTGAGTCCCAGCTGCCCGAACCCCACCAGCTAAAGTATCCACAGCTCTGGTGCATCTCTGTAGAACTTACAGTGAATTCTGGAAATGGTACATGCCTAATAATAATTATGTTATCATTGTACACTTTTTTTTTTTTTACAAAGTGTTTATGAAGACAGACATGCTTCAATAACATTACCTAGGAAATGTAGCATTTGCGTTCCCGCCCAGAAGAGAACTATTTTGAGCTTGGTTGGGTCCCATCTGGAATTGACTTTTCCCATTAAAAGGACAAAATACTAAACTTTACTCTTATTTCTCGCTAGTGACTTGGGGCAGAAAAGAGGTAACTGGAGAAAAAGTGTCCTGATTAAGGAGAAAGAGCAGTACTACAAAATTGGGCAAATAAAGGGAGAAATCCTTCCCGGGATAATAATTCATCCTGGGCTTATATTTTGTAAAGCTTATTACAGAAAGCGAAAACTCCTTAGGGATATAATTGCAAAAACACTCTGAACTTATAGTGCTACACCAAAATGAAGAATTTGCTTTGATGCATGATTAGTTTTAGCATTTATCCAAATTTAGTCCCCTGTAGAATAAGAATAACTTTGGACACAGAGGAGATATGAACTGGATAGCCAGAGATAAATAGAAACACAAATCAGAACAGAGCAGAGGTCATTCTTATCGCCATACTCAGCTAAGGGTTTTCATCAATTTATATTGGAAATGAATGAACAATTCATACTAAAAACTCATGGTATCATTTACAGTTTACCATGTATAACGTTCAAAGTAACTGTAAGGAAACCTACAACTGATTCTCATTCTAGAGTGTGGATTTGATTTCAACTCCTGTGCTTGTGTTTATAGGCTCAGGATTTGAAGAACCCTTGGGTGGTGGTGGATGAGATGACTCCTTTAGGGGGCTCTGACTCGCCACTGAGACAAGATCCTGGGTCTCTATCCTGGCTAACACGGTGAAACCCTGTCCCAGCTACTCAGGAGGCTGAGGAAGGAGAATGCCGTGGACCCGGGAGGCAGAGGTTGCAGTGAGCCGAGATAGCGCCACTGCACTCCAGCCTGGGAGACAGAGCGAGACTCCATCTCAAAAAAAAAAAAAAAAAAATCCTGGGTCTCAGACAGAGTAGATCAGGTGAGGTGAGCAGCAGCTCCTGTTCCTTCTGGAGCGTCACACACCCCATTTCCACAGCACTCCTTTCCTCTGAGCCAGTTATAGCTCCCATTAAGTTTCTTCTTTCTTTGCATCTGTCAAGACCTCCACCATCCTCAATGCTTACCTCCGTGGCATCCCCAGCCTGCACCTCTCCTTCTCCAAACCCCCATCACACCATACAACTGAGCCTCCAGTTGATGGCTGGCCATTTAAGGTGAGTTAGTGTTGACTCCTCTGCAAGCGCTGGAAGTCAGGGACTACATCTTATATTCTGCGGTCATACTGCCTAACACAGTGACATTTTCAGTTAATCCTTAGCAATAACAGCTAGCATTTATCAAGTTTTATGATGTATCAGGTGCTTTGTTAAGCATACAACATACATTGTTTCTTTCAAGATACAAAGATTTTGTTATCTCTGTGTTGTCAATGAAAAAACTAAGGCTCAAAGAGCTAGTTAACTAGACAGCCCAGTGTCACGTTATTCATATGAATCCACTCGTGTCTTCCTCTACGTGAGGCAGGTTTCTCCTATGCCCTCTGCATGGGTGTAGGGGAAGGTGGTTCTGGTGATTTCATCTGGCCCCAGGACCTTTGCAAGTTCGTAGCATACTCCCAGTGTGCCCACAAAACCTGTGCTTTGCAATGCTAAAGGCATTTCTGGAGACATGAGAGTGGCTAGGTGGGAGGGGAAGGGCTCAGGAGGCCTGGAAATAAGTTCCCAAAACACAAGCATTGGTTTAGGAGGAATTCGGAATTGGTTTAGGAGGAATTCTCCCTCTCCATCCTGTATCTGCTGCTTTTTCTCCACTTAGGACACTTTAAAAAATAAAATAAAATAACTGGGTTTAAGTATACATGTGGATATTTTATTTTCCCAGCTGCAGCAAGAACAGCCTGGATGTTTCAGATTCTTGGGGCTTTCAGAGATGGGTCATGTCAACAATGCTGTCCTCTCTTAGGATATTAAAGAGTATTAAAGGATTTCATTCAGAGGGTTCTCCTGACATGTGGTGGGTTGGAAATATGATCCAAAGTATCCAAATTACAAATGTAAGAAAACAGTAATACTGAATGTTAAATTATTATTAAGGACTTACATTTGGGCTTTCTACTGGCTTTCAGTCAATATGCTTTGCTTTTTTTTTTTTTTTTTTTTGAGATGGAGTCTCACTCTTGTCACCCAGGCTGGAGTGCAATGGCGTGATCTCGACTCCCTGCAACCTCCGCCTCCCGGGTTCAAGCAATTCTCCTGCCTCAGCCTCCTGAGTAGTTGGGCTTACAGACGCCTGCCACCATGCCCAGCTAATTTTTGTATTTTTTAGTAGAGACGGGGTTTCACCATGTTGGCCAGGCTGGTCTCAAACTCCTGACCTCTAGTGATCCACCCGCCTCAGCCTTCCAAAGTGCTGGGATTACAGGCTTGAGCCACCGCACCTGGCCATGCTAAGCTTTTTAACAGTCATGATGACTAGTGTTTATTGAGTGTCCATTATGTGACTGTTTTGCATATATTATCTCTAATCCTCATAGCAACTCTGAAAGATATGTATTATTCAACCCATTTTATAGACGAAGGCTCAAGGAGGCTCAGTAACATGCCCAGAGCCACAATAGTGGGGGGCCCAGAATTCAGATCTGAAGTAATTTGATTTCAAATATTAAATATTTGGCCATTTTCTCCCCACCCAGCATTGTGGCTGCTAGCCATCCTTTATATGAAACATTCATCTCAATTACTAAAAGTGGCTTAAACCTATTTTCTCCTACTAACATGAATATATACATCTCTGTTCTCAGCAGAAGACACAAGAGTACAGGGATCAGAAAAACCCTTGAATGTTGCAGACTGCCCCAGTGCCATCAGACTTCAGATGTGTGACTCATTTTATTTTTGGTCAACACACGTAAGTCACAATAATACATCCTCTTTTTCCAAGGAAGGATGTTTAATAAGAATAAAGATGGCCAGGCCTGGTGGCCCATGCCTGTAATCCCAGCACTTTGAGAAGCCGAGGCGGGTGGATTACCTGAGGTCAGGAGTTTGAGACCAGCCTGACTAACATGGTGAAACCCCGTCCCTACTAAAAATACAAAAATTAGTCGAGCGTAGTGGCACATGCCTGTAATCCTAGCTACTCCAGAGACTGAGGCAGGAGAATCGCTTGAATCCGGGAGGTGGAGGTTGCAGTGAGCCGAGATTGTGCCATTGCACTCCAGCTTAGGCAACAGAGTGAGACTCCATCTCAAAAAAAAAAGGAAGAAAGAAAGGGTCTAATATTGAACTTTGCATAAAAGGGGCCACAATTAATCAATTTAATTAGGTGGAATATGCTAAGCTTTTAATAAGCATTGTCTCATTTAATCACCAAAAACAGCCCCTGTAGAATTGGTATTTACTGATGGTCTGACCTCAAGCAAGTTACTCTGTCCCACTGAGCTCCAGTTCCCTGGTCTACAAAATGGAGATAATGATAGTTCCTGCTTCATAAGGTTATGATGATATTAAATAATCCACATAAAGTGCTTAGCCCAGCACCCAAAACAAAGTAAAAGCTCAGATAGTGTTTGCTCTTGTCCCTATTTTACAGATCAGAAGCCTGAGACTCATAGAAATTAAGTATCGTGCCGAGTCACATCACTGAGAGCTAAACCTCAAAGTGAAATTCACTAACCACTCTGCTATACTGCCTTGCTTAGCTAATGGTTGGTTTAATTAAATAAGTTAATTAATTATTGAAATTGTATCTTTTGTCCCCTGACTCTACTGTGTCTGGAGATAAACTCTGTTGGTTAGAGCACAGGGCTACAAAGACCAAGGCTAGTTAATACATTCCTCACCAGCCATCCTGCAACCCCAAAAGGATGATGGATGGAGGGGCTGTGGATGAATCCATGCATAGCCATCACTGCTATCAGAAAACAATCCTAGCCCTACTGTTAGTAGCCCTAGTTAGAGTGACCCTGTGTTCTGGTATGCCCAAACCAGTCTTGGTTTATTGCAGTCTTCCCGGTACAATTATTAACAGTGCCCTCTCGCTCTCAAAAGGTCTTGGTTTTGGCCAACAATTATATGCCCACTCTACCCATAAGTGGTAGAGCAGCATGTTCTCATCATCCGCTGCCTCCTTGGTCCTGTTCACAGACTGTCAACAGCCATGTCTTGTACACTGGGACTTTTCCCCTACCCCTCATGGCTGACTGCTTTAAACCTCAACCTTTTCTCCTTGAAATTCTCCCCTCCATAATTTCTCAATTCTTCCTGGCTTCAGATGCTTGGCTATGGTATGGGGTTTAAAGATGTTGGCTGGAACCCCATGACTGGAGTCGGTAGCCTGGCCCCACCACTGACAGGCTGGCAAATCACTTCATCCTTCCCTAAGCCTGAGTGTCCATGTCTGTAGAGCAGAAGAATAGGCTGGCTCTCAAGGGGTTCTAATAATATGGTGCTTGGAAAATGTCAGCTGTCCATTAGTCATACTATTATCTGTTTGTGAAAACAACAAAAAAGAGATCATGGAATAGTCCAGCAAAATTGTGCCTGCTGGGCACCAAATCACACAAGCATGACTAAGGATCATTGGGGGATGATACAGAAAAGCATGAATACACTATTTTGCTCCTGTTAAAGAGGGATGGAGGCTGAAACTACCATGTAAATCGGGGGAAGCCTGTGGGTATGAATTGTGAGTGGCATTGCTGGCCCCCTGCCTGACACTTGTCAAGCTACCTAGGATTTTCCTGCTACTTTCCACAACCTCTGCCTCCTGGATTCAAGCAATTCTCCTGCCTCAGCTTCCCGAGTAGCTAGGAATACAGGCATGTGCCACCATGCTCAGCTAATTTTGTATTTTTAGTAGAGATGGGGTTTCTCCATGTTGATCAGGCTGGTCTCGAACTCCCAACCTCAGGATTCACCCACCTCAGCCTCCCAAAGTGCTGGGATTACAGGCATGAGCCACCGCACCCAGCCTGGTCTGAGAGTTTTTCTTAACTTCTAAGAATGTACTGTTCAATCTCAGAGCCTCTGAGTTCCCCTTAGCTCTTCAAGGAGCCCTAATGCAGTATCTTCCAACCTGCCTGCTTTCCTAGTAAGGTGCCCCAAGCTCTGGACTTGTTACCATCTCTACTATGTCTCATCTTGTAGGGAGCTGCTCTCTGCTAGCTATTACCCTGGTGGTATGAAAACTGCTAAGTGTGGTGGACAGGTGTTGGCATTGCCTTCCTAATATCCAGTTTCTCCTCTAACGGTAAGAGCACCTGAAGTTTTCCTTGCTGATCAGCCCCCTCTCACTCTCATTACATGTGGCTTGGGTGGGGCTGACCCTTCTTTCCCACCCCAGCCATTGGCACAGGACTGTGACCTCATCCATTAATGTCACAGTGGTTGGTTTATAGAAGACCACACGGCTCCATTTGAGTCAAAGGGACATAGTCTTGAGATTTGGGCTGGAATGACAGGGAAAGAGCCACTCCTTCCTTTGGGTTGTTAAGTGAGTAAGAAGTTACGAGAGGCCATCATTGTCCCCAGAGAATGAAGCCAACTGAGAAAAACAGAGTTGACAAATGAAAAAAAGATTTCTGACGACATTATTTTGACACCTGATCCACCTGAGCTTCAAGCCATCTACCATAATGATTGAGACAATTAAATTCTGTTTATGCTTATACCATTTTAAGTTTATGTCACTTACAACCAAAAGAGTCTGGTTAATGCAACAAGAAAGTGTGTGATCCCTCTAAGGTTTACATTTTAGCATTAGACAGGTCTTCAATCCAAAGAGATGCATTCGTGTGGCAGAATGTTAGTCACTCATGTCAAGCTAAGGTGGCCAGAATATTTTGAAGTGGGCTTAAGAACTAGGGACACTCATACCCTGCCCTATGTACCAGTGACTGGCTCATCTGCCTGGCACCAAGTCTTGCCCAGCTCAAAGGACAGACCCTGTTGGCCCAAAGGAGCTTCTTGGTTGGCTTCAGGCCTGAAAAGGCAGCCAGCCCTATGTGTTCCCTCCATGAGAAAACATTTCTCACTGAGATCCATTCAAAGCACTTCTTATCACCAACAGGAGTAAGCTCTGCGATAGGAGTGAAGAGTGTCACTAAGTGAGAATCAGCTACGGTGGCAGCTCGTCCTAGAAATGTCACGTCTCATCCTGCCTCCGTGTGCTGGCCTATCCAAGTTCAGGTTTCAGGCAGGCAGCTGGACTCAGCAGGAAGAGTCTCTTTTTCTGAAAGCTAAAATGACTCTTCAGCTGTAAGTTAAATAAGCCTAGAGGATCTAATGTACAGCAAGGTGACTCTAGTTAACAATACTGCCTTGTATACTTCAATTTTGCTAAGAGAGTAGATTCTAAATGTTCTCACCACAAACACACACACACACACACACACACAGGCACACACACACAGGCACACACACACAGACACACACAAATGGGAACCATGTGAGGTGATGAATGGGTTAGCTAACTTGATTGTGATCATTTCGCAACATATAGGTGCGTTAAATGTCACATTGCATACCTTATATTTATATAGTGTTGTCAACTACACCTCAATCAAGCTGAAGGCAAAAAAGAAATAAGTACATTGTTTGGTGGGTTAAAATAAAAAGCAGCTTGCAGAGTAATATATGCAGAATTATTACATCTGTTTAAACACATAAATCTATATTTCTATGTGTACATTAATAGATAAAGTCTGGGAATAAACATATCAATACAAAAAAGAAAAGGCTCTTCTGGCTGACAAGGGGAAGTGGGATTGGGTGCTTGGTGGTGGGTGCGGAAGCAGCAAAGAAAATCAAGTCTCATACCAAACTAACCTCTCTTTTTTTGTTTGTTAAGTGAGAGCGGCTGTCCTCCTTGTTTTCTTTGAAAGAAGATCATTTCCTGAAGGCCGAGAGATCCAGGCTCTCCAAAAGCCTCTCTCTGTGGGTGAGACCCGCCAAAGAATGCAAGGATGAGAAACAAAACCAAATCTCAGAGGAATGAAAGAATCCTTTTCACATGGACATTAGTTACATTCATTAATGGCTCACACATGAGTTCAGGCCCATGTTTTGATCTGTAGGATTGTTTTCAATTGAGCTCTAGAAACAGACCCTGAGATCAGGATTCCGGTGTAAGTGATTTACTTAGAAAATACTTCCAGGGAAAGCCAGATAGAGAGGGGGAAGAACGCAAGTGGAGTGCCACCCCAGGCAAAGTGCCAGCCTCAGCCTGATCCCACAGGGGAGCTCTGGAGGACAAATTATGCCTCTGAGTTGTCCCCACTCAAGGCAGGGGAGCTGGGCTTTCAGATGCCTGCACTGGCAGTTAGCAGTCTCTGGTGAAGGGCTGCCCTGGAGGAAGGGAACACAAAAACCTAAACCCCCAGGTCCTTCTGGCTCTCCACACTTGTGAGCAAAATGATTCGAGAGACTGAGGGCAGAGGGCACAGTAAAAGTGCACAGAGGGGGTGAGTGGGGAGCAACACACAGCTATGGCATTGGAAGGATGGAAAGTGCCTAGGATGAACACCAAGAGGGCTGTATCCATCAAGGTTCTCTAGAGAAACAGAAGCTATAGGATGGGTGGATAGATAGATGATAGATAGATAGGTGATAGATAGATGATAGATAGATAGGTAGATAGATGACAGATAGATAGATAGTTATATATTATGAAGAACTGGCTCATGCTATTAGAGAGTCCCATTATTGGCCATCTGCAAGTTAGAGGCACAGGAAAGCCAGTGACGTAGTCCAGTTTGAGCCTGAAGGCCCAAGAACCTGGAGCTTCAATGTCTCAGAGCTGAAGTTTGATGTCCCCAGTCAAGCAGAGGGAGTAAATTCACCCTTCCTCTACCTGTTTGTTTCATTCAGGCCCTTAATGGATTAGATGATGTCCAGCAACATTGGTGAGGGTGATCTTCTTTACTCAGTCTATTGACTTAAATGCTAATCTCTTCTGAAAACATCCTCACAGACACACCCAGAAATGATGTTTTCCCAGCTATCTGGGCATCCCTGAGTCCAGTCAAGTTAGGCTTAAAATTTACCATCACAAGTGCTTATCAAAGACATATCACAGAAGACTACAAAATGCAGGATTGCTGGGCTTACCTATTTTGGGATAATTAACCAGCCCATAAAGATATCCTTTCTTTCTTTGAGGACTACAACTATCGCCTCCACCTGCTACCCCTCGCCACCACACCCCTCCCCTTTCCACACACACACACAATTCAACCCTCCGCAGCTGAGTTCATTTGCCTCCATGACCACAGTTGAGCCAAGGAGATTCTTCCTCCTGAGAATTTGGTTTGCAGACCAAGAAAATCACATTCCATCTGGCTATTGGCTTGGACTGGGGTGGTGTGGACTTAGAAACTAAGGTCACCATTGTAAGGTGGCCAGGCTTGGACATCCAGTGAAACAGAGCAAACGAAGCCCCAGAGAGCAAAAAGAGTGTATAACCAGATCAGTAGCTAATGATTATTCAGTGCTGGCTATGCAGCAGGCCCTGTTTTCACACAGAAGAGCTCATTTGATTCTCATCACAATCCTATGTGATATGAACTATAGTTATTCTTATCCAAGGTCCAGGACACTCAGGCCTAAAGTCGTTTAGCAAATTATCTAAGGTCACACAATTTTAAAGGGTGTGCTCAGGAGTTAGTCCTCTGGTTTAACTCCAGAGCTGTGTGCTGCCCACAAAGCCAGGAAGACAGCTGAGTGCTCAGAAGCCCAGGTTAGACTTCATGGCTCCTGAGAGCAGGAGAAGGCCTGGCAAAGTTTGACAGATTGCTGCCTGGGTTCCCAGTGGCCATCGACATCCGCAGATAGCTGTCTAAACGTTTGCCTTGTTGTAATATGCCTACTCATTTTTGTTGTTGTTGTTGTTGTTGTTGTTTTTGGGTAAATGATAATGTGGGGTTTTTTTGGTTTTTTGTTTGTTTGATTTTAGAGACAGAGTCTGACTCTGTTGCCCAGGCTGGAGTGCAGTAGCATGATCATAGCTCACTGCAGCCTTGAACTCCTGGGCTCAAGCAATCCTTCCACCTCAGCTTCCCAAGTATCCGAGACTACAGGCATATGCCACCATGCCTGGCTTTTTTTTTTTTTTTTTTTTTTTGAAATGGAGTCTTGCTCTGCTGCCCAGGCTGGAGTGCAGTGGCGTGATCTCGGCTCACTGCAAGCTCCGCCTCCCGGGTTCACGCCATTCTCCTGCCTCAGCCTCCCGAGTGGCTGGGACTACAGGCACCCACCACCATGCCCGGCTAATTTTTTTGTATTTTTAGTAGAGACAGGGTTTCACCATGTTAGCCAGGATGGTCTTGATCTCCTGACCTCATGATCCGCCTGCCTCGGCCTCCCAAAATGCTGGGATCACAGGCATGAGCCACCGCACCCGGCCCTGGCTATTTTTTTTAAAATTTTTTGTAGAGACGGGGTCTCACTATGTTGCCTAGGCTGGCCTTGAACTCCTGGCCTCAAGTGATCCTCCTGCTTCAGCCTCTCAAAGTGTTGGGATTACAGGCGTGAGCCATTGTGCCCTGCTGATGTTTTTTTTTTTAATGTCAGTTTCTACTTGGTCATTTCTGGTATATAAGGAAGTGATTGACTTTTGTGTAATAATCTTGTATCCTGTGTCCCTGCTGTAACTGCTTATTAGTTCCAGGAGTTTTCTTAGTTAATTCTTTTGGATTTTCTACATAGACAATCACATTAAGTGCAAATAAAGGCAATATTATTTCTTTCTTCTTAATCTGTTTACCTTTTGTTACCTTTTCATCCCCCCACCTAAAAAAATCCGTTTATAGTTGCAGTGGATTTGTCTTGCTTGCAACTAAAAGACCCTTAGTGAGGACACCATTTCTGATGAAATGAGAAAGAAATGGAAATTTGTTTTCAGTTCTTTCCAACTTCATGAGTTTCCTTTTCCACTCCCACGCCCCAGGTTTGATGCACAAGGGTTTCACCCAGGTTAGGCTCTAGGGTCAGAACAAGCAATGCCTGGGCCTTGTGACACCAGCAGCCCATCGCATCTCTGCTACAGCCTCACCCTTTCGCCCTGTGAAGGTGAAAGTCAAAATCCCTCCAAGAGAGAAAATTCTCTCAAGAGAGACAAGCCTTTTTAGTGTGGGTGGTACAATGAGGAACCGCAGATTCTAAGAATTGTTCAAGAAATCATGCTTTGTGTTGTATTTAAATTATGTCATGGTGGCTTTATTTTCTTTTTACAACTTTAAGAAAGTCCAGCCAAAGTGTTCTCTAACAAGAAAACGTGAACAATGTGTAGAGTAGAAAATACCAAAAGGCTGATCGCAAACTCATCTGGAGTTTAAGTGAGAAGATTTAGTTTCCTATAATACTCATATTCTACAGCCAATTGAACAAACATACTTTCCTTTTACAAACACATATTACAATTTCTATAGAGGACTAAGCAAAATTTCATTCTCAAACTATTGAATATTAAAGGGAAGTTGTAATCATGATTATAGGAAATAGGATATATAGATTTAAACTTGAGTAAGATCTTCATTCCTTCTGCCTAGTCACTTTGCTTATAATACTCTTTGAATATAATATACACATACTGTAATGTGTAGATACGTAATAGTGAATATGTAACACTAGAATGTAAAATATCTTTTAATCATCTTTATTTTTACTAAGCAATAAATTTTCAACAGAGCATTTACATTCTTCAAGAATTTACATCAACAATTATTCAGTTCTTCATATCAAAGGCAATTGTAGTTTATATTTCTAAAATTAAGGTTAAAGAAATATGTCTAAAATTTCTGATTTCCAGAATTATCAACACCTTAGCAGAGAGCATCTTAAAATGACAGTATGGTTGTAAAACAAAAGAAAAAATAAGTGATTTTGTCAATAGTCTCAACCACAGATGGCAAAAGTCTGATGCAAATGCAATTCTTCTCTCTCTGGGACCATAAAAGAGGTCCTAACGCATCAGAGCAGTCTTTCTCACTAAGCCTGGATGAGGTCTCAGAATTCCTTTCAAGGCAGCATTCCAGGAAGCCATTATTAGGCTGTTGATGATGGCATCCTATGTATAGGATCCATCTGTGTGAGGCTGTGATTTTTGTTGTAAATTACAGAATCCTCTGGCTAGTGTATGCAAAAGGAGAGGTATAAAGGGCTACTAATAGCTCCAAAAAATCATTGGGAGGGTTGAAGGTACACAATCTAGACTGAACCTCTCAAAAGAACCGGTCTACTAAGGGAGCTGTTGCCAGCAGGGCCCCGGAAGCACCAGGCCTCTGCCATGATCAGGAAGCTTCTGGGTCCGTAGCTGCCCTGCCCCTGCTGGCTATTGCCACTATGCTTGTCAGAAGGTCCCCTCTCCCTGCACAAGGCCAACAGCTGACTTTTCTCACTCGCTCCTTCCAAGACTCACATCACTGCATCTGCTTAGCAGTGCCTAAGTCACATGAGGAGCTTGAGCTGCAAGTGAGTGTGGAGAATGAGTTTCCCCTACTACAGGGCAGGAAGACGCACGAGAAGAGGGAATGGAATTGGGCAAGCCAGTCTGTAGTTCTGCTTCACCATCTTGAGATGAATCTATGGCATTAGATATAGAAAAGAAGCATGGGAAAATTGGAAAGCACTGTAAGATATAAACATGGGAATTTGGCAATGTTCATCCAATGCTATCCAGGAGAGATGTCCCAGTGAGACAAATGTGCAGTCCTCTCCACAAGTAAGCCCTAAAAAGAGGAGAAGGAAACTTTGGGCCATTATAACTTGATGTAGAGTGATCAATTGTCCCAGTTTGCCTAGGACTGAGGGGTTTCCTGGAATGACTAGGAAAGTCTTGGGCAGACCAGGACAAACTGGTTACCCTAAGTCAATGACAAGAACCATCAGCATCCAACAACTAGACTTGGTTCAGATTCCACTCTCACTAAGCACATTTTGGATTGTGATTTGGACTTCCAGGTGTGTGGGAGATAATGCCTCAAAAACCTTTAGCACAAAGTCTGGTGTATAGTAAGCACTCAATAAATGCTTATATTTTTGTATTTTTAAAAGTTTGTTTCATTTTAAAATACGTTGGCCAGTTAACTGAAATGTTTAATTTTTCTTGGTAGTTTTTCTTCCTTTTTTACACGCCAGCATATTTTCTTTCGGATGTGGGTGTACATTGTTCTGTTGAGATTTTGCTTAGTTCGCGAGGTAGTTCCTGGTGATAGGTCTTGTCTTGGTGCCTTGGGTCGTAGGCACACTCTGGACCACACCTTAGAGTGTGAAGTCTCCATTAAGGCTTTCTCCCCTCTCTGAGGCTCTAAGTGGCAGCTACTGTTCTCTTCGGATATCACCTTACTTTGATCCATTTCCATGGCAACACCCTGTGGTATGAATGAGTATCTACCATACTTCCTGCTCAAGCCAGCTGTGGTGAAGGGAGGAAGCCTGAGAACTGTGGTCTCCTGAAGAGGAAGGGCACCCAAGTGGTGAAGGAGGCCCACGATGCCAAGGCTAGCTTCTCTTTCTTTACTGCAACTAGAAAGGCTGTGCTTCCTCCAGCAGTGGCCTCCCCTCAGGCCTGCCTTTGGGAACAGGCTGCACCCTCTGTTCCCAACCTTCCCTCCTTCTTTCATCCCATTCATAACGGTATGTCGTCTTCCCTCACAGCCTTTGCTCTTGTGTGTCTTTGGCCAAGAATGCCCTTCTCTTCACTCCTCTCCACTCCTGGATTCATTCCCCATCTTTCAAAGTATCGCTCAAACGCCACCTCCTCCCCAAACCTGCCTTGAGTTTCCTCCTCCTGTCAGAATTGGTTCTCCATCTTCTGGGTGCCTAAATGACTTACTGCTGCTGCTCTGACACCAATCACATTGTATCTGGTAGTATAGTGACAAGTTGTCTCTCCGTATCTGTGGGGAATCAGTTCTAGACCCCTGAGGACACCAAAATCCTCAGATGCTCAATCCCTGATATAAACTAGTGTAGTATTTGCATGTAACCTGCGCACAACCTACCATATACTTTAAATATCTCTTGATTGCTAATAATACCTAATACATATAAATGCTGTGTCCTTATACTGTATTGCTTTTCAATTTGTATTATTTTTATTGTGGTTTTATTATTTTTTATTTTTTCAAACCTTTTTTTTTTTTTTTTTTTTTGAGACGGAGTCTCACTCTTCCGCCCAGCCGGACTGCAGTGGTGCGATCTCGGCTCACTGCAAGCTCCGCCTCCCGGGTTCATGCCTTTCTCCTGCCTCAGCCTCCCGAGTAGCTGGGACTACAGGCGCCCGCCACCGCGCTCAGCTAATTTTTTGTATTTTTAGTAGAGATGGGGTTTCACCGTATTAGCCAGGATGGTCTCGATTTCCTGACCTCATTATCCGCCCACCTCGGCCTCCCAAAGTGCTGGGATTACAGGCGTGAGCCACCACGCCCAGCCTTTTCAAATATTTTTAACTGAGGTTGGTTGAATCCTAGTATGCAGAAGTCACAGATATGGAGGGCCACCTGTATTGTGTATCTTCTACATTCTCCATTGGATTTTAAGCTCCCAGGATAAAGGGTATCATTCATCTTTGTATGCCCAGTGCCTACTACATTTTTAAAAAGTGAATTGAATTAACCTCATAAGGAAGAAACCTTTAGACTTCTTGGACAATTTTCCTCAAGTAGGCTGGACACTCTCATGAGTCAAGGTGCCTTGGCAGAGATGTCAAGGAGAAAAGACCCCTTATTGTTCCTTTCTTTATCTCCCTTCAATTGCTTCCTCCTCCATCCTAAAAATGTATAAGAATAGATGTTACTCTAATCAGATGTCCCTTTGGGAACAAGCTGCATGAAACTTTTGAGAATCTCTGGTTTCATAGCACAAGTTTTAAAAGATGGTCTTTGTTATGCTGGTTGCTCACACATAAAATACAATGTTTAAAACATTGGTGAAAAACACATATATTTTATAACTGGGAAGTCTGGTTTGCAATGGTTTGTGAATATGGAAAGAGCCCTGAGCTATGAGTCAGAACTATTAATAATGCCTTAGGAACTAACTAGCTTTGTGGCTGTTGACAAGACATTTCTCCTCCTGAGGCTCTGTTCCCTCTACCATGAAACGAAGGTATGGGGCAGTGATGTCTGAGGTCTCATTGGCTCTGAAGTTCTGGGAGATTCTGATTTCATGGTTTACTTATAGGTAAAAAGAAGAGAAGCTGCCTTCGGGTGGTGGAGTCTTTAACCCACTTCTCTTCTGCCGAGACTGAAAAGGATCCAAATCTCATGGCATTAAGGTCAAAGAAAAAGTGACTTTTTAAAACTAAGTATAATAAGGAAATATTTCTCCTCTACATCTAGATATTTCTCCAGAGGGAGCTCACCACAAAAGTTAAACAGATCACTACTTTAAAAATGTTTTTCTGTTTAAATCAGGGCTGTTCCGTTGGGGCTGATTTAATCAAGAGAGAAAACAGACCTCTCTCTTGTCTCTACTCTGACTCATAAAGGCAACTCTGCTCCACTGATGTCAATTGGTCACTATTTGCATAATAAGTTATTCTAAAAGTTAAAATATCAGGCCCTTAATCACAGAAGAAAGGAAGACTTTTCAGTGAGGCCTTCCAGTGATTGCAGATTTAGAGGGCTCTTGGGACAGCCACTGGGTGGCTAAATTAGTAAGTTGACACCTAGTTACTGTTGATAGGAACAGGAAGCAGGGAAATTCTGCGCAGAAGAGGGCAGTTCCCTGGGTAGGTCCCCACTCTCAAGCTGAAACTCTTGATACTGCAGCCCAAAGTGAGAACTTACATCCCTGCTTTCCTGCTCAAATGTTGCCCTTTCCAAAACCACCCATAACCCACCCTGCCCCTCATTCTGTGCCCATAAAAACCCCAGGCTTGGCCAGCAGAGAAAGGAGAAGCAGCTGGACAACGAGGACTATGGTTGGAAGTTGGAGAGAAGCAGCTTGACTTCAGAGGGACAGCTTGATGGCATAGCTTCAGAGAGGAGTCTGACTGGGGATAGCCAGACTTCAGGGGAAGATTACCTTCCTGCTCCATCCCCTCTTTGGCTCCCCTTCCTGCTGAGAGCCACGTTCATTGGCAATAAAGTCCCCTGCATTTACCATCTTCAACTTGTTTGTGCAACCTCGTTCCTCCTGGATGCCGGACAAGAACTTGGGTGCCATGAGTGTGGTTGCAAAAGGCTATCGTGCTGATGCTCCACTGAGCTATTAACACTTAAGCTGTCTGCAGATGGCAAAGCTAAAAGGGCACTGTAACACTCCTTCTGGGCCTTCAGAGGTCGCAGGCGCCAGATGCTGCCTCGGGACCTGCACAGAGTTTTGCTCCTGCTAGTGCCTAAAAGCACTTGCCCCACCTCCTGCACCTGCTCACCTGTGTGCTCCCCATCCCATGAGTGAGTGGAATTCACCCCTGCTGGTGCTGAAGTGGCTGGCTAGTTCCAGCACCCCTGCACTCCAGTTTCCGCCCATTAAGGGGTCAGGGAAATATCATAGTTATTTCTGTATCTGTTTCTCCAGGCAGTGTCTAGATTTCTATCTTCTGAAGCTTAAACTCAATGCATAGGAACTTTCTTTTATGCCTAGGTGATGAGCCACTCAAACTAGACTCCTGGGTGTTGTAAATCAAAAATAAAATTCTAAGCCCCCTAACCATCTGAACAGAACCCTCCTCTTAGCCAAGGGCATTCCAAAGTTAACCTGAAAAACTAGTTCAGGCCATGATGGGAAGGGGGTGTCAGACCTGCCTCATTAAACTCTCCTCCCTTTTGGAATTCAGGAAAAGCTGACCAGCATTAACATCAACACAGACCTTAAAGCTGATAAGAAACATTTACAATCTATTCTCTGCTACCCAGAGGCTTCATCTGTATGATAAAATTATGGTCTCCACAACTTTTCATCATAACCCAGACATTTCTTTTCTATTGATCCCAGGTCTTTAGATAAACTCAATTGTCAACCACAAAAATTTTAAATCTACCTGTAACCTGGAAGCTCCACCCCAACTTTGAGTTGTCCTGCCTTTCTGGACTGAACCATTGTATAGCTTCAATGTATTAGATTGATGTCTCATGTCTCCCTAAAATGTATAAAACCAAGCTGTGCCTTGACCACCTGGGGCACATGTTCTCAGGATCTCCTGAGGGCTGTGTCATAGGACATGATCATTCATATTTGGCTCAGAACACATATCTTCGAATATTTTACAGAGTTTGATTCTTTTCATCAACAAGTAGGAGGCAGAATCAGGTGGGTCAGTTGTTGGTTTGAATGTGGGACATAAGGGCTAGGAAGCAAGGAGTAGCACCTAGGGCACTGTCTTGAGCAACTGGGTAGAAGGTCATCAAGACAGGAAATGCTGGTGAAGCCAGTTTGGGAGGGAGAAAGAGAAGGAAGGAGAGAGGGCAGTAATGGGCTGTGTCTGACTAGAAGAGAACAGATAAGATGCAGACACTGTCCTCTCTTCTAGCCTCATAGCTTTTTCTTTCATACTCCAAAATTGTCTGCCTTGATTCCACAAAAACTGTCTCCCAAAAGTGTTCTAAGCCTTAAAAATGCCTTGAAATCTTATCGGAGCAGCAGTGGAAAGCACATTGTATTGAGGTTTGGGGAGAAGGTGTGGTACAACTTGGTCCTGATCTACCAACCTGCTGTGCCAACTTGGAGGTGTCTCCTAATCTGAGGGTCAGTTTCATTTTCTGTAAAATGAGACATTTGGATATGAGGTTGTCTAGGGTAATTCTCTAATAGTTGTCCAATTTTCTAATTCTTTATTATTCAATAATTGCCTTTGTCAAAGTTACATGGTATATGTTTTAAAAATAGAATGTTATGAATGAATGGTTACACTGCAATGTTTATTTGCTTAATTTGAAGAGTTAGTATAGGTTGTGGTTAAATATTTGGGCTCTAGAGCCAGACTACCTCAATTCAAATCTCATCTCAGCCACTTGCTGGGCGTGTGACCATGGCAAGTTACTAAACTTCTCTGTGCCTCAGTTGCCCTATCTGCAAAATGGTCACGGGATTATTATATGACAATCATATGAATTAACACATGTGAAGTACTCTATGTGTTGGATTATTATTTAGAGTATTGTTTAACCTTCACTTTTTTATATGTAAAATAGGATTGCTAATAACTCCTCATGAATAAGAATGTAGGGGAAATAAAGTGAAACCACATGTCTATTAAAAGCATGCAACACACAGCCTATCTCTCCATAAGTGCTCAATAAATGTGTGTAGACAACCAGATAGCCACAGCTAGAACCTGACCCCTACTTCCATTTCAATTTCCAAAGAGCAAACTGAGACCTCATGTTCTTTTTGTATGTATTTGCCACAGAAGAGAAATAAATCAGGTGCTGTGCTATCGTTTTCCTCCTGGTGCTTGATAAGCTTTTATGTTAAAATAATGCCAAGTTTTCCTTGTTGACTTTCTATAAAAGTCACACAACGTACTTTGGCTCAGCAGTTGCCATTCTCCACTGAGTAACTGAAGGTCTGTTTCTCCCCAGGATGGTTTTAAAGTAGAAACAGACATGCTGATGCTTTTTCTCCTGAGTCTAACATCTAGCTTCCATTTATTAAAAATGAGTTGAAGGAAAAATGAAGAAAGGATCACATAATTATGTCTTTTTCCCCATATTCTCTTAAACACATTGCTCCTTGCAGACTGTACATGCTTCCACCGTGAAATTCTGCGATTTATGAAAATTTAATAGCAACACGAGCCCAAGAAAGAGTAAAAATTGATATTGTACACTTAACACAAATGAAACTGTTCCTTGGGAGAATAACACCCCGCAAGGCTATTTATTCCAGGCATTTATGAGTGTGTACCTGATAAAAGAAAATATAAAGCATGAAGAGTCAGGAAACGGAGCCCTACGTAGGAGCCATGGATCTTCAGCATTGTCAACCTGACCGGAAAGAACAACAAAAGATGGTGGCAAGTCCTCCACTTCTTGTTCCATACACCCACCCGCTAGTCTTTCTATGATTATAATGAGGAAACTGGCAAGATCTGTATTTAAATTCACAAGAGCAGAGAAAATGCAAACTTTTCAACTGCCTCTCATTTTAGACCTAACTGTACTTTCCGCCCCCTCTGGCCTGCTGTTCTCTCTCATCTGCTATTGTAAATTATGTACATCAGAAACGTTGGTGACTCATGCAGCAGAGGCTTTAGGAAATGTGTGGCTTAATGAGGAGGAAAGAAGGTCTGACGCTGATTGCAAAAAAAAAAAAAAAAAGCACTTGATTTTTTTGTATCACATTCTCCACATTCAAGTTCATTGCTTGCACAGAATTTCAAGCGCCATATAATAAAAGAAGGTGATAGAGGGAACATAGTCACAGTACCGTGACAGCTTCTGGAAGATTTCTCTCATCTCGAATTTGCCTCCTTGGCAGCTATCTGATTTGATTTATGTTAAATGCCGTATAGAACAGAAAAGTGTTGCAATTAACAATTGTAAAAACCAAGAAGAGAGGAGACTGTTAGAACAATATCCATTTCTAGGTCTCCCAAATATAGTTTTCTTTTCTTTTCCAACTTTTATTTTAGATTCAGGGGGTACGTGTGCAGGATTGTTACCTAGGTATATTGTGTGATGCTGATGTTTGGGGTATGATGATCCTGCCACCCAGGTACTGAGTGTAGTAACAACGGTTGGTTTTTCAAACCTTGCCCTCATCCCTCCCTCCCTGCTCTAGTAGTCCGCAGTGTCTATTGTTCCCATCATTATGTCTGTAAGTACCCATTGTTTAGCTCCCACTTATAAGTGAGAACACACAGTCTTTGGATTTCTGTTCCTGCATTAATTTGCTTAGGATAATGGCCTCCAGTGGCATCCATGTTGCTGCAAAGGATATGATTTCACTTTTTGATGTCTATGTAGTATTTCGTGGTGTATATGTACCACATTTTCTTTATTCAATCCACAATTGATAGGCATCTAGGTGGCTCCATATATCTTTGCCATTGTGAATAGTGCTGTGATGAACATGTGAGTGTATGTGTCTTTTGGGTGGAACAAGTTGTTTTCTTTTCAGCATATGCAGAGTAATGGGATTGCCGGGTGGAATGGCAGCTCTGTGTTAAGTTTTTGAGAAATCTCCAAACTGCTTTCTACAGTAGCTGAACTAATTTACATTTCCACCAACTGTGTATAAGTGTTCCCTTTTCTCTGCAGCCTCACCAACATCTGTTGTTTTTTGACTTTTTAATAAGAGCCATGCTGACTGGTGTGAGATGATTTCTCATTGTGGCTTGTATTTGCATTTCTCTAATAATTAATGATGTGGAGCATTTTTTAATGTTTTTTGGCCACTTGTATGCCTTCTTTCGAGAAGTGTCTGTTCATGTCTTTTGCCCATTTTAAAGGGGTTAATTTTTAATGGGTTATTATTATTATTTGCATGTTCAATTGTTTAAGTTCCTTATAGATTCTGGATATTAGACCTTTGTTGGATACATAGTTGCAAATATTTTCTCCTATTTTGTAGGTTGTCTGTTTACTCTGTTGATAGGTTCTTCTGCTGTGTGTGCAGAAGCTCTTAAATTTAATTAGGTCCCACTTGTCATTTTTTTTGTTGTGCTTGCTTTTGAGGACTTAGTCATAAATTCTTTTCCAAAGTCGATATCCAGAATGAGCTTCCTAGGTTTTCTTCTAGGATTCTTATAGTTTGAGGTTTTTCATTTAAATCTTTAATCCATCTTAATTTTTGTATACGGTGAAATGGAGGGGTCCAAGTTCATTATTCTGCATACGGCTAGCCAGCTATCCCCATGCGATGTATTGAATTTTCTCCATTGCTTATTATTGTTGACTTTGTTGAAGATTAGATGGCTGTAGTTATGCAGCTTTATTTCTGGGTTCTCTATTCTGTTCCATTGGTCTATGTGTCTGTTTTTGTACCAGTACCAAGCTATTTTGTTTACTGCGGCCTTATAGTATAGTTTGAAGTCAGATAATGTGATGCCTCTGGCTTTTTTCTTCTTGCTTAGGATTGCTTTGGCTATCTAGGCTCTTTTTTGGTTCCATATGAATTTTAGCATAGTTTTTCTCCAATTCTGTAAAAAATGACGTGAGTAGTTTGATAGGAATTGTGTTGTATCTGCAGATTGCTTTGGGCAATATAGCCATTTTAATGATACTGATTCTTCCAATCCATGGACATGGAATGTTTTCCATTTGTTTGTGTCATCTGTGATTCCTTTTGGCAGTGTTTTGTAGTTCTCCCTGTAGAGCTCTTTCACCTCCTTGGTTACATGTATTCCTAGGCATTTTATTTTTGTGTGTGTAACTATTGTAAATGGGATTGCATTCTTGATTTGGCTCTCAGCTTGAACGTTATTGGTGTATAGAAATGCTACCAATTTTTGTATATTGATTTGGTATCCTTAAACCTTGCTAAAATGATTTATCTGTTCTAATAGCCTTTTGGCAGAGTCCTTAGGGTTTTCTAACTATAGAATCACATCACCAGCAAAGAGATATGGCTTGACCTCTTTTCCTATTTAGTTGCCTTTTTTTCCTCTTGCCTGATTGCTGTGGTTAGCCCTTCCAGTACTATGCTGAATAGGAGTGATGAGAGTGGGCATCCTTGTCTTATTCTAGTTCTCAAGGGGAATGATTCCAGGTTTTGCCTGTTCAGTATGATGTTGTCTGTGAGTTTGCCATAGATGGCTCTTATTATTTTAAGGTATTTTCCTAAGGTATGTTCCAGTGCCTAGTTTCGTGAGGGTTTTTTAAAATCATGAAGGGATGTTGTATTTTATCAAAAGCTTTTTCCATGTCTATTGAGATGATCAAATGGTTTTTGTTTTTAATTCTGTTTATGTGGTGTTATATATAGATTTGCATACGTTGACCTTGCATCCCAGGAATGAAGCCTGCTTGATCATGGTGAATTAACTCTTTCAGATGTGCTGTTGAATTTGGTTTGCTAGGTGTTTTTTTTTTTTTTTTTTTTTTAAAGACAGGGTTTCACTCTGTTGCCCAGGCTGGAGTGTACTAATGCAATCATGGCTCACTACAGCCTCGAGCTCCTGGGCTCAAGTGATCCTCCCACCTCAGCCTCCTGACTAGCTGGGACTACAGGCATATGCCACTATGCCTGGCTAATTTTTGTTTTTGTGTTTTTTTGTGGAGATGGGGTTTCGCCATGTTGCCCAGGCTAGTCTTGAACTCATGAGCTCATGCAATCCACCTGCCTTGGCCTCCCAGAGTTCTGGGATTATAGGTATTAGCCGCTGTGCCCAGGCAGTTTGCTAGTATTTTATTAAGGATTTTTGCATCTATGTTCATTAAGGATATTGGCCAATAGTGTTCTTTCTTCATTGTGTCTTGGCCAGGTTTTTGTACCAAGTTGATGCTGACTTCATAGAATGAGCTGGTGATATGGTTTGGCTGTGTCCTCATTTGTCAAGGATGAAGCCAGGTGGAGATAATTGAATCAGGGGACAGTTTCTCCCATACTGTTCTCATGGTAGTGAATAAGTCTCATGAGATCTGATGGTTTTATAAATGGGAGTTCCCCTGCACAACCCCTCTTGCCTCCCATCATGTAAAATGTGCCTTTGCTTCTCCTTTGCTTTCCACCGTGATTGTGAGGCATCCCTAGCCATGTGGAACTGTGAGCCTGTTACATCTCTTTTTCTTTACACATTACCCAGTCTCGGGTATGTCTTTATTAGCATTATGAGAACTGACAAATACAGCTAGGGAGGAGTCCCTTCTCCCCAGTTTTTTGGAATAGTTTCAGTAGAATAGGTACCAGATCTTCTTTGTACTTCTGGTAGAATTCAGCTGTGAATCCATCTAGTCTGGAGTTTTCTTGGTTGATAGTATTTTTTAATACAGATTCAATTTCAGAAGTTGATATTGGTCTGTTTAGTGTTTCAATTTCTTCCTGATTCAATCTTAAGAGATTGTGTGCCTCTAGGAATTTTTCCATTTCTTCTGGATTTTCTAGTTTGTGTGCATAGATGTAGTCATAATAGTTTCTGAGGATCTTTTGTATTTCTGTGGAATTAGTTGTAATGTCACCTTTGTTGTTTCTGATTGTGCTTATTTGGATCTTCTCTCTTTTTTTTCTTTGTCAGTCTAGCTAGTGGTCTATCAATCTTGTTTATCCTTTCAAAAATCCAACTTTTGCTTTCACTGATTCTTTGAATGGATTTTTGGGTCTCAATTTCATTCAGTTCTTGTCTGATTTTAGTTCTTCCTTTTCTTCTACTAGCTTTGGAATTAGTTTGGAACTTGTTTCTCTAGTTCCTTTAGGTGTGATATTAGATTGTTAATTTGAGATCTTTCTAACTTTCTGAGTTAGGCATCTAGTGCTATAAGCTTTCCTCTTAACATTGCTTTTGCTGCACCCCAAAGATTTTGGTATGTTGTATCTGTTTTATTTCAAATTTTTTTTAATTTCTTCCTTGATTTTGTTGTTTGCCCAAAAGTCATTCAGGAGCAAGTTGTATAATTTCCATGTAATTATGTGGTTTTGAGAGATCTTTTTGGTATTGATTTATATTTTTATTCCACTGTGATCTGAGAGTATGGTATAATTTTGATTTTTAAAAAATTTATTGAGACTTGCTTTATGGCCAAGCATATGGTCGATTTTGAAATATGTTCTGTGTGCAGATGAGAAGAATGTGTATTCTGTCATTGATCAGTGGAGGATTCTGTAGATGTCTATTAGGGCCAATTGCTCAAGTATCAAGTTTAAATCCAGAATTTCTTTATTAGCTTTTTGCCTCAATGATCTATCTAATGCTGTCAGTGTGTTATTGAAGTCCCCGACTATTATTGTGTGGTTGTATGAGTCTTTTCATAGGTCTAGAAGTACATTTTTATGAATCTAGGTGCTCCAATGTTGGGTGTGTATATATTTAGTATAGTTAAGTCTTCTTGTTGTATTGAATTCTTTATCATTGTGTAGTGCCCTTCTTTGTCTTTTTTATTGTTGTTGGTTTAAAATTTGTTTTATCTGATATAAGAAGAGTGATTGCTGCTTTTTATAGTTTTCCATTTGTGTAGATCTTTCTCCAACCCTTTACTTTGCACCCATAGGGGTGTCACGATGTGTGAAATGGGTCCCTTGAAGACAGCAGACAGATAGGGTTTTTTTTTTTTTTGTATCTAATTTGCCGCTCTGTGCCTTTTAAGTGGGGTGTTTAGGCCATTTACATTCAAGGTTAATATTGATATGTGAGGTTTTGACCCTACTGTGAAGTTGATACCTGGTTGCTTTGTAGCTTCTATTGTGCAATTGCTTTATCGAGTCTGTTGGTTACGTACTTAACTCTGTTTTTGTGGTAGCAGGTATTGCTCTTTTGTTTCCATGTTTAGAAGTCCCTTAAGGATTTCTTGTAAGCTGTTCTAGTGGGAAAAAAAATTCCCTTAGCACTTGCTTGTCTGGAAAAGATTATATTTCCCTTTTCTTATGAAGCTTAGTTTGATGAGATATGAAATTCTTGGTTGGAATTTCTTTTCTTTCAGACTACTGAACACAGGCCCCCAATCTCTCTTGGTTTATAAGGTTTCTTCTAAGAAATCTATTGTTAGCCTGATGGGGTTCCTTTAGTATGTAATTTGCCCTTTTTCTCTAACTATCTTTGAGATTTTTTTCTTTAGCATTGACCCAGCCTGGTGACTGTATTCCTTAGTGATGTTCATTTTGTATAGTATCTCACAGGTGTTCGCTGGATTTTTTTGTATCTGGATGTCTATCTCTCTGGCAAGATTAGGGAAATTTTCTTGAATTATTCCACCAAATATATTTTCCAGGTTGTTTATTTTTTCTCCTTCTCTCCCAGGAATGCCAATAATTCATAAGTTTGGTTGCTTTACATAATCGCATATTTTTTGAAGACTTTGTTCCTTTTTTAAAATTCTTTTTTCTTAATTTTTGTCTGACTGTGTTAGTTCAAAAGACCAGTCTTTAAGCTCTGAAATTCTTTCTTCTGCTTGGTCCAGTTTACCAAATATAGTTTTCTTATGCTGCATTTGCCATTCTAGGGAATTGTGTTCAGTGGCAATAGTCAAGAAAACCTCACTGGCTACCTTACGTAGATTTTGTCTTAATTTTGGTCTCTACCTTTCCCCCCTAATTCAGAAAATGAGTCTTGGGGAGCTGGCACATGAGGGATCAGGATCCACAAGAAATTGTCTAGACCAGGAATGTCCCACATGACCTGCAATTGCCAGTTAATGTAATGACTCAGAGTGGTGGTCCCTCAGGTAAACAAAGACACTCTGCAAATAGATTTATAGAATACAAAGGGCCTTTACAAGCTGGAAAAGGCAAGGAACAGATCCTCCACCGGAGCCTCCAGAAGGAATGCAGCTCTGCCTATACCTCGACTTTCACCCTATAAGACCCATTTCAGACTTTGACCTCCAGAACTGAAAGATGATAGATCTGTGTTGTTTTAAGCCTTTAAATTTGTGGTAATTTGTTATAGCAGCAGTAGGAAACTAATACACAGAACTTGTGATATAAAGTATCCCAGACCCCCTCATATTGCAGATAAGGAAACAGAGGCCCAGGGAATTTGCCAACTTTCATGAAGTCACATGGCTAGTTAATAATAGCTGCTGACAACATTGAGAAATTCCTCTATGCTAAACACAAGTCTTAGTCCTTAGCATGTATTTACTCATGAAGTCATCAGCATAACCCTAAGGCAGCGGCCCTCATTCTTATCCTCACATTTTATAGATTAAGAGACTGAGGCATAAGGATGTTAATGTCATGAAGATACTAAATAGGGTGCTACGAGTTTGCACCCAGGCATTTCTGCTCTGGAATGCACTCTCTTTACCACCAGACATAGTGACAGAAGGGGAGCCTGAGCTCTTGGGTGCCAGTCCAGTATCCTACCAACTTCTAAAGAGTTACTTGATCTCATTTCCTCTTGACAACTCTGAAATCTGTAGGTCATTCCCATTCTAAGTGAAGAAAACAAGACACCGAGACCAAGAGATGTGCCTAAAGCACTCACCTGGTCAGTTGCAATTACAAGCCTTTTGACTCCCATCTCTTGGTAGTTTCCCCCAGTCCCTCTGCTTCTGGCACCATGAGAGACACAAAAGATAAATGACAGAGTTTCTGCCATCAGCAAGTTTATGGGTTATCTTGGGCTAAATTTGGTAACTTGGGTGTCACTTTTTTCAGTTCCATCCTCAGGGCAAGACTACTCCTGAGGCCTTGATCAATAACTGTTTGTTCTCTGGAGCAATCTGACATTGCACAGAGGAAAAGCTTGGAACAAAGTAAGCAATCAATGTACTGAGCTTCCCCTGCCAGGGGCAGCTTTAGAATGTCTATGTAAGAGAGTCTTCAGCCACATATTTGGAAGAGGCTGTAGCACCTAAGTGTGGTATTATAGCCAACATAATGTATTTAGTTAGAGTGTATTTTTACTTGGGGAATTTTGAGGAGGAGCTGATGGAGATTTAGGGGGCTGACTAAAACTGCCCCAAACCACCCCTTGATGTACCACTTCCCCATGTAAACCCCTGTATGTTGCAGCTCAGAAAGAGGAATATACAGTTCTCGCCACCAAGAAGCTTACTCAGTATTTGAATGTGGGCAATTTTTTTTTCTTTTCTCTTTTTTCTTCATACAGTCTTTCTCTGTTGCCCAGGCTGGAGAGCAAAAGTGCAATCATAGCTCACTGCAACCTTGAACTCTTCCCTCAGGCAATCCTCCTGCCTCAGCCTCTGGAGTAGCTGGGACTATAGGCACACACCACCAAGACCAACTAATTTTAAAATTTTTTGTAGAGATAGGGTCCTGCTGTGTTGCCCTGGCCTCAAGTGATCCTCCCACCTCAGCCTCCCAAAGCGCTGAGATTACAGGTGTGAGCTACTTCATCCAGCCTGGATGCGTGCTTTAAAAGAAATCAGAGAACAAACAAAACGCCTAACAAATTTGGGCAGTGCAGACATGGGCCACCTGCAGGTGAGAGCAATAGGTGCGTGGAGGACAGCCCCATGTCTATGGCTTCAGGAAAGCCTCATGTAAAATGAGGCTTTGAAGTATGAACTAGTAGGTGAGGGGCAAGTGTGATCGTAGGTGGAGAAAAAGAATGGGTGAGAAAATTCAAATAGACATATTTGAAGACAGTGCACTGGGCAGATTAACTGGTGAAAAAGAAAGTATGAAATCACTTATGTTGGTTATCACCGAATCATTCTTTCAGTCAACAAATATTTATTGCTCACCTACCAAGTGCCAGGCACTATATTAGATACCGGAGACCCAGCAGTAAATAAATCATACGCCCTAAAAGGTAAGGGGTGTTGCTCTGATTCAGCTCTAGCAGCAAAGCTCTGCTCTTCATTTCTGCCTACAGAGAGGGATTCCCATTTCAGCCCATTCCTGCGTGCAGTCAGACACACCTGCCCTCCCCCTGCCATTGCACGGCTCCTCTGACGCGAGGGCAGACACAGGAGCCCGGTGATCGTCTCTGCTTGAATAAATTACCGCCCCATCATCTTCATGCATAAAACATGGCACAGGAGGCTAGGGCAGCCCAGCACAGCAGCTGCCTTCGGGCCAGTCGGAAGTTAAGGGAAGGAAAGGCAAGGCAAGTTACAAGATAAAAGAAGTCAACGGAAGCCTCAAATACTCTTTTTTTTTTTTTTAAGAAAAGAACAAAAAGGGGGGGGTTAAGTTTTCTTTTTCATTTTTATACGTCTGGACTTAACTTCCAGGATAGCTGCAAGACCCTTTTGTTCCTTTGCCATGAGCAGGTTTTAGGCCGCTCTGTTGGGACCATGGTGTTACCTTCGCGATTACACTGGATCAGAAACAGGCCATGGAGGGACAGGATCCGGAGGCGCCAGCTCAACCGTGAGTGTCCCGTCTGGTGTTACCTACTCTCTGCCTTTGTTTTCCACACTTTCCCGCAACACACTCATTTCTTGCCCTCTGCAAATCTTCTCCAATCTTTCCCCCTTCCTCCTCTCTTCCACTTTCCTGTGCTCCGTTTTCCAATGGACTTTGGTATTTTTTTACCGACTCTCTCTCTTCCTATTTCCTTCCCAGCCCTATCCTAATTAGAGGTAACTAGATACATTTTGTTTCAAGTGGTGAGCAAGACAGGGCCACAGGGCCTCTTTTCTTTATTTCTCCAACCAGATGGAAAATACAAATAAATATTTACATCGGTCAAGGAGTCATGTGAATTGGAATTTTTGTTTATTACAGTGGGGAAAAAAATGGAACATCTGAATCAAACAGGTTATCAGCAGTGTCGCTAGATGAGGTGAAATTCAAGGATCAGTGAGTCATATTTCCTTTAAAGGGCCCAATTGTATGCTTCTTAAATTATCAAACTCACAACTGAGTAGACAGGAACTCTAACCAAAAGGGAGTTTTTAGTGCTGGAGTAATCTGAGAATGAAAAAGCATTTCCTATGTATGCCAAGACCATTTCTCATGAACAAGTAACAAATTTGTGTGTGTCTGTTTTTAGAGATGTTTATTTATCTCAGATGTCAGCAAATTCAAATGGGTGGAGGGCTGGGCTGCTAAGAAGAATGAGTGAAAGGGGTCTGTTTTCACAGGGGTAAGGAATAGTTCACTTTCTTCCTGTCTCTGTTGTGAGAAAAATGATAGTGAAAGCATGATGATAAATGACAACTGACATTTGGCCTCAATATGAGGTAGCAATAGGCAGTGGTAGAGGGTGCAGCAAATGGGGAAATATGTGTCCCATCATAGTGGGGCACCCACCATTCAATGCCATCAGATTGTTTCCATGAGGAATGGGGTAGAGGTTGGTGGATTTTCCAATTTTTCAAAAAAAGCAGGCAGATGCGGTAGCTCATGCCTGTAATCCCAGCACTTTGGGAGGCCAAGGCGGGAGGATCATGACGTCAAGAGATCGAGACCACCCTGGCCAACATGGTGAAACCCTGTCTCTACTAAAAATACAAAAATTAGCCGGGCGTGGTGGTGGACGCCTGTAATCCCAGCTACTCAGGAGGCTGAGGCATGAGAATCACTTGAACCCAGGAGGTGGAGGTTGCGGTGAGCTGAGATCGTGCCATTGCACTCTAGCCTGGGCAACAACAGCGAAACTCTGTCTCGAAAAAAAAAAAAAAAAGCAAGAAACACTAATTTCTATGTGAAAGCTCTCAAGTTTAAATGTTGGCAGTTTATTCTTTGAATTTTAAATATGTAATACCAATGTTCTGAGGCAACGTGTGACAACTGTGGACCACCAGTAGCCAAGCCCTGGTTTATGTGCTAGGTGTTGTTCTCATTAGAAGTCCATCACACAGGCCGGGCGCGGTGGCTCACGCCTGTAATTCCAACACTTTGGGAGGCCGAGTTGGGCAGATCACCTGAGGTGAGGAGTTGAAGAGCAGCCTGGCCAACATGGTAAAACCCCATCTCTACTAAAAATACAAAAATTAGCCAGGCGTGGTGGTGGGCACCTGTAATCCCAACTACTCAAGAGGCTGAGACTGGAGAATCGCTTGAACCCAAGAGGCGGAGATTGCAGTGAGCGGAGATTGTGCCATTGTACTCCAGCCTGGGCGATGAGCGAAACTCCATCTAAAAAAAAAAAAAAAGTAGAAGTCTATCACACAGTGTTCTTTATGCCTAGATGCCTAGTTATATGTTGGCAACTCTTCCTTATGTGTTAAAAGCCCCTGGTATAGACAATTAAATTAAGATGAATGAGTGGCTTAGGAACATGTATCCAAAATAGTCACAGTCTACTAGTTTCGGAGGCAAGCTGAGCTGGTTGGATTCCAAATGACAATTCAAAGACAAGCAAACAATTTGCATCAAGCAAAATACTTCTTTTTCTTTGATATAATTGAAGAAGCCATCAGTTTTCTCTGGGCCTTTACCTTCTTGATCATGTTTCTTTTACTTGCGCGTACCTTAAATTTAAATTCCAGTTTTTATGAAACTTCATTCTATATCTGTAGGAAATTAGTTGTGATCCTAAGTTTTAATCCAATACCTCCGTTATGGAATCCGTCACTGAGAAAAGCTGGATTATGGATCTGCATGGTTTCACTAGTATGGATGGGAAGTCGGCCTATACTCTTAAAATAAGAGTTATCAGAAAAGCCTGCTTTACTACAGAAATTTCACTTAAATTTTGAGACTAACATCTGAATACTGTGCTGATTTCTGCATGGTTTTAATATGAAATGATATATTAATAGATGTTGAATGTAAGCTCAACATTAAGCAGGCTGGTCCTGACCTCTTTGGCATAATGCCTAAGGAGGGAATTCTGATATTCTTCCAGGATGGTCAAGAGCCCTGCTGCATGAGAGTCAGTGTGAGTTAGAAACAGGAACAGGATCAAGTGACATTTTTGGAGGGTTGCATTTTCCAACTCACAAAAGACCTGTGCATGTTTGCAGGCAGCGAATCAGAGAAAGTGGAAAGGGAGAAAGAGTGAAGACACCTGCGAGGGAAGGACGCTTATCACTGCAAATGTCAGCCTGCAAGGGTGGCCCTCAACAATATTTTGCAGCTGCTAAAATCTGCTTTGATAACGTTTCCTGTCTTCTTTCTCTGAAGCTTTTCTCATAGGTCAGCGTTTCCTCCAACTTGGGGACTCAAGTTATATAATCCTTTGGGGTTATTTTGTCATTAAGAAAAATAAATTAGTAAACCCCTTTTCTTTAAATACACAGAGGGACCTTGAATGGCGATAGGAGGGACATGTGCCACCACTGTCCATTTCCATGCCCATGCAGACATTGGTAATCAACCACAGCTCTCTCCTTTTTCCCCACGGGGGCCAGGCCCTGGCTTGGAATCCTTTCTAATATAGTGCCTTAAGCTGCCATGTCTAATCAATTAGAATTGCCTCACTGGTTGAAATTTATGTTTGTTTTCTAGTGCTTTGTAACAAATTACCACAAGTTTATTGCCTTAAAACAACATACATTTTTTATCTCACAGCTTCCATGGGCATGAATTAGCTGGATTCTCTGCTCAGGGTCTCCCAAGGCTGCAATGAAGGTGTTCTCTGGGGCTGCAATCTCATCTAAGGCTCAGGGTCTCCTTCCAAGCTCAATGGTTGTGGGCAGAATTTAGTTCCTTGCAGTTGTAGGCCTGAGGCCTTCAGCAACTAAAGGCCACCCATTGTTCTCTGCCACATGACCCTCTCCATAACATGGTAGTTTGCTTCCTCAAGGCCAACAAGGGTCTTTTGCTGCTTATAGACTCTTCTTTAAAGGGCTCACCTGATTAGGTCAGGCCCACCCAGGATAATCTCTCTTTTGATTAGTTAAAAATTGACTGATCAAGGACTTTAATTACATTTGAAAAATCCCTCATTTTTGCCATATAACATAATCTAATCACAGAAGTAAAATCTCATCATATTTATACCCAAGGTTCAAGAACTATACAGAACCTGTATGCCAAGGGGCAAGAATCGTGGGGCCATCTTCAAATTCTGCTTACTACAAAACCTAATTGTCATCTTTGCAATAGAACTTCGATTTTGAGCTACTGGAAAGCTTTAGGTTTTTTGTTTGCTCATTTGTTTGTTTTTGTTTTACTTTTTATTATGAGAATTTTCAAACATTCAGTAAAGTTGAGAAAATAGTATAATGAATCTTATATATCTATCACCTAAATTTAACAATTATTAACATTTTGCCATATTTGCTTCATCTAATTTCCTGTTGAAACATTTAAAAATAAATCAGACATTATGACATTTTAGTAAGAGCGTCTCTAAAAAATAAGTACATTTTTCTACATAACTGCGTAATAAAATTAACAATGATCCCCACATATTATTTAATACCCGGACCATATTCAAATCTCCCCAGGTGAGAACAAATCCTTAATAAGCTCTGCATGCCTGTAACCCTTAGTAAAATACCTGGTACCTCATCTACTCAATAACCGTTTGGGTTCCATCAAAATTAAACTCATAGTAAAGCAATGGATCCCAAAGTTCATCTTCCCTAAGCCTTCCTCACTTCTTCCTTTCACCCCCAGAATCTGTAATGAAATATTTATTTTCTTTTCTAGTCCATAGCAGTGTAGTAAAAAAATAATAATAATAATCAAACCAAGGTATGAGAACGGTAATATGTTACCCTTCTTAGGGATATTTGAATTTTAAAAGAGGCCAAAGGTCACTACAAAGACACACATGTGTGATACTGAGCAGACATTCGGGAGAAGGACCTATCTGGTGTCCTGTAAACCCTGTCAAGCTGCTTACCTGTGACCTGCCCAGGTAAAGAGGAGTATAGACACAGCAACAGCCCGTGGGTGCCTGGGCCTTCTACATGATGACAGCAGGGTCAGGGCAGGGCACGGGAATGAGGGGTGGGCACAGATAACTGAATGCCCCGAGAGCCTTTCTTTCCTTTAGTCTGCCACAGTTGGGGTGGGCGATTAAAGGAAAGAAACCCTGAAAAGTATATAAGCTTTGACAACCAGGAGATTTGGCTTCAAATCCTGCTTCTACAACTTCTTAGCTGTTGGCCTGTGGGCAATTTATTCCACCTCCCTGAATGCCCACTTCCTCAACCTTAAAATGCTTATTACAGTAACACCCACCTCCCATTGTTATTGGAGGGGATTAAAAGACATAAAATATGTCAAGTGCCTAGCACAGTTCCTGGCAATGTAGCTATTGGGAGCTGAGGGCCTAAAAATGGTAATAGTGGCATTTGAGGCAGTATGAAGGGCTTACCATTGCCACCTCCACATTTTTTCCCAAAATAATGGGAGACATGTCATACTGGAGAAGGCATCCCCATCTTCCTCAGCCAGGCACCCTACCCTCACATTCAGCTGGCTTACACCACACCACACAGGAGGCAACACAGATACACTAGGGAAAAACTGATCTTGGCCCCTAGGGGTGTGACTCCTGTTCTTCTGGGAAAATGGAGTGTTTGCCCCCACAGAGGATCTCCAGGCTATTTTCAGTACAAGTAAATGCAACCAGATGACAGAGCCCACTTGGAACTTGTTTCGCCTCTTTAAAAAGTTGAACTCTAGCCTAGCGTGGTGGCTTACACCTGTAATTCCAATGCTTTGGGAGGCTGAGGTGGGAGGATCACTCGAGGCCAGGAATTAGAGACCAGCCTGGCAACATAGCAAGATCCTGTCTCTATAAACATTTTTTTTTAAGTTAGTGGGCATGGTGGTGTGTGCCTGTAAACCCAGCTACTCAGGAGGCTGAGGCAGGAGGATTGATTGAACTTAGGAACTGGAGGTTACACTGAGCTATGATCATGCCACTGCACTCCAGCCTAGGTGACAGCGCAAATGCTGTCTCAAAAAACAAAACAAAACAAAACAAAAACCCGTTGAACTCTGTTAGGTAGAGCTTTGATGGAGGCAGCCACTGGTTAGCACTTTTTGTGGACTCCAATCAGAGGAATGGAAATGAGTTTTCTCTGTCCCACTGAAAAGACAACAGTGACAAAGCTGATATGCACTTGAGATTAGGGAATCTGCTGTCTCAGAGATACCACTGGCGACTTCCTCCCAGTGTCAATGTGACTTAATTGTCTTGTTCTGCTTCGCCGGCCATTCTCCTGACTCAGTGTGATGGCATTCTTAATTGTGACTGGGCAAGGGGACCTGGTCAAGCAGCAGTCTGAATCCCACAGACGATGCCCTGGACTGTGGTTGGGGCTGTGGGACTTCGAAGGAGGGCTCTCCTGTCTGCCACCATCCTGGGTTGACAATTCTACACAAGGAGGTAAGAACCCAGCTGGCTATTCCTCACTGCACGTGCAGCTCTGGAAGGCACTCTGATTCATAGAAACAGTCTTAGATTTTCTTCTAAATACCACTGTCTTCAGATGAGAACCTGAAGGCAAGATCTCAGGGAGACAGAGGGGCCCGGGATAGGAAGAATATGTGGGCACCTCTCCCACAGTCCTCCATCTGCACAAGGCTACCCACTCTGCAGATGGCCCCTGCTTGCAGAGAGATCCAGCGTCAATTTACAGAGCAGCCCAGCTTCCTATCAGCTTTCTGTCCTGGCTCACCTGTTATCTGGCAAGGGTCAGGCCTTGACCACACTCATGTTTCTCCCCCGGCCTCCTCCACTCTGGGATTTTGTACCGGTATGGGGAGGCACTACGGTTGCAGATTTAGCTTTTCAGCGTGGATACAAGCACCCAAGTGTCCCAGACCACAGCAGAAACCGTGTTGCTGCCGTTTCCAACCTGCTGATTTGGTCTCTTGCTGCCGTTCTGACCAACAGAATTGCTACTGACTGACAAATCCCTTGTGCTGCGATTTTAGGCTTCAGGCTGGGCTTCTCTGCTCTGAAGTGGAGAAGGATATACCAGGAAAATTCCTCTCTTGGTTTCTGTTTCTTTTAAGCTACAAGCTTAAAGATTTGAGAGGAGGTCAGTGAGGAGTTTACCCCAAGTATAAAAAAGAAAGAAACCTTTTAGAACATTCTGTATAATTCATAGGTCACATATTTTCCTGGGTTTCAGTCTAGACACCTGCTAAGTTTATCCATTAACAGCCTCATCCCAGACAACAGGCGGCTGGGCCCCACAAAGCCTGGGTTTCTCCCCAGTTCTGAATCTTGTTTACCAACAGCTCTGCCAATTACAGAGAATGCTTTTTGTTTTAGGGACCCTAGTGTTTATACTGGCATAAAAATTATTTATATACCTTCAAACATGTTGTTACCTATTTTCTCATCATTCAGAAGAATACTTGCTTCTGTAGAAGGCTTACCCTCTTCCTTCCTGCCTGAATGATTAAATCCATGGGTACAATTGCCAAATGTCCAATTCCAGTTTATACTGTCAAGGAAGAAAAATGATGGGAAACTGGAGAATGGAAGGTACTTTGAATAATTCAGGGAGGTCCGTTGGTTGAGAAAGTGCTCTCTTTGTATGTACATGATCTGGACAGATATTTTAGCTGTCTCCAGCCGAGGATGGACAAAAGAGAGGGTGTGGAGGGAAAAGGAAAGGAGAGGAAGAAGCAGCAAATACAAATACAGCTAACAAACATAAAAAAGAAAATGAAACCAGCAGAGGGATTAGAGAACTCAGAGCCTCGATGGATTCTGAAGTCTGTAATTCTCAGGTTGTTTGTTTGATGAAGGATCTAAAGAGCCCAAAAGTTAATCACTAGAATGATAACTTGGTCTCTGGTTGGTAACAGAAAATTACCAGAATAGCAAATTTTCTCAGAAGCATTAAGCTAGTGTATCAAGTTGGGGGTAAGGAGGATCTTAGGGAATGCAAAGCATCTTGAAATATGTTAGCCTAGATTCAACCCACTATGTGAGTACCAGTTTTTCCTCTGAAATAGCAAGATCCAAGAAATTGTTTCACTGCGTAAGAACATGTTAACTATATACACACCCCTTACCCCCTCCTACCCTACCCACCCCCCCAACAGTTGTCAAAACTGTAAACTTGGGCAGTAGCACTGAAAAATATGTCTTGATTTTGTTTTCATCTAATACAAAGCTAATATGCGCATGTTGTATAAAAATCAAACAATACAGAAACATACAACAGAGAGAAAGTCATCTAGAATTCCCAGCCCTCACCCCGTACAGCGTAGCACTCCCATTTCTTTTGTAAAATATACTAAATATATATATATATAAAACCTTTTTGTAGTTTGTTTTAAAACGTTACCAATTCTCTATACATTCAAAAATAAAATTAAATAAACAAGTATGAGAAAAAATGCAAATTGAATGCAAACAGAAACCAATGAACTGTATTTCAAATGAATAGCACAACTACATGGAAGAAAAAGAAAAGAATTAATCCAAGTAACATTTGAACACAATACTTTGGCTAAATATCCTCAGTCAAAAAACCAAAAAAAAGAGAATAAAATAATAAAAAAATCTTAAACTCTGTTTAGCAGATTTGTTTTTTGTAGACCACAGTTATAACAATTCTAAAACTATATTGTGTATTGTAGAACTAAGCAAACAAGTACCTACAGGATGTGTTGGGAGCCTGTAGGATGTGTTGGGAGTTCTCATTGTGGGAGAAGGCAGATACAAATATAAAATGAGTGAAGACAAAAAAGAATCCTATTTGTTGCCCTGGAATTAGAATAATCTAGACAGACAGACAGACACAGATACTTCCTAGCTCTGTCCACTAAAAGGATCTAGAAGCAGTAATACCCAATAGCAATGAGCAACTTAGTACCCAGATGTTGGTTTTTAAATATCACTCACACCAAATGGAATGAGGGCTTCTTGGAAAAATGCTGATACCAGGGCTGCAGCAGTTAAATTACAAGATGAGGCTGAAACACCTTGTGCCAGAAAATAAAGAAGTGCTCAAAAAATTAAGGGAATCTGTCAAAAGGACTGGGGAGCTGCCTTGGAGGGGCTTCTACTGGCAAAACTGGGACACTGTGAGCATCAAATAAACAATGATGTTAATAGATTATAGCCCATTAAGTTAAATATCCATTTTTTAAATGTTAAAAATAAGAGCTAAAACCATAAAACTTTTTTTTTTTTTTGAGATGAGATCTCATTGTGTCACCCAGGCGTGTGGCGCCGTCGCGGCTCACTGGAGCCTCACTGCAGCCTCGAACCCCTGGGATCAAGCCGTCTTCCTACCTCAGCCTCCCAAGCAGCTGGGACCACAGGAATGTGCCACCATGCCCGGCTAATTTTTAATTTTTTGTAGAGACAGAATCTTGCTCTGTTGCCCAGGCTGGTCTTGAACTTGTGGGCTCAAGCAATTTTCCCATCTTGGCCTCCCAAAGTGCTGAGCTAAATATATTTTTAAGTGGGATCAGAATAATACCATGTTCTACAACTTACTGTTTCATTTCACAACATAACTTGGGTACCTTTTTATGTCAATAAATAGCAATACATTTCTTCAAACAGGATCCATATACCCAAATCCAAATGAAAGCTTGTAGAGTTTGGGACACTTTAAGTGTATCTAATCTGAACCACTTAAATATTAAAAAATGATTATAATTGTAAAGCGGATTGTATTGGTTGGGAATTGAACCGTCCACGTACTTACTTATGGAGGCCTGATGTCTGTGACTCTCCAGCCATGCTGTGCTGCTCTTTCTGTTTCCAGCTGGAAACTGGGCTATTTTAAAGGTCAGGGTAATCGGGAGAAGGTATGCATATCTATTATCAAAAAACTATGCCTCACATACTCTTTGAAGGGGAGATCTTTTCATCCTCCACCAAACAGAGGGCGATTTGGAAAGAAGACCATTTCCAATCCCATCAAGGGTTGGCTCCAGGGGTGCCTGGTTTCTGAGGCACCAGAGAGGTTCTTGTGCTTGGGAGCAGGTGGCTTAGTTCTTATCTCCATTACAGGGTGGGATGGAAAGAGGCACACAAAGCCTGAGCCTGCAGAAAGAACCAGGCAATATCAAGAAAAACGGAGTCTGAGATACTTGCTAACACTTTGAATTGCTGCTGTCCAAAGCTTGTTCCCTGAGGTTTGTTACAAATTGAGTGAAATTAATCCAATCCTTCAATTTTCAAGCAAGTGAAAAAAAAAAAAACACCATAAAGGATTCGCTTGCTGATACCGCATCAAAGGGAGGACAGTAAATTCATGTAAGTGAGTCGGCAAAGAACCCCAAGAGCTCAGCTCTTCCCCTCTGGACCAAGGGAAACTTTACTCCTATTAGGATGGTTTGAAGGGGAGAGGGAGAGTACTCTTGAACTCATCAGAGAGTATGAAAGCAAGTGTATGGGTCTACAAGCAACCCTCTAAATGGCATAGGTGGTGAAGAAAATACATTAGATGTATTTTCAAATGTTTTCCAACATTTTATTATTAATACGTTTCACATATAGAAAAGTTGAAATAATTATACAGTGAATATACTAAATATATATATAACCTTTTTGTATTATATATAATATATATGTTCTATGGATATTATATATATTCTATGGATATCCATAGAATATATATATATTCTATGGATATTTTATATATATATATATATATATATATATATATATATATATATATATATATATAACTACCACCTACATCACATACCTAACCATATACCTATCTATCAATCCTTTGATAAATCTTATTTTTAATGCTTTAAAAATAAATTGCAGACATCTGTATACTTTATTCTAAACACTCATATATATGTATATATATATATATATCAGTCAATCTTTGTTCATAGTTTAAAAAAATTTTTAGTCATGTTTATTGAGGTGTAATTACATAGAGCACAGCATACTTTTTAGTGAGCAGTCCTATGAGTCTTGACAAACACCTATAGTCGTGTAACCACCACAACAATGAAGATATAGAAGAGTTCCATCACCCCAGACATTCCTTCATGCCCCTTTGGAGTCAATCCTTTTCCCCAGCTCTTGTCAACCAGTGATCTGTTTTCTGTCCTTATCATTTTGGCTTTTCCAGAATATCTCATAAGCCAGTTACAGTGGCACAGGCCTGTAGTCCCAGCTACTCGGGAGGATGGCTTGAGCCCAGGAGTTCTGGGGTATAGTGTGCTCTGCTGACCGGGTGTGTGCACTAAGTTTAACATCAATATGGTGACCTCCTGGGAGCGAGGGACCACCAGGTTGCCTAAGGAGAGGTGAACTGGCCCAGGTCAAACACAGAGCAGGTAAAAACTCCTGTACTGGTCAGTAGTGGGATCGTGCTTGTGAATAGCCACTACACTCCAGCCTGGGCAAGTGCAATTGCAAGACCCCGGCGCTGGGTGCAGTGGCTCACATCTGTAATCCCAGCATTTTGGGAGGCAGAGGTGGATGGATCACCTGAGGTCAGGAGTTCGAGACCAGTCTGAAAACACGGAGAAACCCCGCCTCTACTAAAAATACAAAATTAGCCGGGCATGGTGGTATATGCCTGTAATCCCAGCTACTTGCGAGGCTGAGGCATAAGAATCACTTGAACACAAGAGGCAGAGGTTGCAGTGAACCGAGATCACGCCATTGCACTCCAGCCTGGGCAACAAGAGCCAAACTCCGTCTCAAAGAAAACAAACAAACAACAACAACGAAAAACAGCAAGACCCTATGCCTTTTAAAAAAAAGCCAGAATATCTCATAAACAGAATCATACAGTATGTAGCCTTTTGAGTCTTGCTTCTTTCACTTAACATGATCCAAGATGTTGCATGCACATTTGTTCCTCTTCATTGCTGAGTAGTATCCCATTATTAGATGTATTCTTATAAAGTATAGTTATTTGCAAGTGGTAAGAACTCTAATCACCAAAAAGCATGAGTAAACATGATCATCAGAGGGGACAACCCCCAAGTTCTGGGGCACCCCAATTCTATCCATAGCTCTGGTCCTCTCTCAGGGGAAGCTCTGAGCAAACGAGGGACTCTGAACCCTCTGAATCCCACTCCACCTCATGTGTACCCTGGGAATATCATCAGTGGCAACTACGAAGGGACAGTTTATTCAATCAGCAGTAAATGATTATGATTCAGAATGTATTAGGCCAGTCGTCAACCCTACATTTTTTTCTTTGACATTGTATATGATTATACAACCTGTACAGAAAACAGAGATCTTTTCCCCCCATTTAAGACCTGCAGCCAGGCTGACACAGACAAGCAGAGGTAGGAGGATACAGAAGAACAAGGATGGGAGAGAGGGGAGAGACACTATAGTGGAGGCTGTAACGGTCCTGTCATGCTAAGACCAAGTTATGGAGGAACCACGAGTCCCACTAGGTTTGAAGAGCTTTCTGGCTGTCTAGTTCTCCCACTCCATTTTCTTTCCCTACCTTGAGTTAAAAGTGTGTTTTCAATCTAAAACAATAACATCCTGCACACAGAAGGGAAAGAGTGAAAGAATATCTTGATCTCTTAAGAAAAGCATATAGTTTAACTTCATGTTTTTAACCCAGCTTTTAACTGAGTAGCCCAGACATCATTATAATTCCCTCAAAGGACAAAAAAATCAATTTTCTTCTATTTCCCCACAGCAGTTACAAAATGAAGATATCTGGTTTTTTTAAGATGAGAAGCATAATCTTCAGGGTAAGGCTACATAGTTTTTTTCCTTCGCCCTCACTCCCAGTGCTGTCTCTATTTCTGTGTCATCTGAGAAGTGATGTGGGGCACGGAGGGTCCCAGCTCAGGGTATGGGACTTGCTTCCTGGTCTTGCCCCTGCTCATCTGTGAGGCATCAGTCAGACCACTCACTCTCTCGGTACAGTCAATACATGAACATTCCTTTGTGTCCAGGCCAGAGTTTGTTCTTGGTTTCCTATCCACCCCTTTTTTCATTACTTCTTCTTCTTTTTTTTTTTTTTTTTTTTTTCTTTTTTGAGACGGAGTCTCGCTCTGTCGTCCAGGTTGGAGTGCAGCGGCGCGATCTCGGCTCACTGCAGCAAGCTCCGCCTCCCGGGTTCACGCCATTCTCCTGCCTTAGCCTCCCAAGTAGCTGGGATGGAGTCTTGCTCTGTCGCCAGGCTGGAGTGCAGTGTCGCGATCTCGGCTCACTGCAACCTCCACCTCCCGAGTTCAAGCCATTCTCTTGCCTCAGCCTCCCGAGTACTTGGGACTACAGATGCGCGCCACCATGCCCGGCTAATTTTTTGTGTTTTTAGTAGAGACGGGGTTTCACCATGTTGGCCAGGATGGTCTCGATCTCTTGAATTCATGATCCACCTGCCTCGGCCTCCCAAATTGCTAGGATTACAGGCGTGAGCCACCATACCCGGCCCTCGTCATTTCTTTGAGGGCACCCTCTCCCAGCACTCTGCTGCCTCCAGTTGTACTGAACAATGGTGCCTTCTCTCAGTCCTAGACAGAGCTCCATTCTCAGGGCCTTTCCTTACCTCATCCCACATCAAATCAGATCCACTATTCCCCATACTTTCCCACCCTGGTGTGGACCAGATGAAGGGCCCTAATGTGTCAACCTGATAAAATTGATTAAAACTTCACATTCTTAGTGGTGGAAGTGATTTCACATGCATTATCTCATTGGAGACTCACAACTACCCTGAGGAGCTAGAAGGATCTGTACTATCCCTGCCCCCCAATTTTTTTCTTATGTGGAAACTGAAGCTCAGAGAGAAAGGAGTAAGACAGTACATCTGTCATTTATTTGGGGTAGTATTAGTATCAGGCATTGTGCCAGCTCCCCTATTGGGCATTATTTCACTTAATCCTCAGTCCAACCCTATGAGGTTGGTAATTGTATCCATTTTGCAAATGAGGAGGCTGAGGCTCAGAGAAGTTAAAGGACTTATTAAAAGTCACAGGCCACAGTGTGGCAGAACAGAGCCAACATTCAGACACATGTGTACAAGTCCAGAGCGGGTTTTCACTGCTGGAACTAGGACTCAAGCTCAAATCAATCAACTCCTAATTTTATGGTTCTTCCAGTGGCCACCCTCTCTATTCAGAAAATGCACCCTACCACCTATCCCCAAATCTCAAAACATGGGCCCGGTTGAAATGCACACAGCTCTGGGAGTCTCCTAGAGGCAGAACAAGGGCTGGCGATGTCTGAGGGCAGCTAAGGAGATATTTGGAAATCTACTGGAAACTGCATCTTCCTGCGCTGTGCTAGATGTCCAGGTATCTGAGAATACAGTGAAGGAAAATTAACCGAATGTTCAAATCTCTACAGAATGCCTAGCTTGAGTCCCTGAATACTTTTTTATGCAGGACGAGGGTGGTAGGGGCCACTCAGAAAGAAATCTGAACACGCAGAACCCTCGGGCTTAGAGCTGTTAGGGGTCATAGGCAGCCAGCTCACTTCCAGCGGACAGTGCCCACTCCCCTTTCTTCTCAGAGCCCAGCCAAGAAGGATGGCTCAGCGGCCCGACTGGAGCACCTCTGCCCTCCTCGGCTCCTGGGCGTGTCTCCGGGGATTCCTGTTCGGTGATGCCCTGACCCACGGAACTTGCCTCTTCCCTCTTGTTCAGTCGGTTTACCAACCTGGGGGCGTCTGCGGATCAAGGTGTTTGAGAGGCTGGGCTGAGGTAGAGAAGAGGGTGGGGCAGGAGCACCTAAGTCGCTCAGGGATTTGGTGACTCACACGAGGGGAGGGGGGCCCTCTTTCTCCCCAGCACTGGGGGCGCCCAAGGCTGTTCCCATGCTTAGCAGAAGATGCCCCTCTCATCCCCCAAGGGGCCTGCTCGGAGTGTGCCACCTGCAGCATGGCCACCACGAGGCCGGTTATGTATTTATTTCCTGGCAGAGCTGAACCCCAAACGCTTTTCCTTCTGTGCCGTGCGTGAAAGAAACAGAAACCGCTGCACAGCATGTCTATGTTTATACCCTGGGCCCTGACCCTCCCACAGAGGCCAGCTCGTAGACTTTTCTTTCGCAGCCTGGGGATGGGTTTGTACTTCACCCTCGAGCGCCTCCCCCTGGGAACCCGCAGAGGGCTGGGTGGCTGTGCAGTCCTGTGTGCTAAGTGCTTTTCTTCGCTTCTCGATGCTTGGGCCGTCTTGTAAGCAAAGCTAGGTGAATCGAATCCACCCCTACGCGATTGTCGTTTGCATTAAGTAAGATAATGCACGTGGAAATATTTTGTGAGCTATGCAGTATCACCTAAATTATTTTTTATTATTATTTTAAAAATAGAATGCATCAGCAAGTTCTTAATGAGCTTGCTTTTTTGTTTTAATATTTGGAAATTGGAACAGCTACTTATAGGAGACTTGTAGATCCCAGAATGTGCCGTTTGCCTGAGTGGTTTCTTTTGGCCTTGCTGTGTCAGGACTTGTGAGGCTTGTGAGGTGATGTCAGCAAATCAGCACAGACTCACACCTGAGGAGCCCGGGAGTGGTCTAGGGCCTGTGGAGCATGGCAGAGTGGCCTCTTCTCAGCCTCCTCTCCACTGGAGGGCACTTGAGTTATTATTTATTTCCCCCAGGCCTCAGCCTCTTAGCTCCTGCCAACTTCCTTTCAGAGGCATTCCTGCCATATGTCCCAAGATTTTCCTCTGTTTACCTCCTTTAAAGTTGTCATGGTCTTGAATTTTAGACCACCGTAATCTCCGTTTGACAATGAATGGTCATAAATTCAAAGAAATTGCAGGACTCTTATTCTGAAATTCATATAAATGATTTCTTTATAAGTACACATAAAACTCTTTTCTCTTAAAATATACAGAAAAAGAAAAATGTACAGCTGCTCAGGGTAACAAAGTATTGCCTTCTAGAAATTCTCAGGCTTCTTGTCTTTAAGGATAAACAGGAAGCATTTCTAATTAGTGTCTTGGTTGTTTGCATATTGAGCTTCCAAAATGCTTTAGAAGGTTCATCTTTTCAATCCGCCCTTCGCAGTCCTTTATTTTTCATTTGCTAAGCAGAGGTAAACTTAAAACCATCTCTATGTGACTTATCATAAATCCCAATCAGTGAGACCTCAAATAATGAACTTGGCTCTCATTTATACACGTGACAAAAGGTATACCTATATAAATATCTAATAAAAACTACCTAACAGCTAAATACAACAAAGAGAAGCAATTTTCCTCTCTTTTTCACCCAATGGCTCTAATTAATCATGCAGTACAGAAAAATAAGAAACCTTTTATGTAGCTTTTAGTGGTTTTGTTCATTCTAGTTTCCACCTGTGAGTAGCATTCATTTATAAACCTGTCTTGCTGAGCACAGTGCTTTCAAAAATGACTTGCTTGTGACTCAGAAACAAAAAAAAAAAACAACAATCTTTGTAACTTTTAATCTCATGCAATTTCTTCAGTTTCTTTTGTTGGTGAATACACGTACAATTTGGTTTTGAAATACCATGTATCAAAGCACAAACAAATCATCCCTTGGAGTCGTGAAGAAGCTCATCAATGTATCACAGTCTTCCAGTCAAGCCCATAATTCAGTCTCCTACAGCTCTGATTCTTGACCTCTAAGAAAACCCACCCTCTTACTCTTCCTGAACAATTGCTCACTAGAGCACTAAGTGAAGGGAAAGATTGCTCCTTAAAGTGAAAAAACAATGTTTTCCAAAGTTGTGTTGAATATGCATAGTCATCATATCACAGGAAGTTTTTCTTTTAAACCTTATGTGCATTTTCTTTAATTTGTATGGTTTTCTCAAGTTCAACATTCAGTTTTCGTTTTAATCAGTTATATTCTAAAAACAATTAAATTTTTTTCTCCTTAGAAATTCACTTTAAATTAAAAAGAACTTTTGTTTTTCTCTTTTTAAGGCACAAATAGTGCTGGGAGGGGGTGAGGGTAAACTTCTTTATCTGTCACTGTCATTTTTTTTTAAAGGTCCTATTGCTTTTACACTTCTAACCCTAAAAAAGCCTCGTCACGCACCCAGCATTCCCCTAGCTCTGGGCTTCCAGAGCACTGTTATTCAACAGAGAGTTTCTATAGAAATCCAAAGTACTATCTCCAAATAGCAGAAACCGTAACACCACAGACACTTATTAGAATTTGTGTGGAAGAATCCTAAAGCTAAATAAATAGAAGCTTCTAAATTACCTTTTTCCCCCCTTGACTATATCTTAGATCAAATTTTTAGAACTCCCACCACCCACATGTACACCAGGACCTGTGGGTGGGAGCAGGCGTGAGACAGAGAGGGCTTCCTGTTACCATTAAATGAATAAAGAGACCGCTACATATCAAACTCTGTCCTCTCTTTTTTTCTTGACTCTTCTTCCCTCCATTTAGTGTGAATATTTGAAGTTAAACTGGGCATGGCCCCACATGTCTGATTACTCACCCATCGACATCCAACCTGAAGTCACAAATTTGGCTTCAGAGAATGTTGTGGAGCTGAAAGGATGGCAACTTCAATTTTCAATAAATAACTAGAAACAGAGAAAATAGCTTTCCAAGTCATCAAAGAAAACCCATGGTGAGAAGGATATTAATGGATTAAAACAGGCATAAAGAGGAAACTGAAGGCAAAGCATTGGCAAAATCTAGAAATGATTATCAGCTTCAGCTAAGTCCGATACTCACCAGCTCCAAGGACAGAGTAGGGAAGCATCAGTTACAAGTTAGGAGAAACAGCACTGCAGTATTGTCGGGGAGCAAGGTGAGGGCTTTCCTTCCTCTTTGAGGGTCAGTTGTCAGTCTGGGGCCACACTGCTTCCAGAAGGGCACAGAACTGGAAACCTTTAACAATGGTTAAAAAATCTGACTGCTCTTGTTCTGTCGCCTGCCACTGCTGCCTGAGCCCGAGTGGTTCACTGCACCCTGAAGACAGATTCCAGACGCTGGGAACTCGCGCCTCCAATCCCAGACACTATGTCCAGCAAAGGCTCCATGAGAGTTCTGGCCTATGGTGGCGGCCTGGACACCTCCTGCATCCTCGTGTGGGTGAAGGAACAAGGCTATGATGTCATTGCCTACCTGGCCAACACTGGCCAGAAGGAAGACTTCGAGGAAGCCAGGAAGAAGGCACTGAAACTTGGGGCCAAAAAGGTGTTCATTGAGGATGTCATCAGGGAGTTTGTGGAAGAGTTCATCTGGCCGGCCATCCAGTCCAGCACACTGTATGAGGACCGCTACCTCCTGGGCACCTTTCTCGCCAGGCCCTGCATTGCCAGCAAACAAGTGGAAATCGCCCAGCAGGAGGGGGTGTCCCGCGGCGCCACCGGTAAGGGGAATATCAGGTCCGGTTTGAGCTCACCTGGTACTCGCTGGTCCCCCAGATAAAGGGCACTGCTCCCTGGAGGATGCCCGAGTTCTACAACCGGTTCAAGGGCCGTAATGACCTGATGGAATACGCAAAGCAGCACGGGATTCCTATCCCGGTCACTCCCAAGAACCCGTGGAACATGGACGAGAACCTCATGCACATCAGCTACGAGGCTGGAATCCTGGAGAACCCCAAGAACCAAGTGCCTCCAGGTCTCTACACGAAGACCTAGGAACCGGTCAAAGCCCCCAACACCCCTGACATCCTCGAGATCGAGTTAAAAAAGGGGTCCCCGTGAAGGTGACCAACGTCAACGATGGCTCCACCCACCCGACCTCCTTGGAGTTCTTCATGTACCTGAACGAAGTCGCGGACAAACACGGTGTGGGCTGTACTGACATCGTGGAGAACCGCTTCACTGGAATGAAGTCCCGAGGTATCTATGAGACCCCAGCAGGCACCATCCTTTACCACACTCATTTAGACATCAAGGCCTTCACCATGGACTGGGAGGTGTGCAAAATCAAACAAGGCCTGGGCTTGAAATTTGCTGAGCTGGTGTACACCGCTTTCTGGCATAGCCCTGAGTGTGAATTTGTCCGCCACTGCATCGCCAAGTCCTAGGGGCAAGTGGGAGGGAAAGCGCAGGTGTCCGTCCTCAAGGGCCGGGTGTACATCCTTGGCTGGGAGTCCCCACTCTCTCCCTACAACGAGGAGCCGGTGAGCATGAACGTGTAGGGTGATTATGAGCCAATTGATGCCACCGGGTTCATCAACATCAATTCCCTCAGGCTGAAGGAATAGGAATATCATCGTCTGCAGAGCAAGGTCACTGCCAAATAGACCCCTGTACAATGAGGAGCTGGAGCCTCCTCAATTTGCAGATCCCCCAAGTACAGGCGCTAATTGTTGTGATAATTTGTAATTGTGACTTGTTCTTCCCGGCTGGCAGCGTAGTGGGGCTACCAGGCCCCAGCTTTGTTCCCTGGTCCCCTGAAGCCTGCAAACGTCGTCATTAAAGGGAAGGGTGGGGGGCAGCTGTGGTGGGTAGCTATTAAATGACAATTAAAAGATACACTAGTAAAAAAAAAAATTGACTGCTCTGAAAACGAGTCTACTGGGCAGTGACATTCACATTTCTGAAATTAATGCATACTCTATTTGCATTTTCTCTTTTTCCTGTCTTCACCTGTCTTTGACAATTAGTAAATAAATCCCTAAACCTTATAAATATTATTTTGGGCTAGCCATGGTTGCACCATCATGTTTGTAATCCCAAAACTTTGGGAGATGGTGGGGAGAGGACTGCTTGAGCCCATGAGTTCAAGACCAGCCTGGACAACATAGTGGGACTCTATCTCTACAAAACAATCAAAAAATTAGCTGGGGTGGTGGCACACACCTGTAGTCTAGCTACTCAGGAGGCTGAGGTGGGAGGATAGTTTGAGCCCAGGAGTTTGAGGCTGCAGTGAGCCATGAACACAACCCACTCCAGCCTGGGTGACAGAACAAGAACCTGTCTAAAAAAAAAAAAAAAAAAAAAAAAAAAAAAAAAAAATGGAAGGTACCACATTAGTTATATGTGTTACGTTAAAAAGAAATATTTGTCCTTTACTTATGAATTAATGATTAAGCAAACTGTAGGTATATCCATACAATGAGATATGACTCAGCAATAAAAATGAATGAACTGAGGCATGCAACCACATGGATTATTCTCAAATGCATTATCCTAAGTGAAAGAAGCCAGACTCAAAAGCCTACATACTGTATGATACCACTCATAAGACAGTCTGGAAAAGACAAAACTATTAGGACAGAAAGCGAATCATTGGTTGCCAAGGGCTGGTTAGAGAGGTTGACTACGGAGGCATGAGGAAACTTTTTTCATATGATGTAACTCTTCTGTATCTTGATTGTGGTGGTGGTTACACTACTGTATACATTTGTTAAAACTGGTAGAACTATGCACTAAAAAGGGCTAATTTTACTCCATGTAAATTATACCTAAAAACAAATGTATCTAATCCCATCAAAGTGATGGGTTCATTTCTACATAATTACAGACCATTTTTTTTAAGTTTAATGTTTATCTTTCCCTTGGCACCAAGTTTCTCTTATAAACCAATTACTTGATCTGAAGCATTAAGGAATTTAGGAATGTTTCATGTAATAGGGTGGATTTCAATCTGGTCTCTCACTGACTCAGACTATAGACAAACTCCTCAGCTAAATGTTGGGACCCTCCACAGTCTTGTCACATTTGCCACAAATTTAATTTCCTTTTTTTAAAAGATCTTTTTAATTCTATAGGTTTTTTGGGAACAGGTGGGATTTAGTTACATAAGTAAGTTCTTTAGTGGTGATTTGTGAGATTTTGACCCATCAATCGAGGAGTATACACTGAGCCCAATTTGCAGTCTTTTATCCCTCACCCCCTTCCCACCCTTTCCCTCTGAATCCCCAGAGTTCTTTGTGTCTTTCTTATGCCTTTGCATCCTCATAGCTTAGCTCCCACTTATGAGTGAGAACATACAATGTTTGGTTTTCCATTCCTGAGTTACTTCACTTAGAATAATAGTCTCCAATCTCACCCAGGTCACTGTGAATGCCATTAAGTCATTCCTTTTTATAGCTGAGTAGTATTCCATCGTGAATGTATACCACAATTTCTTTATCCACTCATTGATCGATGGGCATTTGGGTGCCACAGCCTTAATTTCTATAATCCCCTTGCATCATCCTTCTTCTTAGAGCTGGTCTCCTCACTGCCTCTAGCACTCAAAGCTCATACCTTTTTTCATATAGTCACCCTGTCCAGAAATGCATTCCTTCTCCCTTTCTTCTGCCTCCTCCTCATCTCAGTTCTATCATCAATAAATACTCACGAAATGAGCACTGTCCTATATGCAAAGGAAATAAAGATTAAACTAGCTGGATGCAGTGGCTCACACCTGTAATCCCAGCACTTTGGGAGGCCGAGGTGGGTGGATCACCTGAGGTCAGGAGTTCGAGACCAGCCTGGCCAACACAGTGAAACCCCTTCTCTACTAAAAATACAAAAAAATTAGCCAGGCATTGTAGTGGGCACCTGTAATCCCAGCTACTTGGGAGGCTGAGGCAGGAGAATCATTTGAACCCAGAAGACGGAGGTTGCCGTGGGCCAAGATCACGCCACTGCACTCTAGCCTGGGCAACAGAGAGAGACTCCGTCTAAAAAAAGAAAAGAAAAGAAAAAAATTAAACTAGACATGAACCTTGTCCCCAAAGAGCTTCCAGGAAATAGAACTTATAATAGCATGTTAAAAGTTGTTTTGACAATATTATTTGTGAATTTTATTTTCTTTTATCTCATTGGGGCTATCTAATTTTGGACATTGAATACCTGTTTGGTAATAAGAGGGGAAGGCAGAGATTAAGGATTAATAAATGGTTTGGACTAGAGGTTTTCAGACTTTTGGAAGTGACAACTAGACATTAGGATATCAAAAATCAGAAATTGCCAGTATCAGAAAGGAACTGGTGGGTGGAGATACCTTGTGGAATCTCATTACAAATGGCAGATACATCCATCTTAATCTATGTTGATGCTCTCATTCACAGTAAGAATCAAGATGAATATCACATTGACTTATTGGATAGTACAGGGAAAATTTACTCTTGGAGAAGCCTAATTAATTGCAATGAGCAGATTCTAGAAGGAAAAATATAACCTATCTCAGGAAGGCTCCTGCATGTTTTATTTCAAATCCTGCTTAGTTCTGTTTTCATTCTCTAACTAAATCAGAAGGATCATTTGGCTGAGGGAAAAGTGTTCTTTTTTTTCTTGCACAATTTTCACTAACACATAAGGAGACATTCTACTTGTTTATTATAAATGACTTACTTGGTTTATTATTCCAACAATAGCAAATTAACATTGTCCAGAAAAACCTTTAATACTAGCTGATTTTTAATAAGACATATTGTGATACATAATACTGGAAATAATTTTTAAAGTAAAGAACTATACAAATGAGACATAAAAATATCCTGTAATCCCACTATCCAGATATAACTATTAATATTTTGAAGTATGACTTCCTAGTCTTTTGTTTATATACATATTATATATAATAGCTGGGATCACACCATGTATTCAGTTTTGGTAGTCTTCTTTCAATTAATGTAATATAAAAAATCCCCATGATAACAAGAATTCTTCAAAAAACTGGATTTTTAATATGGTAGCTACAGTATATTATCATACTTATTGACATCTTTTTCTTTTTTCTTTTTCTTTCTTTCTTTTCTTTTTTTTTTTTTTTTTTTTTTTTGAGACAGAGTCTTGCTCTGTTGCCCAGGCTGGAATGCAGTGGCACGATCTTGGCTCACTACAACCTCCGCCTCCCAGGTCCAAGTGATTCTCCTGCCTCAGCCTCCCAAGTAGCCAGGACTTACAGGCACGTGCCACCACGCCCGGCTAACTTTTTGTATTTTTAGTAGAGAGGGGTTTTTTTTTTACCGTGTTAGCCAGGATGGTCTCGATCTCCTGACCTCGTGATCCACCCGCCTCAGCCTCCCAGAGTGCTGGGATTACAGGCGTGAGCCACCGCGCCCCGCCGACCTCTCTTTCTAACTTTTCACTAGAATTAATATCTTTATACAATTATTAGCTATGTTCCTGATTATTTTCATAGAAAAGGCTGCTTTATGTTTGATCCTAGAGTATAAATCAAAGGGCATACGTTTTTTAAGGCTCCTAATACATATTGCTAAATCGCCTTCCTTGAGAGTGGTAATAATTTCTCCTGAGAACATTACAGTATGCCTGCTTTCTTAACAACTATGCCACATATTAGAGTATTTATGTTAAAAACATATGCATTTGTCAAATGTGGGACCATCTGGGCATCAACAAGAATAATGCTTGCAATAGATTAAAATACATCAAATATAAAAATCTATGAATTCCTAATGAAACACAAAACATCACTGCTCACCTTTGAAGGTTGCCGGACACTATTTTGTTATTCTAAATATATATTTTAAAGAGATTGATCACATATTTGTTCTTTCTTTTCTGTTTGAACTGTATTTCAAGCTAACTAAATAGATGATGAGAAAATCCCAGCTAATAGGTATATGAGTAACAATAAAACTTATACCATCACTATTTTGCAGTCCTCATGAAACAATGGATGGAGACAATGATCATCAATAGATATCCAAACTCTCAATGAAAAGTTATTGGGGAACTTTATAATAGAGGATTCCAACTGACATTACCTCTACCCACAAATCAATCTTAATATCATGATAAGTAGGACAGCTAGGCACGTGCTTCAGGATTTGATTAATATAGCATCATAGAGTATCACCTATTATCTTGCCAAAAATAGAACTGGGATTTAATAAAATCTAATCGAGATCTTACTACTAGTTTATAGGAAATGTAAGGAATACAAACAAGTTAAACATATTGGAGGAAGCAATTCGCGCAAACCAAAATGTGGAAAATTCTACAGGGCAAGTGATAAATTTTTTTAATAAATAAATACATTGTGTTTGTTGGAAGGGGTGAGGGGTATAATCAAACAATTGGTTAAGGAGCGTTCTATATAGAAAAAACATCTGCTTTTAAAAAATGGAGAAAGAAAAACTGGATAATAAAATCTTATTTATTACCTATTTGAAATCTAATAGTATTCAATGAATATCATATACAAACTCTTTTTTGGTGGTAGATTATTCTGTATATGAGTGGGTTTGCTTCTGTCAAAATTTAAAACATTTTCTTTATGTTTCTGATTTTCCAAGAGGAACGTATTTCAGTTTGCTCTTTTCATGTAAAGCATTAGGAAGAAGTCTTCTGAGCTAGCCAAGATACTGCGTTTGAAATTGCAAGGTCAGTTCAGGCACTCTGGGTAGTAACCATCAGGTGGCGCCGCTCTACAGCTTTTCTAAACCCAACATGAAACCCTTCAGACTTTGAAATAAGCAAGGAGGTAAGAGCAGTCACAGGAAACTGATACAGTCACCAAATACTTAAGCTCAATGCTATGGCTTTCCTAGGTGATATTACGAAATTGCTTGTATTTCTATGTTCATCCTACCTGTTGTCATCCCTCAGTACTTAGAGATTTTAAGCAGAAACGTGTTTTAACTATTCTACTAAGAACCAAAATATCAATGTTGAACTTCCAAGAGAATATTTCTGTCATAGGTGTCCTGAAGACTTTACAGAACTTTTCATTTTCCTTTTGAAACCAATGCAAGCCCACTGGGCTGTGCCAGGGTCCACACTCCCTCACTTTGCTGATTCCTGCATTCCCATCTGTCAAAAAACTGTTGTGAGCTAACCTGAGCTCCCACACCGCAGCTACCACTCTCCTGGGTCAAAATACAAGAACAGTGAATCACAACCTGGCCCTCTGGGCGTTTACCACTTGGTTACTCCTGAACAAATTAGAGAACAAGTAAGAACTAAAACTGAAGGGCACTGAATAGGGGTGATAGGCGTGGCCAGGTGAGACCAGAGGGCCGGAAGGACTTTGTGGAAGAGGGGACACCTGAATTAAGTCTTAAAGAAATGGGTTGATTTGAATACATACCAAAAGTAAGAAAATCTGGGGAGCATCAGCAAATGTGTGCATAAACTGCGAACTCAAAGCCTGTAAGCAGGCAACAGAAAAAAGCAGGCGATCTAGATGTAAGACAGTAAAAATGGGGGAGGACTGTGGCAAACAACCGAGCTTTTGCTCTGCCTAAATGGCATTTATGCCATTTTTCTTTTGAGACAGAGTCTGTCACCCAGGCTGGAGTGCAGTGGCGCAATCTCAGTTCAGTGCAACCTTTGCCTCCTGGGTTCAAGTGATTTTCGTGCCTCAGCCTCCCAAGTAACGGGGATTACCTGGCTAATTTTTGTATTTTTAGTAGAGATGGGGTTTCACCATGTTGGCCAGGCTGGTCTTGAACTCCTGACCTCAGGTGATCCACCCGTCTCAGCCTCCCAAAGTGCTGGGATTACAGGCGTGAGCCACCGTGCCGGTGCCACTTCTTTTAACACTGTTCCAGTCCCTACCTCCCCACAAAGTGTCTGCCAGCTGGCTGCATGCTGGTTTGCAATCTCTGGGAGAGGCTGGCTACTTTCTTTAGATCTTTTGTTTCCCTATGTTATCAACTTACCATGTCTAAGTGAAGCACCCAGAATGTGAATCCCCTAGAAGATATATACAATGAGAGGATCTTTCTCCCTAGGTTTTATTCCTGGAAATTTTTAGAAACCCAGAACTAAAATTGGAATTAATAAATTTTTCTAATTATGAGATAGAAAAGCAGAAGTAACAAGAGTTTGAAATTTTAATGTCAGAACTTTTTTGAAGAATGTTCATAATTATAGCAAGGGAAGAAGTGATGAATCAGTTAAGGGAACTTTATTATCGCCAGACACAAGACTTTTGTTGTGTGTTGCTTGTGACGCTAACTCCATCTCTAGTTACTTAATGTTCCCAGATTCGTGACTATTTTGTCATTCAAAGATCAAACATTTCATTTTCCTTCCTTCTCTTTCCTCTTAGGTGTTTCAGCAGCAATTAAGTCATGCTGTGGAATGCTTAAGTGCAGTAACAAATGTCATGAAAACTGAACATACAGCTAATTTTACTTCTCATGAATAGAGTTCCTGTGGTTTCACTTCAAGACTAATGGAGGGGATGCATTCCATCCTTATTCTCTACTTTAAATCGCTGAGATTAGCTTCAGGGATCCAGCTTCCATTCAGCCTAAATTTTTCAACATTGTGGGCTTATTCCATATAGTTCTGATCTCTTGTTGATGCCCTGGGCCTCAGGAACTACTGGAATGAATTGTTATTTTTTATTCATTTTTAGAACTGCATTTTTAGGACGGGGAGTGGTGGCTTATGCCTTAATCCCAGCACTTTGGGAGCCCGAGGCGGGTGAATCACCTAAGGTCAGGAGTTCGAGACCAGCCTGGCCAACATAGTGAAACCCCCGTGTCTACTAAAAATACAAAAAAATTAGCTAGGCATGATGGCGCCTGCCTGTAGTCCCAGCTACTCCGGAAGCTGAGGCAGGAGAATGGCTTGAACCCAGGAGGTGGAGGTTGCAGTGAGCCGAGATCATGCCATTGCACTCCAGCCTAGGTGACAGAGTAAGACTCCTTAAAAAAAAAAAAAAAAAAAAAAAAAAAACCAAAAAACCTGCGTTTTTAAGGGGAGGCTTTCCAACCATGATTAACTTCATTTTCTGTAGGTCCATGAAAGACCTCCTCCTCCTTCTCCACCTCCCTCTACAATATATGAGTATTTTCTCCACCTCCCTCTACAATATGTAAGTATCCTACCAAACCTCCATGAAAAGGTAAAGAAATGTACTTTGGAAGGAATAAGCAGGAGAGGGACTTCCTTTATTTCCCAATTACTATAATACTATTTGGCATCAGTTAGTAAACAGGGTTTGAAAAGGAAATGAGGATTTGGTAAAAGTGACTGAATTGTCCCACAGTTTTTACAGAGTCAAGAGGATCCTATGAATTTCCCACTGGGTTAAAAATATGACACAATCCAAGGAGACAGCATACCCAGTAGTGCCGTGTAGACTGTCGTAAACACCGTTTCACCAGGCTGCACAGATGATGCTGCTCTTCCCTTCACCTCCCATCCTGTCGAAAAGGTTTTGTTATTTTGTGCTCATTTCAGAAGCTGATGTGTAAATGGTGTGTATTTCTGTTGCCATGACAACCCAGCAGCAATTGGCCTGGGCTTCTTACCAGAGTACAAATGTGCTCTTGACACGATGCTTATCAGACTTTGCCAGACAATTTTCCCTCCTGGATTCACACAAAAGGTTTCGAAGACTCCTAACTGCATTTAGAGGAGAGACAGGCTGAAATTTCGCACTTGGCTCACATGAATGATGAAGCTCTAAAGCTCTGATCCCCTGCTGAAGTCATCGTGTTCTAGTCTATCATTTCAGTACTCTGGGGGCAACTCTGTATAATTAAAGAGGACCAAGTATAAATGTGGCAAAAAAATCTTGCTGGCTACCAGAACTGGGCTTTTGTTGATGTTTCATGTGACACATAACTGTCTCTGCATTTAATAAAAGGTCACTGTGACTGCCTATGTTCTTATTCATATTTTGGCTCGTCAAATTTGTGTGTAGGTGCCATACCAAGAGAAAAACAAAACCCAACAATGCAAACAAACTGAATGATCCCTCGGGCCCTTCTCACACACTCGTGGGCTCTGTTTTGTGTCCTTGTCCCTAGTGACCAAAAAATTTCAACTCATAATAATTTGTGCCATGTTACACACAACTTTCGATCATTTAGGGATGGACTGTCTAAATTTTGGAGCTCTTTGGTGCCTTCATTTCTCCTCCTTGTCCTTCCCACTACTGCTGTATCTGCCATTTTGCCAGCATCTCTTTCAGAGGGCAAATAGAGGAAATGAAACACACATTGTTTAATTTGACACTTATTAGCACCCCTCCAAAGGCTTTTATTAGGACAATGGGAACTAGTGAAATGACTTGTGGGGATTATCTGTGGTTCATGCCAACCCTGTTTCCAGAATCATGTGCAATCTTTAGTTGGCTCTATTTCGAAATAGCTTCTATTAGTTATCTCATTATTTCGATAAGGTAGCTCATGAAGTCAAATAAATACCAGCTGCTTCTTTAAAAAGAAATCTTTGTGTCTCTCAAAAAGTGAGAGCTATTGAGATGTGAGGTAGAAAAGGCTACAGGATATTTCAAGGTGATTGTAGTTTTGTTTGGATCCTACTTACCAGTTGCAAGTTGACCCATTGAAAGGAAAATTAACTACATTAGGATTCAGCCACAAATGTCAGCCGTGTCTTCAAGCAAGCGGTTTAAAGCTCACGGATTTCAGTTCCCTCATCTGTAAAATAAGAAAATTTGACAACATTAATTCTAAGGTCTGCTCCAGGCCTAAAATTCTGTTTCCCTCTGGGAATTCTGGAAAACCTAAGCCCCAACCTTGCTGATGCATTTTGATAAATTAGGGTTGAAAAATACGAGGGGTAACCGTAAGAGAGAATCATCCAAAAACCCAAAATCAACATTGAAGCCACTTCCAGTCCTAAATTTTTGGCCTGCTTCCCAAAACTTCCCTCTACCTCCATCTCTTTACCTAACTCCTCACTCCATAATCTTTTAAAATAAAAAGGCAACGAAGAAAGTGCAAGTGTCTGGCTTGAATTATTAGCTTCCTTAAATTCAGTGTGCCTATTGTAGAAAGGACTTTTTTACATGGAGTGGGAGACTGAACTACAGGAACTCCAAGCACCATTTCAACACTCACTTTCTGATTTGAAAATTTGATATTAATTATACAAAAGAGCCAGTGCAGAGAACCCCTATAGGCCCAGGTCACAAACTTGTAGTATATCAGCCCACAGATGTTTTGTTTGGCCCACAAATATGATTTACATTTCCGTTAAGTTTGGTTGTCAGCATTTAAAACATAAAGATTTTGCATGAAAAAAAATTCAGGTGTTCAGTGTCTATTTGTAAAACTGGCAGAGCTGATGAAGGTGGGCTCACCTCCCTACAGTCCCCTGATGCTCAAGGGGCCGCCCCTTCAGGCAAAGCAGGTGCTCCCCCTTCAGGCAGAGTAGGTGCTGCCCTCCCAGTATACCACAGTCCACACCCCGCTATAGCCTCATTCATTCCCCCTGCCCTACACTGTGCACAGGGGAGTTGCAGATGCTTGACTTACTGGCTCCTCAAGGAACACCCGTGGTCTTCAGACCACCACTGAAGAATCACTGTTCTGAAAGAAAAAAAAAATCACTGACCTTTCAGAAAATACATCCTGAGAATTATCCAATCAAACGTTAGAGCTTCTTTGGGGAGATCCATGCTTATTTAATGATGTTTTAAAAACAAAGAAAAGAAAAAAGCAAAACAGCAATCTGAACATCAATGACAGCTGTTCAGTAGGTGGGATGCTATTTTTGCTTATTCTAATGAACACAGTGTGCCAGACAGCATTCTGCAGATGCTCACCTCTCTGGAAGAAAAAGGAAAAAAAAAAAAACCCAGAGATGGAGTGCTATTTAATCAGACCACTCTCTGATAAGAGAATAACTAGTGATCCTGGCCCCCCATCCCCTCCGTATGGAGGCAGGGATTGTGCAATCTGTTTTTTTTTAAAACAACTTTGTTGAGATGTGATTCATATACCATAAAATTTGACCTTTCAAAACATACAGTGGTTTTTAGCATATTTGCCAAGTTGAGCAGCCATCATCACTATCTAATTGCAAAATGTTTTCACCACTGCAAAAGGAAACCCGGTCCCCATTAGCAGGCACTCCTCATTCCAATCTCCCCTTCCCCCAGCCATAGGCAAGCACTAATCTACTCTCTATCTCTATGGATTTGTATATTTTGGATATTTTATATAAATAGGATCATCTGATCATAAGTAACATTTTGTGTCTGATTTGTTTCAATTAGCATAATGTTTTTAAAGCTAATTTATTTTGTAGCATGCATCAGTACTTTCATCCTTTTTATAGACAAATTATATTCCATTGTATGGATAAACCACATCATGTTTACCCATTTTCTCTATTGATGGACATTTAGGTTGTTTCTTTTTGGCTATTATAAAAAATGGCACTGTGAACACTTGTGGACAGGTCATTATGTGTATATATGTTTTCATTTTTCTTGGGTTTATACCTAGAACTGAAATTGGTGGATCATATGGTAATTCCATATTTAACTTCTGGAAGAACTGCCAAATTATTTTCCTCAGCGGCTGAATCTTTATATTCTCATCAGCAATATATGAGAGCTTCAATTTCTCCACATTCTCAAGAACATATGTTATTATATTATCTATCTTTTTTAGTTTAACCATCTTACCAGGATCTCATTATGGTTTTAATTTCTATTTCCTTGATGACATATGACTCTGAGTATCTTTTCATGTGATTATTAGCCATTTGCATATCTCCTTTGGAGAAATGTCTATTCAAACTGTTTACCCATTTTAAAAATTTGGTTATTTGTCTTTTTATTGTTAGTTTTAAGAGTTCTCTATATGTTCTGGACACAAGCCCCTTATCAGATATATGATTTGCAGATATTTTCTTCCATTCTGTGGATTTTCTCCTCATTTTCTTACTAGTGTCTTTTGAAATACAGAAGTTTTGATTTTGATGATGTCCAATATTATCTATTTTGTATTTTGTCACTTACGCTTTTACTGTCATGTCTAAGAAATCATTACATAACGCCAGGTCACAAAGAATACTCCTGCAGATTCCTCTAAGAGTTTTATAGTTTTAGCTTTGACATTTGGGTCTACGGTCCATTTTTAGCTAGTATTTATCTACGGTGTGAGACAGGGCCATGCAGTCAATTTTTAGTAGTTAAGAACTTGCTTCCTTTTACTTATGCTCCAGCCTGTGCTTTATTAAAGAATATAAAAATATAAGAATGTAATCCCAAGAAACAATAAACTTTGCTTGGCTTCCCGATGTAACACCATCCAATTCCCCTCACACATTATAGTGTAACACAGGCCAACAGATAAAGTTTTCCTTTGTGGAAAAGCAGACTAAACTGTGGTTTGATGACTATGTGACATATTCTAGAGTTCAGATACAAGATCCAAAGTAATGTGGCAGTGATGCCTGGAGCCCTGTCAATCCCCGTGTCATCCCCAGTGTCTCACCAGAAGACTGGATCCTGGGAAACTGCTCCTTCTGGAGACTTCCTTTTGATTACAATGCACACACATATATGCACACATTATATACATGCACACACATATATACCTACATGTACATATACATATGTGGACATATATATAAACCCAATTCCTAATTTATAAAATTTATAAAATATTAAAACATGTAACCACCATTTCTGTTGGCATTCCTAGCCTCCCTCCACTGCTCATTGCCAAATTCTTCTTTTCCAATGAGTCATTGTAAAAACAAATTTTTTTTCATAGATTCTGTAGATGAAAAAGTGAAGAACAGGATGAAGTAACATGGGAAGATATTTGAAGGCAGAAGATATAAGGGACAGACTCAAGCAGGGTCCCAACTAGAGAGAACAACCTTTCCCAACCACCCAGGCAGAGAAGCCATTCTTTATCTGTGTCCCTATGCTACTTGCACACACTTCTAGTGTAGCACGCATGGGGATCATTTGTTGGCAGTGGTGTCTTCCCCTATAACCTATATGCTCCTCAAAGGCAAGAAGTCCATCTTATTTATTTTTGTATCTCATCCTGTCTAGTGTCCCTTGTAGCACCAGAGACCTAGCAAGCACTAAAAAAATGTTGGCTTAAGAAACGTTTACGGAGTGGAAGTGGAAGGAAATCTTTTCTTTCCTGCTTGCCTGAATAATATAGGATCTATAGCACAGGCTCCTACTTATAAAGCCCATATAAATCCTGGCGCTCCCATAGCCCAATCCTAGTATAGAGTTCTAGTCAAAAAATGCCATCTAACAAGAAAAAGTAATTTTAAAATAATTCTAATTTTCACTTGAATCTCTTGAAGGACACTGTCTCAGTTCATTTTGTTTTGCCCTAAAGGAAAAACTGTGTAATCTGTCAAGTAAAGAGGCTTATCTGGCTCATGGTTCCGCAGGCTGTACACGAAGCCTCGCACCAGCATCTGCATCTGGTGAAGGCGTCAGACTGCTTCCACTCAAGGCGGGAGGTGAAGGGGTGCCAGCTCTGTAGAGCTCATGGGGTGACAGAGGAGGAAAGGGGGAGGAAGGAGGGCCAGGCTCTTTCTAACAACCAGCTCTGGTGGGAAGAGGGGACTAATATAGTGATGATTCAATCATCCCCAGGGAGGGCACGAGACTGTTCATGAGGGATCTGTCCCCATGGCCAAACACCTCCATTAGGCCCCACCTCCAACATTGGGATTAAATTTTAACCTGAGGTTAATGGGGGACAAACATTCAAACTATAGCAAACATTAAAAAGAATTAAACTCATAACCTACTATAATACCTGTAAACATTTTCCATTTGCTTCCTCTCCAGTTTTCTCTTCTCTTGAAGCTGTTCTTGATCCTCTGTCTCTCTGAACTACTTCCTCCTAACTCTCTCCTGGAAGTTCTTCTGGGCATCCGTTCTCCCATGCTCTCCTGCCTCATGCCACACCACAGGGCCTTTCCTGCTGGCCACAAAACCCACTTGGCCCAGGGCAGTAGAAGGCTGTGTGGCCTCTTTGCTTGGAGACAGTTGAGTCCCCACCTCCACCCACAGGAAGTATCGTTCTTTCCTTATCCTGCTTTCCTCCCAAAAAATAATCATAAAGAATTTCTGGAATTCTATTATCTGTTAATATTACTTGTTATCTCATGAGTTAGATAGACTTTATGGGAGAGCTTGAAACTTGACCACCATTTAAAACACGGTTTCTGCGGGAAAGGCCACCATACATACTGAACCGCTGATTTACAAGCCAACTTTTGGAATACAACTTATTCATAAGCTGGGAGCCATCTGGGTGGTAACGAGCTTTGTGGTTTCTTCTTTTGGTTTCATGGTTTTGAATGAAGTTTGATCAAAGTTAAAATGGAGGAAACATTTCCTACGAATTCATTGGTATTTATCTGGCAGAAGTAAATATTTCTGGAGGAATATGGACTTCAGAATGGTAAGACGATTTCTAAGGGATTTCTCTTGTTTAATCGACCAAATTAACAACTCAGGCTGGAGTATTTAGGATTGAGTTACCAGAAAGAGGAAAGTGAATTCAGAGAAACTGCTAATCAAGATAAAGGTTGAAAGGCAGAGAAGCAAGGGATAAAGAACACTGTATTCTGTCTGACCTGCTTACAGAAGCAGGTCTTCTCCTGTTTTTGACACTGGTCTTAGTAAGCTCCTCTTCCCTTTGTGCTCCCTACTGCGAGGGGCTTGCCTTTCCCCACGAGACCAACATCACTCGCCCATGCTTTTGAAGCCAAGAGCAGTGGGATGCCACCAGCAAGACCCTGCATCAATTAGAGCTCCAGTCTCTGCTTTTGTTGCCTTCTCTGAGGTGAGGCAGCAGTCAGCATGGACAAGAGCCATCCTGCATCAGTGTCCTGGCTTCATCCCTAACAAGCTACATGAGCTCAAGCAAGCTATTGACCTCTCCCTGCTTAGTTTCCCAATATACCAAGTGGAAAGTAGCACCTGCTGAACTGCCAAGAACAGTGCTTCTCAACCCTGGCACTTCCCTAGAGGGAATGGAAGGAGACCCACAAATGCCAATGGCTCCTCCAGAGCCATCATCTTGCCTATCTCCTCATCAAATTTCCTTGGCATCCTGACCAATTTCTACCACTTTTATTCTTGGAGCAGATGTCAGAGAGGCCACTTTCTTTGGAAATCATCTCCTGCTCCCTTTCATATCTGAAATCTCTTATTGTATTGGTGTCCTATTGCTACTGTAACAAATTACCCAAAATATAGTGGCTTAAAACAGTGTAATTTTATTATGTTTTATAGGCCAGAAGTCCAAGTCTTATAGGCCAGAAGTCCAAAATGGATCTTACAAGGCTTAACTCAAAGGCTGCATTCCCCTCAAGGCTTGGAGCCTGTTTCCTTGCCTTTTCCAGCTTCTAGAGCCACCTTCGCTTGTGGCCACAGCATTTCAGCCTTTGCCACTGTCCTCACATCTCTTTCTCTGACTGACCCCTCTTATGGGGACCCTTTTGAGTACATCAGGCCCTCCTGCATGATCCAGGGCCATCTCCCCATCTCAAGACCCTTAACTTAGCTGGGCACGGTGGCTCACGCCTGTAATCCCAGCACTTTGGGAGGCCGAGGCGGGTGTCTCACGAGGTCAGGAGTTCGAGATCAGCTTGACCAACATGGTTGAAAAAAAAAATGCTTAACTTAATTATATCTGCAAAGTCCCTTTCACCATGCAGTTCTAGAGACTAGCATGTGGATGTGTTTGGGGGACCATCATTCAGCTACCATGCTTGTCTTGGCATCACAGTAAAACATGAGGCAGATTCTTACTACTGATTTTAATAAAAATAGTTTTAAAATATTTTTAAAAAATAAAAATAAGGCAGAAACAGTTCCATTTGACATTTTCATTGGAGGTATTTCCAGTGTTTCCAGCATTGGTTGCCTGGGATGATGCCACTAAACATGATAGGAAATAGAGGTCGGGGGCAAACTAGGGGTGAGGGCAGGTGGGGCTACAGCATGCTTATTTGTTGGTATGTTGTGTTTGAGGTCCCTCCCGGATATCAATGTAGAAATGTCTACAGCAGTTGGAAGAACAGCTCTGGGGCCGGGGAGAAAAGCCTGGGCATGGATGTAAATGTGGAGTTATTGACAGAGATGATACAGTTGAAGCCATGGGGGTGCCTAAGATCACCGAGAAGGAAGATGGGGAGGGCAGGAAGGAAGGGCCAAGAGTGCAAGGTGTCTGGGGAAGAAGAATAAGGTCAGAGAGCACAGGACTTTTAGAGAGGCCAAAGGAAAATGAAGTAACAATTATAAAGATAATAATTGCCTGCATATTGGTAAAGTGAAACTTCATTTGATCATATCTTGCTTATTATGTACATAGGGAAAACCCACTCATTTTATTTATGGTAACATTTTTCAGTATGTCACATTCACAAAATTGACCAAGTGAGGATTTGTCATAGTATTGAGCGCCCGTGGTGGAGCAGGCAGTGTCAGTGATGAGAATGTGAAAATGAATCAGCAGGTCCTTTGTGCTCACTTCTTCAACCCACAGGATAAGACCAACAATATCAGAGAAGTTACCTCCTCTGAGAAGCAGGCCACTACTCAGGTGGACTAGAAGATCCAGCTTACCGTGTAGACACAGAATAGCCTCTGTTCATGGTATTTTGCCTTTAATAGGCTTTTCTTTATCTATTGAAGATATTAAGATACTGGCCATTCTCTCCAGCAGTATTAAGAAGACTAATAATAATAATAACAAAAGTCCATGTCACCATAGCCAAAACAGAAAACAGAGCAGAAACTTGGTGAAGTTAATCAAATAATTGCTGCAGGCCCTTGGTTATGGAGAACTCTCCCTGCTTTTGGTTGAGCAAGAGACCCTCCCAGAGCCTGGCACTGGGATTCCCACAGCGTTCCATTCCAGAGCCACAGGGTCCCAGCAGGCACACCACACAGCATTTGAGTTCCAGCTCCTCTAGGCTTTCAGCCATGGCACAGTTTGTTTGTTTTTCCCCAAAGCAAAGTGCTGCCTGGCAGCTGAAAAGAGTGCATGTTTCCTCTTTCTCAACCTGGCTTCTTATATAGCTGTGCTATATTTGGCAGCTCAGTCTTACTTCCTATTCCAAATGCTTCCTCTTCCTGTGGGGAGAATTCTCAGAACTCTCGTGGCTCTGGTAGGTGTTATCAAAAACTTGTGCAAGGCCACTTGGTGGTACAGTCCGTACTCCACAGAGCCACCTCCCAGCTCAGTGACTCACCTGTGCCTGGAGGACACAGGGGATGAACTCTTCAAAAAAAGAACAGAGAGTTCCAGGACACCTTTCACTTGAATTGTGATGAAGGTTTAATAATGAACAAAAGCAGAGGGAGATTGGAATTTGTGGGGGTGAGGTGGCAAGAGAGATTTGAAAAGACAGATGAGACTTTAAGGCCTGAAGACAAATACAATTTATTCCTCAAAGAAAAAGTAGTAATTATTTGTTTGAGATCTATCTTCCCCTGTAGACTATAAGAATCATGAGAACCATGAGAGGCCATGCCATTTTTTGTGCATTGTTTTAACTCTAGTAAAGTGCTGGCTGGTATTATAGTAGGTGCTCAATTAATGTTTATTGAACAAATGAATAAACGAATGAATGAAGGCAGAAAGAGGCATGAGCATTGAAAAGTAATCCTTTAAAAACATGTGTTGGTATATGGAAAGAGAAAGAAAAACTGTATACATGTTAACAGTATTTATTTCTGAGTGGAGGGATTAGAGAGTATTCTAATTGTTTTCCTTTTATGATTTTCTGTTGTAGTCTCATTTTCCTATAATGATTTCTCATGCCTGTTTAACAGAAATATTTTAAAGTAAGGATTCAAAATTTAAAAAGCCTGGAAGGAAATATATAAACCTTAGAGCAGCTTTTGTGCTGGGCATAGAATTGTAGAGTTTTATTTTATTTTCTGAATGTTCTATTGCTTTCATCATCTGAGAACACTTTTGAAACGAACAAGTTAGTGAGTCACCATGGCAGGAGAGCACTATTGTAGGAGGGCTGGGATCCCAGAGCTCAGTGATCATGAAGAAAATGTCAAGTTAAACAGGAGAAGAAGGTGATGTATATAATGGCATATCTTTTGATCGGTAAATGTATATATATATATATATATATATATATATATATATATATATATATATCTCCATAGGGATTTTATTTTTGAAACACCCCTTGGAAATACCTGCCACATTCACCAGAAGCTAAATAGGTCCTGCATAATTTCTTCATTCCCACTTGTGAGAGACTATGTCTCTGACTTTGTTCACAGTTAAGGATAATTTTTTTTCATTGACTAAGATGAGACATAGATTTCTTATGCTTCTTTCAAATGAAAACTTATAAATACCGGCTATTTAGGGATATTTTACAATTGCACAGGTAGGAAAATCAGAACACAAAATATCATTGTTGTATAGATGCTCTGCAGGTCTGTGCAGGTCGCTCTATGACACTTATGGATTAATGGGGAGTTTTGTCTGGTAAATTGATTTGTAATCTGCTGGAGAAACATTTTGAGCTGTATTTGGTTTGATTAAGGTGGAACCTAGTCTAAATCTACGGACAACCCGGTCAGAGTCAGCCTCGTAGATGAAAACCCCAGGGCCTCCTTCAACCTCTGGTGACCACAACAGTGTGAAGTGTTACTGCAGGAGTAGCCACTCCAATCCTGTTAGCTCTGCCAGATAGGGAAATAGGCAGAGAAATTCTCCTGGTGCAAAGCTATCAGCTGTAGCTTAAGGGTGAAAGAATTCACTAATTAATACCATGATGTTGGGGGTAATAGAATGGATGACACAGCAGAGTGTGTGTGTGTGTGTGTGTGTGTGTGTGTGTGTGTGTGTGTGTGTAGCCTATTTGAATACATTTGGGGTACTAGCTTTTGATTCAGATCATAACATATTTGGATGGTTGGAATTAAAACAATGGGGAATTAAAATGTGAGAATACTAAAGTACCTTAAGGAAGGAACTGGAAAAATGTTTGTCTCCCTTCAAAGACAGCAGATTTACATGCACACACGTGCGCATGCACACATACATACAAACACACACACACACAAACTAGATGCCAGTAAAACAAAACAAAACAAAACAAAAAAATGGCATGGCTTCTCTCCAAAAACAACCCATACAAACTCTAAAAGGGCATCCTTCAGTTTTCTGCCTCCAGTTCGGGACAAATAGTCCCTCAGCAGCCCCTTGCATAATGGGATCTCTCTGATTGGCCTGCTGAGCAGGGATCCCTGGCTTCTTGAGTCCTGATGCTGGCTACTGTCAAATCAGTGCTGTTTGCAGGCACTCATCTCCCTTCTTGGCAGGAGAAAACCTGGAGAGGAGGCGACAAGGTGGAGAAAAATCCAGTACAGGGGGTGAATGGTGAACATAAAGGAGAAGCTGTTACCCTCTCCAGGCCAAGGAGAACTGCTGTGGAAATGCTACACTGTGACCAAGCAGTAGGGATTATGAGGTATACAGAGACTTTTTTTAACTTGCATCTGATTGTGTGATATTTAGTTACATGACTTTGGTGGTCTAAAGCCTGTCTGTGCCTTGTTCTTTTTTTCCATATCCATCATTCAACAATCGGATCCTATGAGTTATTCCATTTTAATTTCCATCTTTCACTGAGTTTGGGTATCATTGTGGTTGTTAGGTATTTTAGCCAGATTTAGTGCTTTTTTGAGGTATTCAGAAACTGTCTATAAGTCTCAGGAAGTTGAGACAATGAACATGTCACAACCATAATATCCCTTGGTTTGTTTCTACTCAGTTACTCCTTTTCACTGTGGGCTGCTCAAATCCCCTCCAGATGCACTATTGTGTGTTTAGGACATATAAAATACCACTAGAGCTGCTTCCATTTGTACTTTATTCACACAGTGACATGACAAATGAAAGAAGAGTGGTAAATGGTCATAACTGAACTGGGGTCAGATTTATTAGACTATTTTTAACATACGAATTCAAAAATACTATTTGAACAAGTAAGTATCTGAAGTTTGCACTTACCTGTTGGAAAAGCTAAGACTGGAACGCATTCTACTGAAAATATAAAAAAGTTAGGCTTGGAATAAGAGGTAATGCTACCTTTAAAGGAGATTTTAGGCCAGGCATGGTGGCTCATGTTTGTAATGCCAGCACTTTGGGAGGCCAAGGTGGGCAGATAGCTTGAGCCCAGAAGGTGGAGACCAGACTGGGCAACATAGTAAGACCCCGTCTCCACCAAAAAATAGAAAAATTACCCAGGTGTGGTGGTGCACGCATGTAGTCCCAGCTACTTGGGAGGCTGAGGTGCAAGGATCACTTGAGCCCAGGGAGGTTGAGGCTACACTGAGCCATGACTGCGCCACTGCACTCCAGTCTGGGCAACAGAATGAGATCCTGTCTCGAAAAGAAGAAAAAGGAGATGATAATAATAATAATAATAATAATAATAATAATAATAATAATGTGTTAATTCTGAAAAACTGATAATTCATGTAGACCTCTTTCAAAGAGGAAAGAGTTAAATAAAAATAAATCTTGAGATACCTCTTACCCAATGATACTCTCAAAGGCTGAAGTCAAAATATGTTTTCTGCATTTTCTTCCATGATTGCTGAATGGTTTTGTGTTTTAGAAATGCATGCTCTGAGAAAGGTTACTTAGAAAGTTTTAAAGATTCGACCCTATGTGAACGGTCGAGAAGTGACTCACCAATCTTTTCTCTCTACAATCTAATCCGCTTGATAAAAATAAAAGTGAATCGTAAACATGTTTTATAAAACCTGTTCCATGTTTTAACCATAAAATGTTCCATGGAATATAAAACATAAAAATGTTCCATGTTTTAACTGCAGAAATATTCGCAGGAGCTGCAACCCTTATGAACTTGTCTTAAATCACTTTTTGTACTTGGATCTTTTGCAAATTGCAAAAGGCACATTGCCGGCTGCAACTTCGGACGAACCACACATTCCATTTCAAGATGGCTGTTTAATCTTTCTCAGACTTGACAATGCTCAGGCAATTGTCACCATGACGTTCATTCACCTCGGACTGCCACTTTCCTGTGGCTGCCATCACTTCTACATGTGGTATTTTTGATTGACACCGTGCCAGGTGGAGCTGAGTCCCTGCTTTCATTCTTGTCCAGGGATTTTGTGACAAAAAGCTGAATGTGATTCAGAAAGAAATAACATGTTGTATATCTAAAACACCTGGTTGTCTTTAAAGGGCACTGTTGCTTCTGCAGGTTCCTTCAGTATTTGTAAGGAGAAAACATGAAATACAGGTTTTGCTTTCTATGGAAACGTGCAGGAAGTAAAAAAGCTTCCACTTCTTGAGCGTTCACTGAATAGATAAGGAAATGTGAATGATTCACAGTGGACCTTATTTCCTAAAGCATGTTGAACATATTTAAACAACAAAAAGATGAACAATGAAGAAATACATACCATTTGGATAAGTCCTTCTGTAACAGGTGGTTGTTATCTTAATTTTTATGAATGTAGAGTCTACGAGTTGGAGGACATACGTTATGTTCTTGTCCACAGAATTTGTACTTTACCATAGTATTTGGTAAGAAAATACCCAATACTTATATGGTTGTCCTAACGTTTAGGTAATTTTGTTTTAAATGCCATTTACTGAATGCTCTAGTCATACCTATAGTCTAAGGAAAAGGTTGGCACACTATGATTGGTATACCTAGTGCAGCTCACTGCTGTTTTGTATATACAGTTTTATTGGAACATAGCCAACCTCATTTGCTAATAATTTGTCTATGCCTGTTTTCAACTACAATGGTAGAGCTGAATAGTTGCATCAGAGAAAGTAAGGCCCACAGGCTGGGCGCAGTGGCTCACACCTGTAATGCCAGCACTTCGGGAGGCTGAGGCGGGTGGATCACAAGGTCAGGAGATCGAGGCTGTCCTTGCTAACATGGTGAAACCCCATCTCTACTAAAAATACAAAAAAAAGAAAAAAATAGCCAGGCATGGTGGCACGCGCCTGTAGTCCCAGCTACTTGGGAGGCTGAGGCAGGAGAATCACTTAAACCCGGGAGGCGGAGGTTGCAGTGAGCCAAGATCGCGCCACTGCACTCCAGCCTGGGCGACAGAGCGAGACTATGTTTAAAAAAAAAAAAAAAAAGAAAGAAAGGAAAAAGAAAGTAAGGCCCACAAAGCCTAAAATATTTACTCCGTGATTTTTTTTTTTTTTTTTTTTTTGAGATGAAGTCTCGCTCTGTCGCCCAGGCTGAAGTGCAGTGGCGTGATCTTGGCTCAATGCAACCTCTGCCTCCTGGGTTCAAGCAATTCTCCTGCCTCAGCCTCCTGAGTAGCTAGGATTACAGGTGCCCGCCACCGCGCCCAGCTAATTTTTTTGTATTCTTAGTAGAGACGGGGTTACACCATGTTGGCCAGGCTGGTCTCAAACTCCTGACCTCGTGATCCGCTCACCTCAGCCTCCCAAAGTGCTGGGATTACACGCGTGAGCCACTGCACCCAACTACTCTCTGATCTTTTACAGAAAAAGTTTGCTAACCCCTGACCTAAGTTATTAAAATTTTAGGACTGAAAATATGTATATTGTCTCTGTATTTGTATGATTACATAAATGCATATGTGTATACCTATATGTAGCTACATATGCATATATACCTATGTATGGTATACATACACATATGCAAATATATAAATATGTGTATAAGCATATAGATACATGAGTATATGTGTGTTTACACGTATATATGTGCATGTATATGTACATGTGCGTATGTGTGTGCACATGCACCAGATTAATTGAATTCTAAGCAGGACATCGCTAGGGAATGGTATCTTTAATTACACCTGAAAAAAAATCGAGGTCCGCAGCCCCTTTCCTGAACATACTGACTGGCCCTCCTCCATTTAAGTGGTAAATGATGCCTGGTCAATATACAGGAATTATGTTCTTTGCCTCCTCCACTTATGGGTCCATCTCTGGAGAAAGCATTTCTCCACGGATGTTTATAGCCAAGAACTTGAGTCAGTATTTCCTTGCTGCTGGTCCAGCATGCTGGGGAACAACAAAAGCAGCAATGCTGGGGAACTTCGGGGCAGCAGGCTCAGTGCTGGATTCCTTGGTGAGAACCTTCTACTTTTCCACAGAGATACTCCAGGCCCCACCAAGAGCAGAAAGAAAAGCCAGCACGGGAAGAAAAAAAAAAGGAAAAAGCAGTACAGAAAGAAAATAGAGGCTGGCTGTATGTAAAACATGAACAATGTAGCCTAACATTGTTAATTAATTTTAGTTTGGGAAAAAGAAGTGCTGCATTAACTGTAGATTAAAATACAGATATAAAACCCCTCAAGCCAGATATTCATGAGTTCACTTATTCATTTAATAAATGACTAATTGAGCACTTACTATGTGTCAGGGACAGGGCTGGGCTCAGGAGATACAACAGTGCACAGGATACACTCCCTGCCCTTACAGACCTGACAGTACAGTCGGGGAGGAAGATGGGTGAACTCTTACATTGGAGTGCATTGTGTGAGTTTTCGCGAGTGGTCAGCATGGAGTGCTACAGAGCTAACATGAAGGATGCCCAAACTTCCTGACACCTTCATTGGTCAGGAAAGGGTTCCTGGAGGAAGCAACCTCTAATGGAGAGTGAAGTGAAAGTAAGAGTTGTCCAGGTGAAAAGACACCAGTAAGAACCTTCTAGGCAAGAGTGCCAATGTGTGCATAGGACTAGACTTGAGAGAGACCATGGTATTGGGGATATGCAAATGGCCCTGGGTGGCTGGGGCCATGAAGGCAAAAGATGAAGGGTGGCAAGGAATTGGGCAAGGCATACTTGAAGCTAAAAATCTCAGTCAGCTGGCTGACCTTCTCTCACCACCACCTGATACTGATGGGCTCAGAGAGGTCCCCAAACATGGTTGAGACCTCGACTCCAGCTGGTGTCCAGGCTCTTGACACTGTTGCAAGAAGGAATTCAAGGATGAGTCAGGGCTGGGCGCGGTAGCTCATGCCTGTAATCCCAGCACTTTGGGAGGCTGAGGCAGGTGGATCAGGAGGCCAGGAGATCAAGACCATCCAGGCTAACACAGTGAAACCCTGTCTCTACTAAAAATACAAAAAAATTAGCCAGGCGTGGTGGTGGGCGCCTGTAGTCCCAGCTACTTGGGAGGCTGAGGCAGGAGAATGGCGTGAACCCGGGAGGTGGAGCTTGCAGTGAGCCGAGATCATGCCACTGTGCTCCAACCTGGGGAACAGAGCGAGACTCTGTCTCAAAAAAAAAAAAAAAGGATGAGTCAGAAAATAGTGAAAGTACAGAGATTTGTTGCAGAGGGAAAATTACACACTCAAGAGAAGGGAATGTGGTTGTAGACAAGAGTCATGCACAAGGGGGTTTGGGGTTGCTACCTTCATGGGTTTCTTTAACCAAAGCAAGGGGTGGAATATTCACGAAAATTCCTGGGAAAAGGTGGAGATTTCTCAGAATTGTCATGCCGCCCACTTTTCCAGCAAGTATAGATGTTCTTGGAACTGTCATGGCACTGGCAGGTGTGTGATTTGTATGTTAATGAGCATATAATAAGGTCCTAGGTGAAACCTAAGTAGGATCCAGCTCCATGTTGGGTCCAGTCAGTCTCAGTCAGCTTGGTCCACACCTGGTTTTTCAGGGTCTTATCAGCCCATAGCCTCTAGTTATGTGAAACTGCTGCCTGGAATTTTTATTCTCCTGTAACCACCCTGTAAGTTTCCTGTCTCACATCCAAATCAACATCCCCAAGATTCCCTATCAGCCTTCATTTGATCTCCCAGATCAATTAGGAGGAAGGAACACTCTGATTCAGTGCTATGTGGAGTCACCCTGGAGCCTGAGGCAAAAGGAATATGCATCCCTATAGTGTACATTCACCCAAAAATGTTCCTATAGTTTGTGGAAGAAGTCAATACAAGCTCTACAATAAAAAAAAAAAAATGACTGCATATAAAGTTCCACATTGTCCAATCTGTTCCCGTGCCATTGTCAACTCTCATTGACAAGGTCTGTCCTGGCCAACCTTGGGCCGATTGGAATTCCTGTTCCACAATAACCCAGGGTCATAAAACAAATAACAGCAGCCTGTCTTCACCTAATTTTTTGATATTTTGTTTATTGTAGATTTTTTTTGCCCATAGTCTATAGATGAGAAATATATAGGATCCAGGTGGTAAAAAATCATGTGAAAAATGGTAAGCAGTTTGCATTTTGTATAGGGGCAATGGAGAGACGTTGAAAGGCTTTGAACATGGAAACAAAGGAATCAGATTTTCTGGGTTAGAAATATCATTCTAGTTGCAGATTTGAGGGTAGATTTGGGATGCTAGATTTTTTGATAGAAACATCTGTATTTATAGTCACCAAAAATATCCCTTGGGGGATTGCTATTAACTTTATAAAAATGGTTTGCAATATAAAATCCTTGTAAATGAGAAATACATTTGTAAATATGTACTGATTTGTACATATGTCTGATGGTAAATTTGATTATTCACAACTTTTCAAAAACACACTCCTGTGTTTTTGCAAGTGATCATTTTGTTGAGATTCTCAAAGAATTACTTGAGCAAGCTGATGAACACATCATGGAGTATAAATTGCAGAGGAGACCGTTTTCTATCCAAAACACAAGAAAACAAACAGATTGAGGAAGTTAAGGGGAAAAGGAGAAAAAGAGGGGCTTGGCAGTTTAAGAGTGTGGGCTAATTTACATCTGAAAATCCTCTCTCATGCTGTTCTCTGCACCTGGAATACCCTCCCCACCGCCTATTCAATTTCAAGGCCCAAATCAAGCTCTATTCCTAAGACTTTTTTGATTGCTCCAGTGCATCCAATCTCCTTTTCCCCTTTAGTTAGTGGCCCTGAAACCTAAGTGTGAGAATCACCCAAAGGACTTACCGAAGCAAAGTTTTGGTTTCAGTAGGTCTGGAGTGGGGACTGAGGATGTATTTCCAACAAGTTCCCAGATGATGCTGATGCTGCTCACGGGCCACACTTCGGGAATCACTGCTTTAAACCAGTGCGTGTTTCTCAGACTTTAATGTGCATACAGATCACCTGGGGGTCTTGCAAAGGATGCTACACTGAGCTCTATATCAATGGTTTTCAACAAAGGATGACTTTACTCCCAGGGAACATTTGGACATGTTGGACATTTTTGGTTGTTATATACTGTGGCAGTAGGAAGTGAGGAGTGCTTTTGCTTGTTACTGGCATCTAGTGGGTAGGGGCCAGAGATGCTTCAAAACATCCTACAATGCCAAGGACAGCCTCCCACAATCAAGAATTATCTAACCCAAAATACCACTGTTGGGAAACCTTGATTTAAACCATACAATTTAGATACCATCACCATTTGCTATTGCTCATGGAGGCTGTAAGGACTGCAGTTTCCTAAAAGCAAGCACTATGTCTAATATAGAAATTCTGAGGCTCTTCCTCTTTCTGGGCCAAATACTACCTTCCCACCCCACCTCCCCTCCAAATGCCTAACGCAGTGTTTACTACATAGTGAGCATACAGGAAAAGGTTTTTTAAATTAACTACCTAGGAACACTCAAACTAGTGGTTCTCAGGCTTAACTGTATATTAGAATCACCTGGGGAGTTTTTTAAAACACAAATGCCTGCATCCCACCAACAGAGATTCTGATTTCATTGTTGTGTGCTATGGCCTGCATGTTGGGAGTTTTAAAAGCTCTGCAGGTGAGCCCAATGAGCAGACAAGGTTGAAAATCATTGGACTCCATCCTCGCTAGTTAGTAATTCACATTTGAAACTGTGAGATTGAGAAGGAACACTTGTAGCCGCTTCAGCGTATGTATGATTGCCCCTAAGGAAAACCCATTCCAAAACAAGTTAGACCCATAAAATGTCATTAATTTCCAAGTAGTTGTTCTGTACCGCCTGTGAGTTGTCCATTATGCTATGTGCTAGGAATACAAAATTGAAAAGTTTAAGGGCTCTGCCTTCTAGGGACCTCCTAGTGCAATGGAGAAGTTAACTATGAACAATACAGTAAGTGCTATAATAGAAGCCTGTATAAAGTGCCTGAGTCACGCAGAGGAAGTATCACACTAAAGGAAGTGGCTTACTTTTCCCAAGGGCTCAGAAGAATTGGGGAAGGGGTTCTTAGAGAAGCCTCTCACCTGGGTGTTGAAAGTAAACAGTGTTGATTGGAAATGTCAAGTACATCAGCGTGGTTGGACACAGTTGGACTAGCTGGTGTTAAAGGAAGCAGAAACAGTGGTGGGAGGGAAGGGAAAGGGGCAGCACAGGGCTTGAGGGCATAAGGCCATTCATGAAGAGCTGCATGCTCAGGGGTCAGGACTGTATAGACGAGAGGCAGCCAGCGATGGTTAAACAGAGAAGTGATCTGAGGAGGTGAGCTCACTGTGATCCCCACCTCCTCTGCACACTTGAGGGCTGTAATTAAAAGATGCATTCATCAACTCCTGTTGTGCAATAACCCAGGGTCATAAATCAAATAACAGCAGGCTGTCTTTTTCTAATTTTTTTGATCTTTTGTTTATCGTAGATTTTCTGCCCATAGTTCATAGATGAGACCTGAAAAATATGTAGGATCCAGGTGGTGAAAGACCACATGAAAAATGATAAGTAGTTTGCACTTTGTCTAGGGACAATAAGGAAACATTGAAAGACTTTAAGCATGGAAATAAAGGAATTTTATTTTCTAGGTTAAAAATATCACTCTAGGCCAGGCGTGGTGGCTCACGCCTATAATCCCAGCACTTTGGGAGGCCGAGGCAGGTGGATCACGAGGTCAGGAGATCAAGACCATCCTGGCTAACACGGTGAAACCTCGTCTCTACTAAAAATACAAAAAATTAGCCGGGTGTGGTGGTGGGCGCCTGTAGTCCCAGCTCCTAGGGAGGCTGAGGCAGGAGAATGGCATGAACCCGGGAGGCGGAGCTTGCAGTGAGCTGAGATCACGCCACTGCACTCCAGCCTGGGGCGACAGAGCGAGATTCCATCTCAAAAAAAAAAAAAAAAAAATCACTCTAGTTGCAGATTTGAGAGTAGATTTGGGATGTTAGATCTTCATAGAAACATCTGTATTTATACAGATATAAAATATCCCTTGGGGAATTGCTATGAACTTTATTAAAATGGTTCACAATATAAAGAATGACTTGAGAACATATAAGAGGTACCTTGTATGTTGTATTCTCTGTAAGCAGAGCTTTGTGGAGTTGTGCGAGACTGCAGCCCTGCCACCTTCATTCCAAGTTCACTTCCCTGATGCTCCTACGGCACAGAATCTAGAGGATGACAAACTGTGTAGAAGGGGTGGATTGAGTTGCCGGGATTGGCAGTTTCCCAGGCAAGGCCTGGCTGTCCAGAGTCCTCCCTCCCCGTGGCCACTTGCCCCTACTCCCTTCCCCCAGTGATGCCACCCAGGAATAGCACACTTTATCCAACCAAATGGCTTCCCTCTGGGACCATTTCTCTTCTGTCCTGATGGACCCTTTGAGACAATTCATTGCCCCTTCAGCAGCTCCTATTGCTGAAGCCTCACCCTCCTCTGCAGCCACATCCACCCCAGGAAAAGTCTCTGTGCACTCCCAGGCTGAGGACCCCTTTAGAGGCAAAGCAAACAGCAGAGCCAGGGAGCCTATTAAGGCTGGGGTCCTGCTCTCTAGCACAAAACCCTCATAATAAGAAGAGAAGATGATGCAGAAAGGAAAGGAAAAGTCCCCACGCTGGTAGCTCAGGCCTAGTTCCCAGCCCTTCTTCCTCAGAACCAGATGGCTCCCTGGATTTAGAGTATCCCCTAGTGGCCTCAGCAACCAAATTCTGCATGGCAGAGAGGATGGTTGGCCACAGACACTGGGGCCATATACATCACAGTATAATGTCTAAACAAAATGTGAGCTCCATTGGCTGTCAGAGTTCACTGTGAATCAATACATCCAAGAAATGGGAAGAGAGAGACAGAGATAATCCTCATTTTAAGATAAAGATTTAAGCTCAAGTAGAGATGGGGCAAGTGTAGACCAAATTAGGATGCTTGGAGTATGATTCTGGTATGCAAGTTTCATGGTGCTATTGGTCATTAGCACTGGCCCAGGGAGCCAGGGAACATTGTTCCACCCCAGGTTTCAGAACCCAAAACTTTGCCTTATGGTGGCCACAGACACCCCAAACCATGTCCCATCGCTCTCATGAGTACCCCAATGTCTTCTCCCACATCCTTCAAGTCCCTTCTTCTTTGCTCTTCTACAGGTGAGAATAAAGGTAGAAAAATCGAAAGTGGGCTAGGGAGCAGCAATGGTGATCAGAGCCATTACAACAGATCGGAAATGCTTTCAGCACCACTTTACCTGCAAATGGCTTTCAACATCCCAGTCTCCTCATGGCTTAGCACATGGTGTTTTTGATGGAAATAAGGTGCTATATTGTGATACACTCTAAGATGCTGCAAAGAAACGTGATCAGACCTTCAAATGGTATTACCTGACCTGTACTTTCTTTGATTTGTGTTGGTCCAGACCTTCACTAATTTACAAAATAGAAGCTTAGTCTTCTCTCTTCTTAACATCCCCTTTATATCCCTTTACCTTTTTGCTTGATGTATCTTCCTCAGTCTCAAAGAGTCCAGTTCCTCATATCCTCTTATTCCTATCACCTTAAAAAACCTACTCTTTGGAAATTATCTGTTTCCCAATTACTATAACTCAGAAATTACTGTGTGTCATACCTTTGTCTGGGAGCTTACATTTTAACAAAGAACAATACATTTAGCCAAAGGAATGGCACTGTGAGTGAAATGTTAGGTACCAGTTAACTCAAGAATCAACTCTTATCTTGGGCTCAACTGCAAATTAATTGATTAAATAGTCTGTTAAAAATTTAATGAGATTTTAAAAATGATACCAAATCAAAATTTAAAGCAAGCATTAGCAGAATTGCTCTCAGGAGTCAGATAGTAAATATTGTCATCTTTGGGGGATATGCAATTTGTGAGACTGTTCAACTCTGCCTTTGTAATGTGAATGCAGCCATAGAAAATACATTAACAAATGGACATGACTGTTTAATATAACTTTATTTACAACAAGCAAACAATTGGCAGACTGAATTTGGCCTTGCCCTCAGGTCACAGTTTGAAGACCTCTGATATAGGATACTTCTTTGAATTACTGAAAGTGAGCATGTGCACAGGCACATGTGTGCACGCACACACACACCATTAACCTCTTTCATGAAAATCAAGTTATTGGGCTAAATGCCCCACTTAAAAGGCACAGAGTGGCAAGCTGGATAAAAAAGCAAGACCCAATGGTATGCTGTCTTTAAGAGAGCCATCTCACACATAATGACACTCATAGGCTTAAAATAAAAGGATGGAGGAAAATCTACCAAGCAAATGGAAAACAGAAAAAGAAGCATGGATTGCAACCCTAATTTCAGACAAAACATATTTCAAACCAAGAAAGGGGAGAAAAAGACAAAGAAGGGCATTACATAATGGTAAAGGCTTCAATTCAACAAGAAGGTCTAACTATCCTAAATATATCTGCACCCAACACAGGAGCACCCAGATTCATAAAGCAAGTTCTTAGAGACCTACAAAGAGAAAACCGTTCAAAAGATCAATGAATCTAGGAGGTGGTTTTTTGGAAAAATTAATAAAGTAGGCCACTAGCTAGGCTAATAAAGAATAGAGAGAAGATCAAATAAACACAATTAGAAATGCTGAACAAAATGTTACTATTGATCTGACAGAAATACAAACAACAAAATATTACTATTGACCTGACAGAAATACAAACAACAAACAAATTTGTCTTCCATTCAAAGATATCCTTATTGCAGATGTTTTACAATAAAGGCCATTCCCTGGTGGCACTTTGTTTGCTTGGCTCATAGGATATTTAAGTTTGAATTGCTGTCGTTGTTTTAAAATCATGAGGTTTTACATGTAAATCCAGATTTGTACCAGTACCATGCTGTTTTAGTTACTATAGCCTTGTAGTATATTTTGAAGTCTAGTAATGTGATGCCTCCAGCTTTATTCTTTTTGCTTAGGATTGCCTTGGCTATTAGGGCTCTTTTTAGTTCTGTATAAATTTTAAAATAGTTGTTTCTAGTTCTGTGAAGAATGTTATTGGCAGTTTGATAGGAATAGCATTGAATATGTAAATTGCTTTGGGCAGTATGGCCATTTTAATGATATCGATTCTTCCTATTCATAAGCATGAGATTTTTTCTATTTGTGTCTTCTCTGATTTCTTTGATTAGTGTTTTGTAATTCTCATTGTAGAGATCTTTCACCTACCTGGTCAGCCGTTTTCCTAGGTATTTTATTCTTTTTGTGGCAATTGTGACTTGGATTGCCTTTCCGATTTGGTTCTTGGTTTGGCTGTTGCTAGTGTATAGGAATACCAGTGATTTTTGGGCATTGATTTTGTATCCTGCAACTTTGCTGAAGTTGTTTATCAGGTGGAGGAGCAAATTCGTGCATATTGGAACCATGCAAAGTGAGGAGTACCTGTAATGTCTTCTGCGTGATAAGACAAATTATGAAAATTTCATGACAGCTAAGATTGAGAATGGACTATAAAGGTCACTCAAGCCAAGTGGACTCCAAAGGAAGGATCTCCTCCTATAGTACCTTGTTTTGTGACCATTTGCAGAGCTCTTGAGAAAAAACCATTATCAAATGCTTTCCTAACTCAGTGCACAGATTCTTAGCAAAGACCTGTTAATACAACACTCTGACCACCAGGTGGAGTGTCAGGCTCCCTGTCTTGCCCCCTAGGGCTTTGGTGTCAAGAGTCAAAGCTTTTAAAATATCACAGTGGATGCAAAATGAATTGAAACTCTGAGTCCACGTGGTGAACTCTCTCTGTGGAGCTCTCTTATCTCAGAAATCAGGTACAAGAAGAGGGATGTGGGGCTGCTTCCTGCCTGGATGGGGTTAGCTTCCCTCGGAAGGTCTGGAGTAAGCAGGTTGGACCAACTCACCTAACTCTTCCCTTGACCAGCTGTCTCTAGGAGGCTATTCTTTTTTTTCCTTTGAGGGTTTCATTAAAACCCTTTAAGCTGAGGTTTGGATATGGGTCTGGGAGATACAGAGGCCACTTAGCCAGTTTTGGTGGCCACCTAATCTAAGCAGAGGACTTCTCAGGGCTCCAAGAGGCCCAGCACACTGGGGGCCCACAGTGAGGTTTGGTTGTGAATTCCATAAACCTAAACCCATAGGTGGGATTTCATGGATGGCGTTCAGCCACTGTGCATAGATGTCCCTTGGTTACCTAGCAGGGGGACATAATCATAGCAGTTAGCTGGTTGAGGTTTCCAGAATTCTGAATCCTATCTGTCTTGTGGGAAATTACCTTGTTGCAATGTACCTCCTAGTATACCACCAGACAAGCTACCCAAGAAGTCGCACAACAGAATGGCTCACAGACTAAATTAAAATTGTCAAATTATATAGGTTATTAAAACAATTTAAAATACATAGCAAGAAGAGATCTGGTAAGGTAATGTAAGATAGAAAGCAAGTAGGGTGAAAGAATAATATTATCTGAATCCTACAGTGTACAAAGTTTTTACGTCCTCTCTCTCAGCTGCATCAGCCTTCAACACTGAAGCTGTGATTATAAAGACCAGACCTACCTGAGGTTTGAGCAAGAGCTCTACAAGCAGAAGGTTCCCAGGGCTAATGACGCATGCTTGTTAGAAAGACACAGGAACAGGGCCATGTATGCCTGGCTGCAATTGTAGCTCATTGATTAGACTATTGAACAGCCATGGGTTTTATTTGTGCCTTGGACAGAGAACATGTGGGTCATGATAGGTACCACCAATGGCTGGCCAAATTAAAGTGTTATGAACATTGAGTGCGCATGCATATTTTACGTATCCTGAGCATTTTGATTTTATTGTGTATTTAGAGCTTCATATGTCTGATGTACATTTAGTGCCCAAGTGCCTCGTGTATATTTATGATCTCATAAAATACTAGGATTCTCCTGGCCCATCCATTCTTTTCTATCTATATTTAACATACACGTGCTCTACTAAGTACTTTACTTAACACCTCTTATGAGCTTATGACATATCCCATTTCTTTTTTCCTTCTACAGCATAGCTGAATGTTCTCAAACAATGCAACAAATGCACGCTATGAGTCACCCTTTGAGTATTCAGTCCTCTCATTCTAATACATTATACAGATAAGTTTAAACTATAAACCATCATGGTCATAGTAGACAATATTGAAACAGCGGCTTTTAAACTATTCACTCGTATCAACATAAGTCCAATCAGTCCACTTTTTTCAGAAGCCCCAGGGTACGACTCACGATTGTGGCTTCTTGAGACCATGAGGCCATATGAAGCTCTGAGCATCCAGGTATCACATCTTTGTCATCAGCTCTAATTGTCTGCAATGTTGGAGTTCCTCTTTTGGTATTGACTTCTTATTTGCTGATTTATCTTTTCTACATCATTAGAAGCACTATCAATGATGTTTTTGCAAATATCCACCTATTAAAGTTGATTTGGTCTTGTCCTTTGACACGTCCAGAAACTAAGACCTTTATCTTTTCAGCACACTGAGACGTTATTGCCTAAAAGCACATGTTACAATATGACTACAAACATCATTTTGGATAAGCCAACTCTTTCATTTGAGAAAATGTCCAGGAACTGAAAGTGAGGATTTTATTTTTGATATAGTATGTTTTGTTGCATTTGGCCTATTTTATTTATATTGACACAACAAAAGGTATTTTTTTATTTTTTTTTATTTTTATTTTTTGAGACTCATGCTATAGCCCAGGGTGAAGTGCAATGGCATGATCTCGGCTCACTGCAACCTCTGTCTCCCAGGTTCAAGCAATTCTCCCTGCCTCAGCCTCCCAAGTAGCTAGGATTACAGGCGCCCACCACCACGCCTGGCTAATTTTTGTATTTTTAGTAGAGATGGGGTTTCACCATCTTGGCCAGGCTGATCTTGAACTCCTGACCTCATGATCCACCTGCCTCGGCCTCCCAAAGTGCTGGGATCACCGCGCCCAGCCAGGGTATTAAATATTAAACCTATGCAAATAACTACACCCACACAAAAAGTAAAGAAACTTAGTAAATGCACTTTGCATAGTGTTTAACTGCTATTCTAAGGAGTAAAATCAATCAATATGTGATATCTTTTTCATTTTATAAATCTTATAATTTTAAGAAAAGTACAAGGCTGGGTATGGTGGCTCACACCTATAATCCCAGCACTTTGGGAGGCCGAGGTGGGCGGATCACCAGGTCAGGAGTTCAAGACCACCCTGGACAACATGGTGAAACCCTATCTCTACTAAAAATACAAAAAAATAGCCAGGCATGGTGGTGCTTGCCTGTAATCCCAGCTACTCAGGAGGCTGAGGCAGGAAAATCACTCAAACCCAGGAGGCGGAGGTTGCAGTGAGCTGAGATCATGCCATTGCACTCCAGCCAGGGAGACAGAGCAAGATTCTGTCTCGAAAAAAAAAAAGAAAAAGACAAGTACAATTAGTATAAGTAAAATATATACTTATAAGTATTACAAATATAATAATTTTCCTCAAATTTGTTTAAGATATTATATCCATGAAAATGAAGCAAACAATGATCCTAGAAATTAAATAACATGATTTTTGATATTAAAAACTCAGCAGATATATATCACCAATAGAATCTTTTTGAAAGAATGACAATAGCATAAACTTCAACAAAATAAATAATGAATCCAAGAAAGATGAAGATGTAGGGTTCAAGAATCAGTGTAGAGGAAAGAAACTAGTTGACTTGTCTAAATATGTTATATATTTAAAATTAATAACACAAATTAAAATCTGGATTAGATATTGGCAAATGTTTTCTGTAAAAGGGCAGATAGTAAATATTTTCAGTGTTTGATCCATATAGTCTCTGTTCCAACCACTCAATTCTGCTGCTGTAGTGTGAAAGCAGCCATAGATAATATGTAAATGAATGGGCAATAAAACTTTATTTACTAAAGGAAGAAGCAGGCTAACCAACCCCTGTTCTGGATGATTGTAACATAAACATGGCAAGGACAAGGCATGATGGAGAGATAGGAGGGAAGTTCTAAAAGCATGATAAACACACACACACACACACACAACCAGATGTTGGGAAAAAAGTCAAGCCAATATATGATGTCTTTTCTACACAATCATTATTCTTTGAGTTTTCTTGACAGTTTATCAGATCTTTTATAAGATATTTATTTGAAATCCAGTGGGTCAGTTGAAACAAGATACCAATTGGAAGTGTGCTCAACTGAAAGATAAAGATAGATTAAGAAGCTATTCACAATAGCTGGGCGTGGTGGCTCATGCCTGTAATCCCAGCACTTTGGGAGGCCAAGGAGGGCAGATTACCTGGGGTCAGCAGTTTGAGACCAGCCTGGCCAACATGGCAAAATCCTGTCTGTACTAAAAATACAAAAATTAGCTGGGCACCTGTAATCCCAGCTACTTGGGAGGCTGAGGCAAGAGAATCACTTGAATCTGGGAGGCGGAGGTTGCAGTCGAGATTGTGCCACTGCACTCCAGCCTGGGTGACAGAGAGAGACTCTGTCTCAAAAAATAAAATAAAAAAAAAGAAGCTATTCACAATAGAACATTAACCATAGTGTGGTCAGTTATTTTAGTCCTGGGTTAATTAGTTCTTATTTTATTGATCTTGGGTTAAGCTCTACCTTCATGAAGTCTACTTCTGAACTGAAAGAGTCTTGAAAATCCCAATTCAGTCTTTGAGTAGAGTCTGACAGGAGTTAGGTATCATCTGTTACTGAGATTCTTTGATGCTTCTTCTAAAACAATTTTAGAGCTGCAGTTTGTAGCAAGGCCCCTTAGATAAGTATGAGGGAAAAACAGGAACCATCTGTTGATGACAAGACAGTATAGGCCTGGTTTATTTTTTATTATCGGCATTATCAGTTTGGAGTTTAGAATCTTCTATTTAGAGATAATATTATGAACACTGAATACATTGACAAATCTCTGAGGTCTTCTGATTTATCCCATGTGGTATATGCCATATGTAAATGACTAAACGGCAAGGACATTTATACATAGGGACACAATCAGGTTTTTAGCAGTTTAGTGTCAGTCTTTGTTTTGTGAACATTGCACAGCCCCGGTTTTACGTAGTGTGGACCTTCCACCTCACTTGTAACCCTGTTGTAAGCATCTTAATGGACTCCATCTTATTCTCTTTCATCTCCTTATGTGTTTCAAAATAATTTAATCAAATATGTGATTTGAGCCTTTTAATTTGGCCTGTGAGCCTCTCTGTTCCATGACCTCTGGGACAGCTTGTCTTGCAGCATATACTTGGAGGCTTCTGTTGCATCAAGGTAATTTTCCACATGGCACCACCCGTCAGTCATATGTCATTAAACCTCTTTCTACTCTAGACTTGATTTATAGAACCCCATGCAATGTGTATCATCACCTCTATCTGACTGCTGAGGAAACTGAGACTTGCTGGCATGTAAGTCACATAGCTGGTAAGGGGCAGGGCCAGGACTTGACTGTGGTCTTTGGACCATACTCTTTCCACCAAGCCACACTTGTCCGCCTGGCTGTGCCAGCCAGCCATGATTCTTGCTCAGTCAGTTGAGAGTTGGGCATTCAAGACTTCACTATCAGCCAGTTATATTCTAGAAAATTCTCCTTTATCCTGAGCTGAAATTTGCTTATTTGTAACTTTGACCTGTTGATTCTACTTCTATCCTCTAAAGCAAGCCTGCCCAGCCCATAGCCTTCAGGCCAATACGGCCCAGGATGGTTTTGAAGGCGGCACAACACAAATTTGTAAACTTTTTAAAAACATTATGAGATTTTTTGCAATTTTTTTTTTTTTTAGCTCATCAGCTACCATTAGTGTTCGTGTATTTTATGTGTGGCCCAAGACAATTCTTCTTCTTCCAGTGTGGCCCAGGGAAGCCAAAAGATTGGACACCCCTGCTCTAAAGGAACACAAAGAAGTCCTTCAAATATTTGAACAATTTAATCTTCTCAACTCCTCTCCAGACTACATATCTCCAGCAACATCAGCTATTCTTCACATGGTAGTTGTGTTTAGATTTTTCATTGTCTTTGGTTTGTGACGTGATCTCCAGCGCCAAGCAGAGCGTTTCAGGTGAGGTCAGGAAAGGATAGAGCACACAGCAGGACAACTACATTTCCTGAACAGAATGCTTCTCCTGTTGTGAAACAGCAATATTTCAGTTTCTTTTTTTTTTCTGGCAACTACATTATTTGGTTGGTCTTTATTAGCATCAAATAACCTGTTTTGCACTAGTTCCTAAATTATTGTTTCAAGAAACACTGGTCTACCAGATGTAATTGCCTTTTTAAAAAGTTTTCAGTGCTAAAACAACAATGTCTAATCCTAATTCAAAGTTCAACAAGTTTCTTTACTTATGAGTCCTCCAAAAAGTATCAAGACACAGTGGTTAAGAGCATGGACAGTGATTTAAATCCCAGTTCTGCCAACTGTGTGACCTTGGGCAAGTTACTTAGCCACTCTGTGCTTCTACTTCCCTGTAGGTAGACTGGAATTATAATAATAATACCTATCACAGAGGGTTGTTATAAAGATTAAATGAGTGCACATACATGAAAGCCTTAAAACAGGGCCCAGTATGTAGTAAACACTCAGGAAAATATCAACTAATATCACACAACACACAGTATTAATCTTCTAAAAGAGAATTCTGTGGAAGAAGTTTGAACAGTGCTTCCCTAGGTCCTTATCACACTGAACCATTATCAAGACTTTTCCCATTCTCTGTTCATGCAGCTGATACCTGGAACCCAAATGCAGGATGTTGTCACTTGTACTATTATATTTCACCCTGTTTTCAGTACCTTATTCCAGTCTTTCTATACCCCTGGAATGCTGATTCTGTCATTCATTCTATTAACTACCACTCCAAATCATATAAAATAAACTGTAAATTTCCCTGAGTGACTTACTGCTATCAGTAAATCTAGTTTGCAGTTGGCTACATGCAAGTACCCTGTACATCAGCCCAAGTGTTTCTTCACCTAGGACCCATGGATAGTTATAGGATTTACATCAACCAGGGGTCTAGGGGGGTCCCAGAATTCCCTACTGCTCATTCTCAAGTTGCCGTAATGGGAAGTGTGAAGGGAGCGGGGGATAGAAATTCATCCTGTCAATGTCCCTGTCATCACCTCATGAAGAACATGTCAGGGCAAGCCAGCTTGGATGTCCTGGGTAACTGACTGCCTTCCATTCTCAGGTTTATAATCCACTTGGGTTAGGGTTTCCAGAAACAATGTGCTCCTGCTGAGACATTCAGGGCCAGTCAGCAACTTGTTGTTGTCAAGAGATTTTGATCACTTGCAGCCTTCTCTTTTATTTTACTGGTTAAAAAAAAAAAATCACTTGGTCTATGGAGCCCCTGGTCCCACCTCTTGCCTTTCAGAATCCAGTTTACCTCAACTGTTGTCCCTGGTTATTTTCTGGCAGTGTTAGAAGAGAATAAGCTTTTGAACTCCAAGCAGTAACTGGCCCCTTTTCTCCCACCAAAATTGCCTTTCTATCCTAGTTGATAATGGTTTAAGTAGTGCTGTTTCCTCATGGTTGTTGATCAGTTCTTTGTTACCAACTGGAAAAAATTAAGATCTCTCCAGTTTGGAATTGTTTACGGTAAAAAAGTCAATTGCCAGTCACAAAAGTTGCGCATAGGGCACATTTCCTGAGGAGGGGACCCAAGTCCAGTGCTCTTTTATTGCATTTGGAGTTGCATCCATTAAGTTGATTTGGCAGGTGGCAGAGGGGCTCGCAGGGCTTCTCAGGGCCCCAGTGCCAGCCTCAGCAGCAATGATGGGATACACAGAACACCAAGAGGAACCTCAACCAGGCTGCCTTGTTGGGTTCCAGGGTACCAGGGTACCAGGGAAAAGGGGAGGACCATAAGGCCCTCTTTTCCTCTATCACTACAACATGTCCTGTCAGTTCTTGGGCTGATGATATTTCCTAAATCATGGGTGAATTCATGTAAATAATAATGATAATTGAAGCTTACATTTTATTGAGCATTTATTGTGGGGCCAGATACAATGCCAAGTGCTTTATTTATTTTTTAGGTTTTTTTTTTGAGAGACGGGGTCTCACTATGTTGTCCAGGCTGGTCTCCAACTCCCGGGCTCAAACCTCCCAAGTAGCTAGGACTACTGGCGTGCACCACCGGGCCCAGCTCCAAGTGCTTTAAATGCATTATCTCATTTAGTCCTCACAGCTCTTTAAGACAGTAATTATTATTCCAGTTTTACAGATTAGAAAATTGTGAGTAATTTGTCTAATGTATCCGGTAGGATTAGCCCTAGATATGTGTGTTAGAAGGTTCTTTGTAATTCTCCCCACCCTGGAGAATGTACTTTGTGAGATCCACCCCTGCCCGCAAAACATGGCTCTTCACCCCCTATCCCAAAACCTGTAAGAACTAATGATAATCCACCACCCTTTGCTGACTCTCTTTTCGGACTCAGCCCGCCTGCACCCAGGTGAAATAAACAGCCTTGTTGCTCACACAAAGCCTGTTTGGTGGTCTCTTCACACGGACGCGTGAGACAACAAACAAAATGTAGAAGTTTATTTCTTTTTCTCTCTCATGTATAAAAAGACTAGAAGTAAATAGTGCAGGGCTGACCTGGTGCTCCGAGGTGTCAAGTTCTATAGCTCCTTCCATGTTGTCACCCACTATTGTCCACATGTAGCTTCTTCCTTATGGTCCTTGAGGACCACTCAGTTTGGAGCTAGCATGTCCTTATTCTAGCAGCAGAAAAGAAACCAAAAAATGGGGTGCTCCACCTTTTAGGGATGCTTCTCTGAAGTCCCACGTAATATTTCTCTTTCTATACCATTGGATAGAACTTAACCATGGCCACACCTAGCTGCAGAGGCTCAGAAAAGGCTGGTCTCTATTCCAGGCAGCCAGGTGCTCAGCTGCTCCACAAATACTCAAGGCTTTTTTTTTTTTTTTTTTTTTTTTTGAGACACAGTCTCGTTCTGTTGCCCAGGCTGGAGTGTAGTGGCACGGTCTTGACTCACTGCAACCTCTGCCTCCCGGGTTCAAGCAATTCTCCTGTCTCAGCCTCCTGAGTAGCTGGGACTACAGGCACCTGCCACCATGCCCTGCTAATTTTTGTATTTTTAGTAGAGACAGAGTTTCACCTTGTTGGTCAGGCTGGTCTTGAACTCCTGACCTCAGGTGATCCACCCGCCTAGGCCTCCCAAAGCGCTGAGATTACAGGCGTAAGCCACCGCGCCTGGCCTCAGGGCTTTAATATTAAGGGATAAGTGGAGAATGGGTACTGGGGGACAACTAGCTGTCTTTGCCATAATTAGAACCCAGATCAGATTCCAAAGCTTGTATGATACTTGCCTTGTGTATACACATATATTACGATTAGTCATTTTGTTTAAAAAGATGAAGTTCTGGAAATACAGCCTCAGTAGTGAGGCCATATATACATATATATGTATACGTGTATATATATGTGTGTGCCTGTGTGTGTGTGTATATATGTATGTGTGTGTGTGTGTGTGTGTGTGTACGTGTTCAACCTAAAGGAAAAAACCTGAGGCAAAATTAACATAAGTAGAGAGTTTATTTGGGCCAAGTTTGCGGACTGCAACAACCCAGGAGCATAGATTCTAGTCCCCTGAGTAGATCCTCCAATTAGCAGCAGTTACAAGCAGGTTTTTAAAGGAAAAAAGAAGAGGTAGTTCCTAAATTGTTTACCAAGAATTCACATTAAAATAACCTAAGCTACTGATTGGCTGTACATTGGTCTTAGTATCACAAATTCCAGAAACATGAAGACAATGAGTGAGGCAGGGAAGAAAAGAAATAACAACATGTCTTTAAACAAGTGCTCCCCAGGCAAAGAAAGGGGTTCCCAGTGTAACTGAAATCCCATACTCCTGTCTCTCTGGGCCAGGTAAATTTTGCATACCTTACATAATGCAGCCTGCTCTGAGCTATTTTTCTTTTCTTAATATTAGATCGTTTTTAGTGGAGGTATTTCACATTTATTAGGACCTTATTATGACTATCTGACAAACGAATATATTGTACCCATTTTATATGTAGAGAAGCATAGGCACATAAGCCAACTACTTTTATTTGATTCTTAGGAAGCCACAAAGTAAGCAAGTCATTGGGCTCAAATATAAGGAAAAAAATGTTCTTGGCTTAATAAATATTTGGTGCCTGAATAAGTGATAAGCTCACTTGTCCTCAGAAATATGTAATTAGCAAAATGAAACATCAGCAGAGAATGAATCTTACTAGGGCAATAGTTACAAGGCAAGCTGAGTCACCTAGAAACTAAAAAAGAAATCTGCACTAAATTAATTTCATTCACATTCAGTCACACAAACTACTGAATAATTCATTTTGTTTGAATAGACAGCAGAACTAAAAGAATGTGGATCCTGGAAGTAGAACAACCAAACAAAACTATTATTCCTTTATTTTGCTTTATACAAAGCCAATGATTGTTAACAGCCTTTGGAAAATGGAATTTTGAGAAATGCTTTTGGTTTTCATTTTCTATACTTTATGGACAAAATATATGGATTTTTACCACAAACATGTTTTCTTTTATTACTTAAAAAAGAGATCTCTTAGAAGTTAGAGATTCTTAAAACATTATTAATCTTTAAAAGGTTGCTACTGAGACAAGTACCTTGGATTAGGGTCATTTTTCATCAGTCCATTCCTCATAAGGCAAAAAGTTGAGGGGAGGCCCAGCTCAGGGTCTGTGAAAGGTCTGCCAAACTCTGCTTTTGCAGTGCCAAGGGACAAGGTGAGCCCCCTTCCTCTCTATGCCATGTTAGGCGTAAATAAACATAATTAGCATTTATTGAATTTTTTGTCAGAAACCCTTCTAAATCTCTTTCAAGTAGCACCTCATTGAATCCCTTCAGCAAGGCTGTGAGGTAGCTGTTACTATACTCTTTATTTCATAGATGACAACACTGTGGAACAGAGAGGTTATGTGACTTGCTCAGGCTTCCACAATTAGCAAGTGGCAGAGGTAGGAATTCGACCCTGGATGATATAGCTCCAGAGTCTATAGTGTTACCCACTAAGGCGAAACATACCAGAGTGCGGGTGACTCAAGGCTTAATCAGTTGAAGGGCTGGCCAGGAGACCCTGGGCCCACTGAGTACAGATTTATACTCCCAGTTCCGGAACCAGAGCAAGCTCAGGAAAGGCCTAGCTGGCTAGCATAATCAGATGCAGGGCAGTGGGGGCTGTGGGGGTCAGGAGGTGGGCAGCAGATGCCAAAGGCAAGGAAATGTTCCCTAGAGGTGGAGAGAGAAAGCCTTTCCCTCCATTAGGCTTCAGTCTTTGTCATTCAAACTTATCTCTTTCCTCCCCTACATTCAGAATTCCTCCTGCTTTACAGAAGAAAAAGTGCGCAGGGTAAGCAAGAATTAATGCTGACTGTTTTCATTTTAGTATCCACTATGGCTCTATGGGGAAGGGAACCTGGGAAAATATTTGTTTGGGTTGATAAGTGCTTTCTACTTACCCACGAGGCAACTCTAGGCTCACAGGACATAGAAAGCAGCCCTTGAAAGCCTTATCCAAAGATAAAATTCTTTATAACCCTGTTGGTTTTCATCCAAACTCTACACCCTTTTGTTCAAATGAAGGAGAGCAAAAGCAGTGGCAACATAGAAAAGAATTTCAACTATTTGAGACCCACCCTTGTTTTTGCATCTCCTACAGAGGTGGAGAAAGTTATCCCACAGAGAAGTAAAGCAGAGGAATTTGAGATAGAAGACTGGGACAATGAATGAATGTGTTCATTCAGAGAGCCAGAGAAAGCATGTGTGCCCCAATCTCCATTCCTCTGTTTCTGTCCAGCTTCACTCACCTTCTCTGCTCCCATCCTGGATAAGCTCACTTACCTTCCCAGAGCCCAGCTGTATCAGGCCAGAGGAAGCCTCTGATGATTTGGCGGCAGGGAGATGGGAGTGGAGCAAAGCACCAATGCCCAAAAGCCCCCTGTGACTCCACAACACACTTGCCTTTATACCCACTTGCACCTGGGGATGTGGCAGGTGCTTCTGTGCACCTGGAGAGTTACAGAGCTCTGTGTACACATGACTCCTCATTCACACTTTACCATATAGGTGTGAGGGGCCAACTGCCTTCCTAATTCACAAACCATAGTTGCACCTACGGCTCTGACAAGAGCAAGGAGAGAGATGGAAACCACAGGCTTACTCATGAACTTATCTTCACATCAGGGAATACACAGTACTATTCTAAAAATCCATTTATATAAAAATGCATGTATCTGTAAAAGAGTATGTTAGGTCACATTTTAGATGACCAGGTGTCTTGATTTCACTCCCTCTTGGTGATATGGGAAAATATAGATGTCCAAGGAAGCTTTCCCACTATAACAGGCGCAACTCATATCACTTCAGTAGATAAATCGGGAAGCACATTATTGCTTTGTAATTTCTGAATCTGGACAAAGCTGAAAGGAGAGTAATTTAAAGTCATTCATGGTGTTTATTGAGATTCTTAGCAGCTTCTCAATGGCTCTAGAAGCAACAGTGCTGAGTTTATGGAATGGCAGAGAAAACTTGGATTGCATTAAATATTCAAGGCTGAGGAGCCTATCTAAGATGAGATTCTTTAATGCATCCTAGCAGAGGGCTTTAACCTGGGCTTCTGTAAGTATGGGCTGTCCCTTTTCCACTTGCTTCCTTTCCTACGGTGTTATATTTAGTGGTCAAAAACATGGTCACTAGCCAACCTACAGCAGTATAATTTATTAAGTTCCTACTATATGCTTGATGCTTTACTTACATAACTTCATTTAATGTATATGAAGGATGTATCTCTATTTGTATCTTGCAGAGCTAAGAGACTGGTTACTTACAAAGGCAGTAAGTAGTTAAATGGAGATTTGAACCCGGATTTGTCAGTTTTAAAACCTGTGCTTTTAATTGTCATGCTATACCACCAACTTGCTTCCAATAACTCAAACTAGCCTTGAATTTTCCAAATTGAAACTCATCATATGGAAGACAGATGGACCATTTATTTGGCTCTGGGTCCCAACATGGTGTGGAGGAAGTTGTGAGAGCTGGCCTTTCCTTCCCCAGCAAAGCAGAACTGGAGGCTTCCCATTAACATGCATTAATAATTCTTGCCCAGAATTCTGCAAAAGTCTTTTTTAACACCAGATAGTTGGTTACAGTAAAAAGAATGCGATTCAATTCATATTAATTCTATCAGGACCTTTTCAAAATGGGGAGCTTTTTGTGTCAGGTTTGCAGAAGACACATTTCTGATGTGGACTGGGATGACTTGGAAGAGGGTGTGGTCTCTCCCACAGGACAGTTAATGTGCAGTGTTGTGTCTTTTAAAAACAGAAAAGGAATGTCATGTCAGGGCTAAGGAAACAGCAAAAAAAAAAAAAAAAAAAAAAGAATTTCCCTATCATTTCAAGCAACTATTGCATGTTCCTTCTTTGGTTTTCGGTTTTCCCAGGAATAGACCAGTGGGAGTGGAGCAGAGAGGGGATCTTTGCAACCTATAGATAGGATGCACGACAGCTGAGAGAGGAAAGTTAAGCCCATTGTTTCTCATTATCTCATAAGGAGTGATAGAAAATGTTGAGAGGCCAATTATAAAAGGAAGTTGGGGATGAGAAGGAAGTAGTTCATGAAATAGAGAAAATAATGTTAAACCTTTCTCCAAAAATATGTGAGTCTCAGTAGTGTGCACCCCAGGCCTAAGCTAATATATGCAGTAGGTGAGGTTTATATCACTAGCATTCTGTCACGATTTCCATTCTGGGACCTTTTCACATCTTGGCCTGAGGTGTTCACTTGGCTTTGAAATTCTCCCACCAGATGAAGTAGGAATGAATGTTTACTGAGAATTTACATGTTTCATCTATTTAAATCTTATAACAGCCCTATGACAGTGGAACAAAAATTATTCCCATTTTATGAATGAGGACACTAAAGGATAGATTGATTAAATATCCTGCCGAAGGCCTCACAACTAAGTAGAATTTAGGATTCAAACCTAGGCAGTCTTATCGCAGAGCAATATTCCCAACCTCCATTCACCATGAAGCATTAGTGACCAAAAAAAGGATCAAACTTAACCCTAAATAATAACCCTCTGAAGATGGAATTTCAGAGATTGTACCATCTGGTATGAGAAGATACATGGAGGTTAGGGAGAGAAGGGGACATCTTTTCTTGGCCATTTGGTTGAGCCAACTGGCTTTTACATGCAAAGACCTTTGGTATAAATAAGACCCTGATCCTAAAGTAGTTACTTAAAGTGATATATATTTATATACTCATGCGAGCAGTATGGCGGCACAGAGAGGAGTGAATAAACATGCTTGTTTCAGTGAATTCTATAATTTTAAAACTTGAAAGCACTCTCACATTGGAAACGGGGACATTCAGGCTCAGTGAAGTGAAGGGATATGCCTAAAACCGTGCCAGTGGCGACCTTCAGCTTAACAAAAATATTTCTGCAACTCCAATAAGCTGGCCTGAAAAACAAAGCCCGTAGAATGAAAAAGACTCACTCACACTAGATTCATATTTGAGCAATACAGTAGTTTTTAAAGCAGTTCTCACTTTAAAAGGTTTTCTTACTTATTCTTACTTATTCTAATGAGAGATCGAAATCCCACTCTGGCAGTTGCAGGAAAGCTTCAATTCACACAGCTTAACAGACTGAATGCTGCTTTTCCTTCCTTGGCTCATTTCAATATAAACACCTGGCCCTGACTGCCCTTGTGTTATCCCTATATCCGTGGAGTTTTGACTGACATTCAGGCTGGCCACCCAAAATCCTTTGCTGATATCACAGCTTTAGATGAATACATGGAGGTAGGGAGGGAAGCTTCCTCTGCCCTTCAATAAACATTACAACTTTTTTGGAAATTCTGATGACTATAATTCTCAAAACTTTTACATCCTGAATAATTAGGATTTCAAGAGCCAGATGTTTACAGAAACCAACAAAACATCAGGGCAGCCTTTCAACAGGACCATAGCTACCCTCCCATCACTGATGGGCCAGTGACGGGACCTGGCTCTTTTCCTTCCATCGAGATTATTAGCAAAACTAGAAAATGTTTATTACATGATTCTCCTGAGTTTTCTTATATTTGAACAATAAAATATGGAACTACTATGCTTTATTTCAATATTGGAGATAAATATTTGGTCTCCGTTTCCTGTTATGTATCTGATAGAATAGGCTCTTAGATGAAGTTGAAAGTGGCTTGTGTTCTGAATTTCTCTGTTTTAAATTAAACATGTACCTTTATTATGATTTAAAAGGCATACCAAAAAAAGGGAAGGGGGGACACATAGTCCTGTCGACCTTTTAGGACATTCAGAGAAGTTTCAAGCAAAAAAAAAATTGAAAACATTGGTAACCCTACCATGATTTTTGGTATTTTTTTCTATATGTATGGCTTATTTGCCACAAAATTGGTGTCATTCTATATATATGCAGTGAGTTTTTTCTCGTTTCTTTTTGTTGTTGTTGTTATTTAGTTTTTATTTCATAATCATAAACTTAACTCTGCAATCCAGCTAGGCATGGGAGGGAACAAGGAAAACATGGAACCCAAAGGGAACTGCAGCAAGAGCACAAAGATACTGGGATACTGCAAGCAAATGGGGTGGAGGGGTGCTCTCCTGAGCTACAGAAGGAATGATCTGGTGGTTAAGATAAAACACAAGTCAAACTTATTCGAGTTGTCCACAGTCAGCAATGGTGATCTTCTTGCTGGTCTTGCCATTCCTGGACCCAAAGCGCTCCATGGCCTCCACAATATTCATGCCTTCTTTCACTTTGCCAAAGACCACATGCTTGCCATCCAACCACTCAGTCTTGGCAGTGCAGATGAAAAACTGGGAACCATTTGTGTTGGGTCCAGCATTTGCCATGGACAAGATTTCAGGACCTGTATGCTTTAGGATGAAGTTCTCATCTTCAAATTTCTCCCAGTGGTGACTTGCCACCAGTGCCATTATGGCGTGTGAAGTCACCACCCTGACACATAAACCCTGGAATAATTCTGTGAAAGCAGGAACCCTTATAACCAAATCCTTTCTCTCCAGTGCTCAGAGCACGAAAATTTTCTGCTGTCTTTGGGACCTTGTCTGCAAACAGCTCCAATCTGTTAACATAGCTTTATGGATTAGATGAGCAGTCACTTCTTGGTTTCCAGGCCCCTTACCTCAAAGGAGATGCGGCCCAAGGGCTCACCGTCGACGGCAATGTCGAAGAACATGGTGGGGTTGACCATGGCTAATAGCACACGGTTTTCCTCGGCGGCGGCGTCTGCAAAGCCTTTTCTCGTTTCTTAATATCATATTTTCTAGAATAATTTAGTCATTTTTAAAAACACAATTTAAGTGGTTGCACAATATTTCAAGGCATATATACGTTCTAATATATGTAACTATTTCCTTATTGTCATACATTTGGCTGTCGGCAATTTTTGTCATTATAAATAATGCCATAGTGAGTATGTTTGCACATATTCTTTTTCCTTGTTATTTTCTAGATATAAAATTATTCCACCAAAAGGATGAATTTTAAAAATTATCTTAACATGTTACTAATATGACATCCAAAAAGGCTGAACCAGTTAACCTTTCCGCTAGCATTTCTTTAGGTGTTAATAAATTTGACACTTTTCTCTTTTCAAAAATTTTTAACTCTGGCAAAATACACATAAAATTTAGCATGTTGATCATCATTAAGTGTATATAGTTCAATAGTGCTAAAGTATATTCACGTTGTTATACAACCAACCAATCTCTAGAAGTTTGTTTTTTCCCAGCTTTACTGAGGTATGATTGATAAATAAAAATTATATATATTTATATATTTAGGGTGTACAAAGTGATGTTTCAATATACGGACACATTGTGAAATGATTAGTACAATCAAGTTAATTTACATATCTATCACCTCACATAGTTACTTTTTTTGTATGCTGAGAACAATTGAGATTTACTCTCTTATCAAATTTCAAGTATACTATGCATTATTATTACCATTATTTTATAGATGGAGTCTCACTATATTGCCCAGGCTGGGCTTAAACTCCTGGGTTGAAGCAATCCTCCTGCCTCAGACTCCCGAGTAGCTGGGACTACAGGTGTGCACCACTGGGCCTGGCTAACAATACATTATTATTAACTGTAGTCACAATGCTGAACATTAGGTCTGATAACTGAATATTTGTACCCTTTAATCAATGTCTCCCCTTTTCACCATCCCATGCTTTTCTGAATTTTCTGTTCATCTGTACTTCTCTTGCATATTGTGTCGTTTGCCTAGTTTTTTACCGTGCTGTACATCTTTTTCTTATTTCTTTATATTTGTTTATTTGATTTGGAAGAGTTCCTTATTAAAGTATATTTCCCATTCTCTGTTATACATGCTGTAAATATCTCTACATTCTTTGTGTTTAAACTTCTACAATTAAAAGTTAGTAGTTTGGTGAAATTTACAAATGAAGATAAGTAGAGATTCATTATTTATTTTAGCTGTATTGAGATTTAATTCACATACCGTACAGTTCACCAATTTAAAGTGTATAATTCAATGGCTTTTAGTATATTCACAGAGCTGTACTACTATCACCATGATCAATTTTAGAATATTTTTATTACCATTAAAAGAAACCCCATACCCATTAGCAGTCACTTCCCACTTCTCCTTTCACCCCAGCTCCTGGCAACCACCAGTCTACTTTCTGTCTCTGAAGATTAGCTTATTCTTTACATTTTATTTCCATAAACTCATACAATATGTAGTTTTTTGTGACTGGCTTCTTTCACTTAGCATAATATTTTAATGGTTCATCTATGCTGTAGCGTGTATCAATACCTCTTACTTTTTGTTGCCAAGTAATCTTGCACTGTATGACTATACCACACTTTATCTATTCATCAGTTGATGAACAGTTGTTTCCATTTTTGGCTATGATGAATAATGCTGCCACAAACATTTGCATACATGTTTTTGTGTGGACAAATATCTTCATTTCTCTTGGGTATATAACTGGGAATGGAATTGCTGAGTGCTATGGTACCTTTTGAGGAACTGCGAAGCTCCTTTCCAAAGCTACTGCACCATTTTACATTCCCACCAGCAATGTATAGGGGCTCCAGTTTCTCCACATCTTCCTCAACGCTTGTGATTATCAGTGTGTTGTAGCCATCCTGCTGGGTGTGAAATACTCTCTTGTGGTTTTGATTTCCATTTTCCCTGATGACTAATGATGTTGAACATATTTTATAATTTCAATTGGGTTTTTTTGTTTGTTTGTTTTTTGGTTTTGAGACAGGATGCTGCTCTGTCACCCAGGGCTGGAGTGCAGAGGCACGATCACGGCTCACTGCAGCCTGGAACTCCTGGGCTCAAGTGATCCTCAATAACTAGGACCACAGGTGCTCACCACCGCATCCAGCTAATCTTATTTTTTTCCTTGCAGAGAGGAGGTCTCACTATGTTACCCAGGCTGGTCTCTAACTCCTGGGCTCAAACAGTCCTCCCACCTCTGCCTCCCAAAGTGCTGGGATTACAGGCATGAGCCACCACCCAACACAACTTATTAGACTCAACGAGCACATGTGCAGGATTGTTACATGAGTATATTGTGTAATGCTGAGTTTTGGGGTACAATTGACCCAGGTCACCCAGGTAGTGAACATAGTACCCAGTAGTTACTTTTTCAACCCTTATCCCTCTCCTTCTCTCCGTCCTCTAGTCATCCCAAGTGTCTATCATTCCCATCTTTATGTCCATGTGTCCCCAAGATTTAGCTCCCACTTATAAGTAAGAATATGTGGTATTTGGTTTTCTGTTCCTACATTAATTCACTTAGGATAATGACCTCCAGCTGCATCCATGTTGCTGCTAAGGACATGATTTAATTCTTTTTTTGTGGCTGCATTGTATTCCATGGTGTATATATACCATATTTTCTTTATTCAGTCCACCATTGATGGGCACCTAGATTGATTCCATGTCTTTGCTATTGTGAATGGTGCTGTGATGAACATGTGAGTGCATATGTCTTTTTGGTAGAAGGATGACTTTTTTTTTTTTTTTTGAGATGCAGTCTCACTCTGTCACTAGGCTAGAGTGCAGTGGTGTGATCTCAGCTCCCTGCAATCTCTGCCTTCCAGGTTCAAGCTATTCTCCTGCCTCAGCCTCCCAAGTAGCAGACGCACGCCACCACACCCATCTAATTTTTTTTTGTATTTTTAGTAGAAACGGGGGTTTCACCATGTTGGCCAGGATGGTCTTGATCTCCTGACCTTGTGATCCACCCGCCTCAGCCTCCCAAAGTGCTGGGATTACAGGCATAAGCCACCAAGCCCAGCCTAGAAGGATGATGTTCTTTTGGATATATACCCAGTAATGAGATTGCTGGGTCGAATGTTGTTCTACATTCTTTGAGAATCTTCAGACTGCTTTCTATAGTGGCAAAACTAATTTACATTCCCACCAACAGTGTATAAGCATTCCCTATTCTCTGCAGCTAATTGACTATTTAAATATGTTTTTTGGAGAAATGTTTATTCAGATCAAATGAATATATGTTAATAGATGCTTTCTTTTTCCCTCTCTTCTTTCCTTCCTTCCTCTCCTTTCATTACTTTATTTTCAAATTTGTGCCATAGATAATTAAAAGAGCTGGGATGCACGTATGTCCCTCAGCAGTGGAGCAAGCCCATCTCCAGCATGGCTACAGATCCAAGATTCACATTAACAGACGTTTTCTATAAAGAAATTCTATCCCTGTCTCCACCCATAAAATAAAGTCATTACTCAGCATTTCATAATTTATTAGTAAAACAGATTTTTCAAGGGTGAAAAAGCTTCTAAAATTTGTCCAGACTTAACCACCTGTGAGTTCCTTCCATAACATATGCTGCCAAATTATACACACATCCAGTGACAGGGAATTTATTACCTCCCAAGGCAGTCATTGTAATGCTGGACAAATAACTTTATTCCTGGAGAGTTATTTGTTATATAGAGCTTAAATCTACCTCTCTGAAGCTTCCACCTCCTAGTTTCACTCCATGAGGCATTATAATATCCCTTTGAGACATCATAAAACCCCTGAAGCCTACCCACATATCTGAAAACCTCTGTTGTATTACCCTCCTCTGAGACCTCTCTTCTTCAGGGTAAATGTCATAATGCCTGCAACTGTTCTTCTAACGTAATGGTTTCTGTCCGGGCCTTCACCAGCCTCCTCTGAATGGTCCAATCTCTCAGTTCCCTGTAGTGTGAGTCCTGAGATGAGGGATGTGAACTGACCAGGAGCAGGAAAAATGGAAATGTTCTAAGTTATGCAGGTTAAGATTGCATTTAGCCCTGTTTTGTTGTTGTTGCTGACTACATATGGTTGACTTTTACATTGAGTTTCACTGTTACCTAAACTGCCTACATTTTTTTCTCCATAGACTGCTAACAAATTCCATATCTATATTTCTGCATATCTTTGTAAGATTCAAATATAAATTTTTTTCTTTACCCTGTTACATGCCATCTTGCTGAATTTGGTTCGATCAAGTAAAGGCAATTAAAGGATAGAAACGTTTTGGTTCTATCAAGTAAAGATAATTGTGTAGCTGTCCTACCACTACACAGTGGCAACATAAACTCCATGGAAATCTCACTTTTTTGCCCCTTATTGATGATAATAATAATAATATGTCGAAAGCTCTATATTCATTATTCCATTTTGATTTGCACAAATACTCTATGAAGTAGGTACAATTACTCTCCTCATTTTATAGTTGAAGAATTTGACACTTGGCAAGACTCATTAAACTTGCTCAAAGTCATAACTATATTTGCTGATTTTCAAAGCCAAGTTATCAAGTAATGGACCTCATTTCCTCCTGGGATTTGGAGTTCAGTGCTCAAGGCTCAACAAGTCACTGCCTGCCGGCGTTGGGATCTGCCTTCATGGTTCCATCTAGCTCCAAAGTTTTCAAGACACAGAGCCCTAAATGTTCATAGCTGCTTCAGGAAATGAGGGGAACCCTCCTCAATGTCATCAAATCATTTAGTCAGAACAGATCTTTCATCTGTTTTGTATCCTGGGCTTTCTATTAACCACGCATAGGAAGAAAGAAAAATATTGGTGCCAAAAATAAATTTGCAAAGCACCCATCCTGAACTATCAGTCAACATTTTGAAAGGACCAGTGATAGAAAAGAGCCATAACAGGCTGCGAGAGCACTCCTGCCAGGTTGGCATTCAGCTAGTTAATCACAACCTGCTCAAATCATTCCTGTATCCCTATATCCAGCACATGTGTCTCCATGTCTATGGGATATCCTAAAAGTGCTTGTCAATGACTTGCTAAATCCAGAGACAACATGTCACCCTGATCTCCCTGATCGAAGTCTTCTTGGCAGTAAGGCAATGATGGCAGGCTGCCTTGTTGCCCATAAACCCATGCTGTGCTATGGCCAGTGTCCATTCTGAATGGAAGGAGTCAGCCACAACTGCTATTAATTATGGTGACTGCCACTCTTGCTGGTAGTTTTTTGCTTCCTCTTCTAAGTCCCTATGAAGCATCCCTTTAGTAGTCCACTTTTAATACCTTGTTCAACTGCCACAATAATAAAAATACTGTCATAACTAGGCTTGACCATGTTCCAGGCACGATTTCAGTGCTTTACATGATGATTATCTCATTTATTTCTGTCACTAGCACAAAGAGGTGAGTACTGTTGTCATCCCCACTTTCAGATGGGGAAACTGGAGCTTAGAGATGTTAAAAAAATTTGTGCAATGTCTCATAGCCGCTTGCTAGTGACTCCAGAATTCAAAGCCAGGCCGTCTGACTACAGAGTGCAGACTCCTACCACTACACAATGGCAACATAAACTCCATGGAAATCTCACTTTTTAATTTTGCCTTTTATTGAAAATCAGCATGATATTTCCCTGGTTTCAGAATCTCTGACCCTTTCCCCACCCCGCAGTTCCTTAAATACACACTCACAAGGGCTCAACAGTCTCTCTTCTCCCTACTCTTAATACATTAGGATGTCATTCATGTGAACCCGGAGGCTATAAACTGATTGACCCAGGGTTCCCCACAGATTACCAAGACAGCTTTTAGTTCACCGTATTCTCGGGTTCCTCCTGAGGAGGGTCCAGTTCAGTAGGCCTGGAGTCAGAGAAGGTGCAGGAATTTGAATTTGAAAAGTCCCTTAGCTATCCACCCTCCCCTGTTCTTGCTCTTGCTTTGTAAAACCTGTCTCTTCTATTTTCAGCCCTGTGCCAACCTGTATGCAGAATTCAAGACCTCTTTGAGTTTCCCTAAATAATCCTCTACTGCCTCCGCTCACCTCACAAAAATTATCATTGGGTGGTATAGAGGCTTATTGAAGACTTTGTAGGGGAGAAGGAGTAAGGGATTCATAACACCACATACCTCACATGGTGAACATCTGAACCAGATGTCTCTGTTTGTCATGGTCCCACGTGCTCTGACAATTGGTCCTTTTTTTTTCGTCCCCTTTCTTTCCCCCTCCAACTTCCATGAGGTGCTCAGCCCTGAAGGTCTCTTTCCTTCCCTTTCCCAGGCTTCCCATCCAGGAACTTCAGAGTCCTCTTGCCTCTTCTATAAAGAACATTTTAATTCCACTCCCCCTTAGCTATCCCCAGACTCATTTATTTTGTTTATTCAACAAATATTTATTGAACAGCTACCATGTGCAGCACAGTTCTAGGCACTGGGGAGACAGCAGTGAACAGACAAGGTCTCTGTTGGCTCTGGGAAGTTCTTTAGGAGGCGGCATCTGGTAGAGACTGAAATGTCAACAAGGTGCCAGCCAGGTTAGGATCAGGAAAGGTGAGCATGAAGCATAAAGGACCTGAGGCTTGTGAGCTCAGCAAGTTGGGGGTACAGTAAGGGGCAGGGCAGTGGCTGTATGGCTGGCCCCACAAGTGAAGGGGAGAGTGGAGGGAAGTGAAGTTGGAGTGGGAGCAGGGCCAATCAAAAAGAGCCTTATCAGCAAAACCCATTCTGCTACTGGTCACTAGGGCTCATCGACCTTAAATGACAGCCTAGTGGCTTAGAGGGCCCCTCAACAATTCAAGTTTGCACATTGGGGCCTCACACCCCACTCCAACAAGTGGCCCACACTGTGAAAATAAGTGAGTAAAAAGTTATTCAACTCAGTATGTCAAAGAGCTTCTTTGGGTTATTCACTAGAATATGCAACCAGAATGGAGAACTACTGTTTTAGATCCCAGCTCCCTAAAATTTAACCTGCACGTGAATCACCCCAGGATCTTGTTAAATGGCAAATTCTGATTCTCACCCACAGTGGCTCAACAGGAATGGGCCTGAGAGTCTGCATTTCTAAGTTTACCAGGTGATCAGATATTGCTGTTCCTTGGACCACTCTGAATAGCGAGTCCCAAATCGGTGGTTCTCACCTGGAATAACAGTAACGGCATCACCCCAGAGCACATACAAAATGCAAATTCCCAGGCCTCCTCCCAGGACTACTGGGTGGGGCGCAAAGATCTGTGGTTTAACAAGACCTCGAGGTGATTCTGATGCAAGCTAAACTTTAAGAACCACTGCCCTAGAATACCTAAGGGCTTTTTCACAAGCACTTTATATCGCTTGTCTAATGATGGGAAGGTGGTTGAAAGTCATGAAAAAAGGGAAAAGCAAATGAGGTGATTAAACGGGCCACCTACAGAGGCAGCCAGGAGTCACAGGCACTGCCTCTGAAAGGTGTAGCCAGTTCAGTATAGGTCAGGCAACCAGCAACATGATGTCACGCAGGGTTTCTATTGACAGTTTGGGCTGCATAATTCTTTGGTGCTGAAGACTGTACTGTGCATTGTAGGACATTTAGCAGCAGCAGGCCAGGGACTGAAGTGAGGCCAGGAAGATGCTAGGGCACAGAATTTAAGGAATGACTCACTCTCAGGGTCCTGCAAGTGTAGGCTTGGCATGTGCGTGATTCTGAATGTGCCCTCCTAAAATCCCTCATCCTAGTCCAGATACTGTTTAGCAGCATCCTTGGCCTCTACCTATTAGATGCCAGTGGCAACCTCTCATCATCCCCCTCTGCAATTTTTGACAATTGCCTCCAGACATTGCCAGATGTCCCCTGGGGAGCAAGGTTGTCCCAGCTAAGAACCGCTGGTTAGTGGAAAGCACAGGATTAGTTGCAGACTCAAGTTCTAATCCACAGGTGGTCCAACTGGAGACTGGGTATACACGGGGCGTCCACTCAGCAGGGAGTGACACCAGCAGGAGTGAATGTAGAAAATACCCCAAAGGTGCTTCCAGAAGTGGAGGGGTCCTCTCTGACCTCTTAATGGCAGCAATATCTCAAATCATTGTCAGATAGAGGAAAGGCAGTCAAGGCCCTCATTTGAAAGATGGTATCGAGAGGTCAAAGTGCAACATATAAAAGTTAACTGCATATAAGATTGGTGTCTTGGCTGGGTGCAGTGGCTCATGCCTGTAATCTCAGCACTTTCGGAGGCTGAGGCGGGCAGATCATCTGAGGTCAGGAGTTTGAGACCAGCCTGGCCAACATGGGGACACCCCATCTCTATTAAAAATAGAGCCAGGTGTGGTGACACGTGCCTGTAATCCCAGCTACTTGGGAGGCTGAGGCAGAAGAATCATTCAAACCTGGGAGGCGGAGGTTGCAGTGAGCTGAGATCACGCCACTACACTCCAGCCTGGGTGACAGAGCGAGACTCCATCTAAAAAAAAAAAAAAAAAAAAAAGATTGAGATCTTGCAGCCAAGACAGGTGGTCCATGGTCTCAGGTCTGAAGACCTGGGCTCTGATCACAACTCAAGTCCCAGATACTTAGTCTGTAAGTCATATAACTTTTCTTACACCTCAGTTTCCTCATCCACAAAGGAAAATAATGAGAATGCCTATCTTTCAAGGCTATTTTGAGGATTAAATTAGATCATGTATTATTACACAGGAAAACAACTAATATATTCTTTAATTCATCCTGTAACTTCTGCCCTAATGGAAGCTTTATGCTGGTTAGGAGAGGGACCAATTATATGTTATAAACAGATCCTTGGATTTCTCAGGTACAGTCATATGGGAAATGCACCCAGGGCATGTCAGAAGGCCTGAGTTGCAGGGACCTCTTGGCTTCTCACCAGCTGTGTGATCTTGATCACCCTTGCCAGCTCTCAATTTCCTCATCAACGAAATGAAGAGATTGGAACAGATGGTACCAAGGCCCTGCTTCCTTCCACCATACTGTGATTCTGTGCATGGTGGCAGTAGATAACACATCTTTATCCTTTATACTGTACTTGGACAATATCTTGGACCAAACTTCCCCCAACATGCTTCTTCTTATTCACCAGTTCCACACATCCACATAGTCTCCTTCAAATTCACATGCCCAGAGTCCTGTGAAAATGAGCTCACATGATTTCTCAAGCCATGACATGCTCCTTCCCAAGACAGAGTTCTGAGGTTCCATAATGATAAGAATGGTTTAGGCTCTGTTAGCTTTCTTCAAAGCCTTCTTCAAAGATTGACTCACTAGCCCTTCTAATTATGTACCAGTTCCCAATGGGGAGACACTCCTTTGGTCAGTAACTCAAATAAATCTGTAGAACCAAGTAGGGGGAAGACATTCTGTCCGTGTCCGCACTGCCTCCAGGATATTGAAAGAAAGTGGTTGATTTGAAGTAGCTTCACCTCTGTACAGCTCCTGAGACCACCTTGAAGGACTTGCCATAAAGAAAGAAACTAATATCTATGGAGTTCTTATCATATAGCGGATACTCTGCCTTTTAATCCTCTTCGAAGGATAATAGCATAAATATATATTTAATTAGATACAAATTCTTTGCATGGTCAAGTACAGCACAGAGACTTCACTAAGCTCATCACCTGTCCTTATTCTCCCCCTGGCTGCTAATGTGGGTTCACATGGCAGTGCTGTACCTTGGATCATGCCTCACTCTCCATTGTCCTTCCCATTTAGACAGAAATAAACACAAGGATGAGCCTCCCACATAACATGACTTCATCATGCATAATTGTTGGAATGAAAACCTCCTGGTTGCATATCTGCACAATGCCAATGATTACAGTGATTAAATCAATCAAGCCCAATTTCATAATCCTCAAGTGTATAATTTCCCGACTCGGCAGGGACCCAACACGTGGCATCCCAGCTGTCTGATATAGGAATCAAAAACGCAGTATTAAAGAAAACATTTTGGGGAGGGAGGCTAGGTAATTTTGTAAACTTAATATCATATTAATAAGAATGATGAAACACAATACTATTCCATGAAAATTATGTATTATGATAGTAAAATATCTAGTGATAGCCATAGTTATCTAAGAAGCTTTATGAGATGCATTCTGTGCTTCTGCAGAGAGCTTGATGGTAATCTGTCCATCTGATGTATGTGCTGGTTGATGCTTCTGGGGTTACAGGTTGAGATCTTTAAGCTTCATAAAGTGAGGACAGGCTCAGATGGGAAGCATGGTCCACAGCTTCTGTTCCTTCTCTATAGCTAAAGAGAAGAAATTGTACCAGAGCCAAAGGAGGAAAAAGATTATATATCCTCTTTCATGCTTTTCACCCAATCTCATTCTGTTTTTCTAATAAAGCAATCATTTAATTCCCTGCTGCAGTTGGTTTTGTACATGTTTCAGAGTCCTCAGTTCATTGTGTTGTGATCATCTGAGATCCTCCAAATTAGAGTTTGAAACTCTTGCAATACAGAAGAAACAAATTTGTCCATAGTTGTATCTACCATGTGATGAGTACGTTTGAAAGTTACTGAGATGGAGCACATGGAAGGGCCTATACAATGGCTCTTGAAATTCAATTTCTAGACTTAGGTGTAAATAAAAATAGTGTTTTCATTATAATAATTCATTAGCTACACATTTGTTTTGTGTATAGCTTTTCTTTTTCTAGATTTTATTTCCGATAAAATGTTTTTTAAAAAAATCATTGATCTGCAAACAATTGTAAAAGAAACTATGTGTAGTCGGGAAAGACCCACAAAGACTTCAGGCATCATGTAATTAAATTATCAGACACAGACTATAAGATGGTCATGTTTAATATGTTTAAAGAAATACGCAAGTTTGAAAATATGTGCAGGAAACCAAGAACTATATAAAACAAACAAGCAAACTTCAAAAAGAATGAAGTAGTACTTCTGGAAATGAAAAATAAAGTAACAGAATTAAAACTTTGCCAGGTGTGGTGGCTCATGCCTATAATCCCAGCACTTTGGGAGGCAGAGGTGAGAGGATTGTTTGAGGCCAGGAGTTCAAGACCAGCCTGGGCAACATGGTGAAACCCTGTTTCTATAAAAAGTACAAAAGTTTGTTGAGTGTAGTAGTGTGCACCTGTAGTCCTAGCTACTCATGAAGCTGTGGTGGGAGGATCTCTTGAGCTTGGGAGGTGGAGGCTGCAGTAATTGTACCACTGTGCTCTAGCCTGGGCAACAGAGCAAGACCCTGTCTCCCAAAAATAAAATAAAAAAAATAAAAAATAAAAAAATGTAGCTCAGAGAGACAAAGAAATGGAAAATTGAAAGAAAGGTTAAAAGATATGGAAGATAGAGTAAAAAATAAAAGATGACAGAGCAAAGACAATATCCAAAATATATAAAGAACTCTCAAATCTTAGAAATAAGAACGTAAAAACCCAATTCAAAAATGAGCAAAAATTTAAACAGGTACTTCACCAAAAAGAAATACAGATGGCAAATAAGTACATAAAAAGATGTTCAATATCACTAGTTATTAGGAAAATGCAAATTAAGACCAAGATGAAATATCAATACACATCTACTAGAACAAGTAAAATAAAAAATACTGACAATACCAAATGCAGGTGAGTATGTGAAGAAACTGGATATTTCATACATTGCTGGTGGGGGTATAAAATGGTATATCCACTTGGGAAATTAGTTTGGCATTTCCTCAAAAAAGTAAGCATTCACTTACCATATGGTACATCAGCACTCCTCAGCCTTATGATACAGAAATTAACATTTACATCCACACAAAAACCTGTACACAAATGTCCATGTAGTATTATTTCCAATAGTCAAGAAATGGAAACAACCAAAATGTCTCCCAGTAGGGGAATTGCTAAACAAACTATGGTATATATCCAGCCATACAATATACTCAGCAATAAAAAGGAGGGAACTATTGATACACACGGCAACTTGAATGGACCTTGAGGTCAACATGCTGAGGGAAAAAAGCCAATCTCAAAAGGACACAGGTTGTATGGGTTCAATTATACATTTGCAAACATTGTAAAATGTCTTATAACAGGTTAGGAGTTGCCAGGGATTAAGGACAGTGATGGGAGGGTAGTATGTGTGACTATACAGGGGTAGCATGAGGGAGAGCTCTGTAGCGATGGAACAATTCTCCATCTCAATTGTGATGGTAGTTACAGGGACCTACGCATCTGGTGAAATGGCAAAGAAACACACACACACACACACACACACACACACACAGAGCCAATGTCAATTTCCTTGTTTTGATACTGCACCAATGTCAATTTCCTGGTTTTGATACTGCACTAAAGTTATGTAAAAAGTAACCATTAGAGCCAGGTGGTGGTGAGCACCTATAGTCCTAGCTACATGGAAGGCGGAGGCAGGAGGAGGGGAGGATCGCTTTAGTCCAGGAATTCGAGACCAGCCTGAGAGAACCTGTCTCAAAAAACAGAGTGAAGGGTACATGGGACCTCTTTGTACTATTTTTGCAATGTCCTGTGAATCTACAATTATTTCAAAAGAAAAGTTAGAAAAAGAAAACATAAGGTATGAGAATTTTCCACAACAAGATCAAAGACACGTATTTTTACCCAAAGGCTAAGCGAATGCCAAGGAGGACAAATACACACACACACACATTCACATGCATGCACAAACATACGTACACCTTTTTTAAAAACTGAAATAGAATTGTGCTATACATAACTTTTCTGCAGCTTGCTTTTTCTCTTAACAATGCAAATTCCATGAGAGATCTTTTTTTATCCTTGTCTTCCCAGAAAAATGCCTTACATATTAATATGTACATATTGGTGTATATGTATATATGTGTACTTATGTACATATATGTGTCCATTTCATGAAGAGCTACATATATACCATTTGTTCTATTCTATTATTTTACACTTGTTCTTAGGTATCATCTAGAGATTTAAGACTATGTCAACATTTTTATAAAAAGAGTGAGCACTAGCTTTTCCTCTTCTAGGTGTGGATTATTTGCCAAATGCAAACCTCTTTGTAGGGGTTCAAAAAGTGGGGTAAACACATGCGACCAGGCATGGTGACTCATGCCTGTAATCCCAGCACTTTGGGAGGCCGAGGCTGGTGGATCACTGAAGGTCAGGAGTTTGAAACCAGCCTGGCCAACATGGTGAAACCCCGTCTCTGCTAAAATTACAAAAAATTAGCTGGGTGTGGTGGTGGGCGCCTGAAACCCCAGCTACTCCAGAGGCTGGAGAATCGCTTGAACCCAGGAGATGGAGGTTGCAGTGAGCCAAGATTGCGCCATTGTATTCCAGCCTGGGAGACAATAGCGAAACTCTGTCTCAAAAAAACAAAAACAAAAAAACACATGCATTCTCTGCTGTGGTTTGCGTAGCCAATCAAAGAAAGGGATAGACACAGGAGAACTAGAGAACCCTGCTCCGGTGGGATTTGCAGTTTTGATTCTCCCTAGCCTGGCCTCCATCAACAAAGATACCTTGAGTCATTCATTTTTCCACTTCCAATCACTGAATCCCAAGTGGAGACCTCAAGCAAATTCACTCTCCAACAATACTTCTAGAGAATTTGAACAGATGTATGCCATTCTTCAAAGAGATTTTCACAAGACTAAGGAAGCCAGGATGAATTTTGTCACCTTTTTATGTATATCAGTGTACAATCTCCTTTTTGCTGTAATGTAGCTCATTTTCAAATGCTATTAAGTGGCTAAAAGCTCAAACCTTACCATACTAAAAAAAAACCATGAAGTTTCTTTTATCCCACCTCTCCTAGACAATACATGTTACCATGAAAACCAAATAAAAAGATGATATATCCATGGCATTAAATACAAGGATAGACTAGTAGATTAAACATTCTTTAATGGAGTGAATATTCTTCTCATAGTAGTGTCTTTTAAACTCATCTCTCCGTTTACATTCCCAATGCACCTGCTCTAGATGCAAGCTTTATTATTGCCTTCTAATTATTCTCCCCGACCTCCAAACTCTCTCCTCCCCAAACCATAATTTATGTCACAGGAAGAATAATCTTCCTAAAATAGCTTTTTACTTATCTCTTCTGTAAGGCCTTGCATGGCCACCCAAAACCTGTAATTTTAAGTCCAAACAACTTGTTCAAGCAGCAAAGCAGTAAATCGAAAAGAATCTCAGTTGCCAGATATTCTTACTTTTCTTAATCTGGTGGTCAAGGTCATCTGTACCCTATACAATCATATCTCCCACTGCAACATCCCTTCACAAACCCACCACCTTACAGCTAGTTAGCACAATGGTTGAAAGCATGGGTTCTGGCGCCAGACTGCCTGAGTATGCATTTGGCTGCTGCTTCTTGCTGGCTGGGAGACTTAGAGTGAGGTGCTTAGCCTCTCTGGACCATACTTTCTTCACATGTGTAATGAGGGTAATAAAAGTACCTGCCTCAGGCTAGCATTTAAAAAATGCTTAGAATAGGCGAGGTGCGGTGGCTCATGCTTATAATCCCAGCACTTTGGGAGGCCAAGACGGGCAGATTACCTGAGGTCAGGAGTTTGAGACCAGCCTGACCAACATGGGAAAACCCCATCTCTACTAAAAATACAAAAAATTAGCCAGGCATGGTGGCAGGTGCCTGTAATCCCAGCTACTCAGGGAGGCTGAGGTAGGAGCATCACTTGAACCTGGGAGGCAGAGGTTGTGAGCTTAGATTGTGCCACTGCACTCCAGCCTGGGTGACAGAGCGAGACTGTCTCAAAAAAAAAAAAAAGCTTAGAATAACAACTGTACCCCAAAGTAAGCACAAAATAAATAGGGATTTTCTTACTTATTGCTTTATCCTTACTGCCTATGACAGCAGCCACCCCATATACAAGGAAAGTGAGGCTTGGAGAGGTTAAGTGACTTGCCCCAGAGCACAGAATTCCAGGCTACATGTTTGACTTCAGAGCCACCCAAGGAGCACCATATTACACTGTATGCATCAACCCCTGGCTTTTCACAAGCTAGGGACTTCTTAGGTGTTGCTCAAATTGTTTACTAAAATATCTTGAACATGCTAGCACCAGTCCCTTTTCACACAATGTTCCCCCAACCTGGAATACTCCCTTCTCCAACAAGTATCCCCCCGATGTCTTATCAGTTCAAACTGTTCCACAGTGTTCTCTTCCTCTTCTTAATATTTATGGCACTTTAACAGCCTATAAAACTCACTGGCACTGGTCATATCCTGTCTTGTATCATAACTTGTCTTTTTTATGTGGCTTGTTTTGCCAACAAGACTGTAAATTTACTGAGGATGGTGGTGTTTGCCTTATGGTTCTTTGTGTTCTCAGCGGGGTCCAGCATGGCACCTTGCCCAGAGCCGACTCTCCTCAAATTGTTGCTCAGTGATAAGTAGGAGCAAAAGCAGCTAGAAATGGACAAAGTATCCCTTGATTTCCACCAACACCCGTTTTTCTGCTGTAGCACATTCCACCCCTCACTCGTATGACTGGGGAGAGTCTTGGGGGCTGGAGGTTAATAACATGTGCTGTGGTTGGAAGGTTTGTGTCCTCTCCAAAATTCGTGTTGAGGCCAGGCACAGTGGCTCATGCCTGTAAATCTAGCACTTTGGGAGGCCAAGGCAGGTGGATCACTTGAGCCTGGGAGTTTGAGATGAGCCTGGGCAACATGGAGAAACCCCATCTCTACAAAAAATGGAAAAATTAGCCAGGTGCACTACAGGTGCATGCCTGTAGTCTCAGCTGCTGGGGAGGCTGAGGTGGGAGGATCAACTGCACCAGGGGAGGTCAAGGCTGCAGTGAGCTGAGATTGCACCACTGCTCTCCAGCCTGGGTGACAGAGTGAGACCTGGTCTCAAAAAAACAAACAAACAAAAAATTCAAAACTTATGTTGAAGCTCAATCCCCAGTGCAGCAGTGTTAGGAAGTGGGGCCTTTAGGTAGTGATTAGGTGATTAGACCATGAGGGCTGGATACTCATGGATGAGACTAGTGCCTTATAAAAGGGCTGGAGAGAATTAGCCTAGGCCCTTCCATCCCTTCTCCATGTGAGGACACAGCATTGAAGGCGCCATCTTGGAAGCAGAGACCAGGCCCTCAGCAGACACCTAAACTGCTGGTGCCTTGACCTTGGACTTCCCAGCCTCCAGAACTGTGAGAAGTACATTTCTATAATTTATAAATTACCCAGTCTCAGGATTTTGTTGTAGCAATACAAACAGACAACAACATGCATCCTCCATACCCTTTTTGGTGTCTGTTCCATACCTGGTTTTTACAGTGTAGAGGAAGTAACTAAAAATGAACTAACTGTATTCTCTTCTGGAGGTCCAAGAATGCCTAGAGGGACAACCTTTTTTCTCCCTGAACTTGTAACACGTTTAGACTTAGAGAAGGAGGTAAACAAAAGAAAATTAAAACATCACCTGTGTTATAGGAAATTTAGACACATTTTTAATGTAGATAAAAACCAGGTTGGAGAGTGTGGCTTAGGTCTGTTGGCCAAAAGGTGGCATAACATTGACCCCCCAGAATTAGTGTTTGTTTCCCACCAAGTCATAAGCAGCACAAGACAGCCACAGACCTTCCCCGTGGAGTTTTGCCCCAATACAGTTTAGTGTGTGGAGAAACAGAGGACATGCCGGCAGTTGGTTACAAAGAGGAGAGAAAAAGGCTAATTGGGGTATGCTCATGGCCTTCTTCCAAAATTTACCAAGCAGTTAGTTTGCTTTTAGCTGAGGAGGATGAATGAGGGAGTGATGAGGACAGAAGCATTTATCTAATGTGTGTTCCTCCATGTGGAAATATAAAATCAAGGAGAGAGAGAGTCCCCACAACAGCCTGCAGCTGTCTTTACCCATTGGGTTTCAGCACTACATCCGTGGTTAACCAGAAGTGAGGCCACCCTCCTGGGAAAAAAGGTCAGCAGTCTATTAAAGCAATCTTTCCTACTTTCATGAGACCATTCCTCCATTACCAGCCCTTTTCCTGTGTGGATCCTCCTAGGACCTGTCATGGACATCACAGATTTTGCTCTCAGAAAATTCTGAAATGAAACAGTGCATTAATTACATTAACTCCAAGGCTACCAGTTATGAGTTGAATTTTGTCCCCATAAAAAGATATGTTGAAGTCCTAACCTTTGGTACCTCAGAATGTGACTTCCTTTGGAAACAGGATCATTGCAGATGTAATTAGTTAAAATGAAATTATACAGGAATAGGGTGGGCCCCTAAGAAGACACAGAGATGCAGGGAGAATGCCATGTGAAGATGGAAGCAGAAGGGCCACGTGCAGTGGCTCATGCCTGTAATCCCAGAAGTTTGTAAGATCAAAGCTGGAGGATGGCTTGAGCTCAGGAGTTCAAGGCTGCAGTGAGCTATGATTGGCCACTCCACTCCAGCCTGGGCGACAGGGTGAGACCCTGTCTCCAAAAAAAAAAGAAAATGTAGAGCTTGGAGTGGTGCATCTACAAACCAAGGAACACCAAGGATTGACGGCCATTTCCAGAAGCTAAGACAGAGGAGGCATGGAAGGGATTTTCTCTCAGAGTCCTTGGATGACCCCCACCCTCCTCACACCGTGATTCCAGACCTCCAGCCTCCAGAACTGTGAGACAATAAATTTCTATTGGTTTCAGCCACCCAGTTTGTGGTACTTTGTTACAACAGTCCTAGAAAATGAATAAACCATCGTATACCCAAGAGTGAAAGTTCACTCTGTTTCTCACCCCAAATTATAGGCAGACATGTTTCCAGTGTAGCTCATCAAACATCAAAGAGATAACACATCATTGGGTGTTGATTATACGTCTCAGGAATAATAATTAATTTTAATAGCAAAATTCTAAGAAATCTTTCATTTCTTCTAAGTGTTTATTCTCCCCCTCTCATGCTAAAATAAGGAGTTAATGCGCTGGGAAGTAACTAAGTAAAAAATGTGTTGAAGAAATAGAAATGTGTTTATTTTGATTTTCAGAGAGGTTTATTTTAACTTCCATTTTAAATTTAGGTTGCCTTTGTGAGAAGGCTAAAAATAGATCTAATGGATATTAATATTGTGTTAAATTAATTTTGAGTATCAGAATCCATCCTTCCTTAGATCATTTTCAATTAAGGTGCATATGCAAATTCTGCTTTGCACATGTCAACATTATTTAGTAGATGCATTTGTACATATGACCATACTACACTATAATAACCATAGTTATTATTTAGTGTTCTATAGTGTTTCATTGCAAAACATAGCTTTTTAAAATTCATTCTCTGATTCTTAGGCATTCGGATATTTTTCCATTTTTGCCTAAATAACACATCTTTGTGTATATTTTTTGTTCTCTTAGATTATATCCTTAAGTTATTTTTCAAAAGACATTACTAGATCAAACTATTAAGAGTATGTTACTTGTCACCATCATACACTCAAGAAAGACTGATCCAGTTTACAATACCACCAACAGTGTTATCAGAAGGATTTGTAATTTTTTAAGTGTAATTGTTTATTTGTTTTTGCTTTTTTGTTTTTTGAGACGGAGTCTTCGCTCTGTCGCCCAGGCTGGAGTGCAGTGGCACGATCTCAGCTCACCGCAAGCTCTGCCTCCTAGGTTCACTCCATTTTCCTGCCTCAGCCTCCCAAGTAGCTGGGACTACAGGCGCCTGCCACCATGCCCAGCTAATTTTTTTGTATTTTTCAGTGGAGACGGGGTTTCATCATGTTAGCCAGGATGGTCTCGATCTCCTGACCTCGTGATCCACCTGCCTCGGCCTCCCATAGTGTTGGGATTACAGGCGTGAGCCACTGCACCCGACCCTCCTTCTCATTCTTTAGGAATCATTTGGCCATCACTCCCTCCAAAAGTCTTTCCTGACTCCCATGGCTCTATCAAATGCCCTTACTAAGAGCCCACAGAACCCTATATTTCCCCTATGATAATGACACTCATTGCATAACATTGGAATTGCCAGTTAACTTTTCCCAGCCACCCATTTACCAGCTATGTAACTTTGGACAAGTTACTTAACCTCTTGATGCTTTATTGCCTCATATGAAAAGTGGGGATATAAATAGTACCTATATCATAGTCTTGCTATGAGGATTAAATAAGATAATATTTGTAAATCACCAAGAACAGTGACTGGCACATTGTAAGTACAACTTAAGTGTTTCTTAAAAAGAGTCGTTACACGTCTTTAGACAGTGAGTCCCAAGAGAGATTTTTAAAAATCTTCCTGTTGCATCCTTTATAAATGCTACTTAATGAATAATACATCAATCAATTAATTAAGCAAATGTACCAATAATTCAAAGCTACCTCATATTTTCAAGATCCAGGAGAAATGGTGGATAATAGATGAAATAAGTTTTCAGAGAAGTCAAGAGAAGACAGAGGCAGAAACAAAGATAACAGTTTAAGTTGGTGGAGAAACGATAGGTTGTTCAATAAATAAAACTTGGATCATTTGTTAACCATTTGGAAAAAACCTGAAGTGAGAATCCACCCACAGCAAAAACAAAAGTAATTCTACGTGCAACTGGTAATCGAAAGAGAAAATCTTAAAAGAACTACAAGAAAACAAAACAATGTTTATCTGATTCTGAGCTAGAGTAGATATTTGCAAGCAAGGCACAGAGAGCAAGATTTATTGATGTGGAAAGACGTTCCCTATAAATTGAGAGCTGTACAGATGAGTTATTAAAACTCCAGCCTCTGCGGCAGACTGCCTAGGTCCATAGCCCACCTCTACCGCTTAAAAACTTCAAACAGATTACTTAAATTCCTTAGGCCTCAGTTTCCTCATCTAGAAAGTGGGGATTATCATAATAATTACAACTACCTAGCGTGTCATGAGGATTAAATGAAATATTTGCATATCACAAATGATATAGAATGATATCTGACTGAACTTATTTTTATTAAATTTATATAAAAATTATGTCAGCTCATCATATCTCAGAGGTAAGATGATAAGTATTTAAGTTTTTCTCCCTTTTAACAAAAGTCTAATGGTTTCACAATAAGCATACACTGCTTTTAAAATAAGGAAAAAGTTATTTTTAACCTAAAAAATCATCTTAAAATCTCAGTGTAGAATATTTGTAGTCATGCAAAAATATTTATGATCTATTGTAAGAGGGAAAAAGAGATTTATGAGATAGCATGTGCGGAATAATTTCAATTGTGTAAAAATACTTATTTAATGTGCAGAGACACACAATCATGTGTGGAAAAAACAAAGAATCTACAATGCCAGCAGTAATTGTCTCTTAATGTTTGAGTTACATGTGATTTTTATTTTCTTCTTTGTGTCTTTCATATTTCCTAACATTTTCAATATGGATATGATTAATTACAAAACCAGAGAAAAGTTGTAATTTTTTTTTTTTTTTTTTTGAGACAGAGTCTCACTCTGTCGCCCAGGCTGGAGTGCGGTTGCTGCAATCTTGGCTCACTGCAACCTCCGCCTCCCAGGTTCAAGCAATTCTCCTGCCTCAGCCTCCCAAGTAGCTGGGATTACAGGCACCTGCCACCACACCTGGCTAATATTTTTTTGTATTTTTAGTAGAGACAGGGTTTCATCATGTTGGCCAGGCTGGTTTCGAACTCCTGACCTCAAGTGATCTACCCACCTCAGCCTCTCAAAGTGCTGGGATTACAGCCGTGAGCCACTGCACCAGGCTTGTAATTTTTTTTTTTTTTTTTTTGAAGGAGCAGCATGGACCTTAGACGGAGTAAGAGATAGGTTTTCAACTATAACAGAGGGGAAGAAAAGAAACTGCAGATTTAAAAGCGGAAGAGAAGAAAGTAAGAGAGTCATGCTTGATGGTCTATATTTTCTCTGAAATAGGAGGTGAGATAGGGAGAATGGTTTAAGCTTTGAAATAGTGGGGGGAGGAATGAAAAAGGGCTAACTAGAGATCTTTTTTAAAAATTGTGAGCAGGGGTGAGGGGCCTACTGTGTTTTAAAACTAACTTAATATTGTGTGAGCTGTGAGCCTTCTGTCCCCCAGGGCTCAGATGCCCCGGTCTAGGATATGGAGACAGATTAATCCAAGGCTGATGAGAGGTTACAAAGAAAATATGCCACGCATAGCGGAAGATCTGGAAGGTTCTAAGCCAAAATATTAACAGTGCTTATTTCTGGCTCTTGGGACTATGGTTGGATTTTAAACTTCCTTTTTAAATCTTACTTGCTTTATTTACAATGGACAGGTATTATAAATTGATAAATTTTTTGACAAAAAATTAAAATGCAAACAATACAAGCAAACATATAGAAGTAAACTCTCCTCCCAAAATATCTAATCCAGAGATAACATCCTTGTTCACATTTTGGCCAACATCCTTTCCTCTAAGCACATCTACACATACTCAGTATATATGTCATTACCTGTTCTACAAATCAGGATATATAAACGGCCACAACTCTTAATTCTTTTACTATTTGTTCATGTCCATATATACCACATTAGGAAGAATGCCCTAAGTGCTGCACAGCCACCAAAATGTCTAAGAATCTCAAAGACTTTCTCATTCTAGAAGGCATACATTTTATTATCAATGCTAGGACTCTTGGGAATGAGAATACGTTATTAATCCAACGTGTGCTGTTTATTTCTTTGCCATGAGAAGCCACTATTAAAGACGGGGCCTAAGGCTGAGTGCAGTGGTTCACACCTGTCATCTCAGCATTTTGGGAGGCTGAGGCAGAAGGATCACTTGAGCTCAGGAGTTCGAGACCAGCCTGAGCAATATAGTGAGATATTGTCTCTACAAAAAATTTGCCAGGCATGGTGACACATGCCTGTAGTCCCAGCTACCTGGGAGGCTGAGACAGGAGAAACGCTTAAGCCTGGGAGGTTAAGGCTGCACTGAGCCATGATAACACCACTGCATTCCAAGCTGGGCAACAGAGTGAGACCCTGTCTCAAAAAAAAAAAAAAAAAGGAGAGAGAGACTGGGCCTGCACAGTTCACCAGGTGTGATTCCTGTGTTGCAGCGGCAGTCACTGGTCACCAATCCTCACCTGCCCTGCTGTGTTTCTCAGCTTGGGCTTCAAAGTTGGAGTTCTCCCTTCTAAAGTCAACATTCTGCCAAGGATCATAATTGTGCCAGGGTGTTTGTATCTGAAGACACTGACTAGCGATAAGAGAAAATATTCAGGAATAGGGAGGTCCACTTGCTAAATGCAAACCAGCCTGCCTCTGAGCATCCTCAGGTGCTTCTGTTGAGTCCAAGTTACCAACCCGCCCTCCAGGTAATTTTATTTAGGGCTCTGTATTAGTATGCTTGGGCTGCCATAACAAAATAGCCCTGGTGGCTTCAACAACAGAAATGTATTTCATCACAATTCTTGGGGCTAGAAGTCCAAGATCATCAATGTTCCAGCTGTAAGAAGAAAGCATATCCTTCTTTCCCATCACTAGGTTCATGACTGAGGCTCCAATAACAAAGGACCGATTAACAAGAGAAAAGCAGACAAATTTAATGAACGTAAGTTTTACATGACAGGGGAGCCTTTAGAAATGAAGACTCAAAGAAACAGAGAAGCTTGTGTATTTTTATGCTTAGGTTTGATGACGAGGAGACAGTCATGCAGATGTATGATTGGACAAAGGGATCATCTAATGTTCATAAACTGGGGGAATGTTTTGAAGACTGTTCAGATTCTTCTTTGTGTCTTTGTGTCTTCAGAAATAAGGGTCTACCATTCCTCCAGGTATAGGGAAGGTACTTCTCAAATGAAAGCCTTGTGACCCGCTTCAGCAGAGAAGGATGAGGGAAAGGTGAGAGCGACCTTCTTGCTTCTGCTGTTTTCTCAAATGCCAAGGTACCACACTTTGAAGTAGCATGGCCTGAACCCCATCTCAGCTGATTCGCTTTCTGGTGAGAGCTCTCTTCCTGGCTTGCAGGAAGCTGCCTTCTCATTATGTCCTCACATGGTCTTTCTGTGGGGCACACACCTGGAGAGAGAGAGGGCTCTCCAGTGTCTCTTCTATAAGGACACTAATCTTATCAGATCAGGGCCCCACACTTATGATTTCATTTAACCTTAATTTTTTTTGGGGGGGGGCAGAGTTTTGCTCTTGTTGCCCAGGCTGCAATTCAATGGCACAATATCGGCTCACCGCAACCTCTGCCTCCCGGGTTCAAGAGAGTCTCCTGTCTCAGCCTCCCAAGTAGCTGGGATTACAGGCATGCACCACCATGCCTGGCTAATTTTGTATTTTTAGTAGAGACGGGGTTTCTCCATGTTGGTCAGGCTGGTCTTGAACTCCTGACCTCAGGTGATCCGCCCGCTTTGACCTCCCAAAGTGCTGGGATTACAGGCATGAGCCACCACACCCAGCCATAACCTTCATTATTAATACTTCCTTACTCCAAATACAGCCACACTGGGGATTAGGACTTCTATATATGAAATTCGGGGAGACACATACATTCAGTGCATAACAGGTTCTCACTGTGCTTCCCACTAATTCTATGCCCAGCACTTTCCCCTACTGCGTTATCACATTAACTATATGGCTACTCCTTATTTACATGTGTATGTTATTCTTTCTAGATTTAAAAAAGACTTTTGTAAAGCAAACAGCATACATTGTTTCTTTCTGTCTAGTGGTGTGCTGGAGTCAGCACATACCTGCTTATGAGAGCCAGTTGTTAGTTTCAGAAATGTTGTGAGCTGTTTGTTAAAACAGCCATGATTTAAAATTAAATTATATAAGTGTGCAATTAAATAAATTACATTTAAAACAATGCTAATAAATACTCAATACTCATCAGCTCCTCATTACTACCTTTTATTATTATCTGTGCACTGGAGGTTATTTACATCGATTGTATCTGGTTGGTGGAAATGGTGTGCTACTGTGCATCTCTTCCCAACTTTGCTTCAATGATGTTGCATTAGTAGCTTGAAATTAGTCATGGTGGGAGTATTAGCACTATGAAAATCCATAAGCACTGCAAATCAGCTCCCTTACCTCAGAGCTAGTTATTTAGTTTTTACCAGCATACTACTCGCAGTCTATATCCCCAGCAGCCAACATGACAGGATCCCCAGTAAATGCTGTCTGACTGGCTGGATGAATGGATGGATGATAGGAAAGAATAATAGAGAGAGAGCAGTAGAGATTAGGTGACAGGAATAACAGCTGGCAGAGGATGTTGGCTAGGTGGGGCATTTACTATTCTGCGCTTTACCTTGCAGCCTACCCAGCCAACAACCTCAGTTGTTCTATTTCCTTCTTTGTGGGTTTCTCATGTTGTGTTCTTACACATTGTGCAAAAGAGTGCAATATAGTACAGAAAAAATGTGGTCATCCTATGTTGCTCCATCGCATTTCAAAAGAGGTATAAATTTTACATTCTGGTTCATTCCACTGGAGACAGTGGTGTGGCAATGTCCACTGCAGAATACAGGAAGCCCCACATTTACAATTCACTACATATTTACGACTACTGTGGATCCAGCGGAAGGTAAGCAGGGTGGGGTCCTGTTGTGGCAAGGTAGTCTTTACCACAAGTTCCGTTCTCATATGCCCTCATCCCAGTGTGTAGAAAGAAAGGAGAACTAAATATTGCTGCCAAAGCTGATTATTCTGTGAATTAGGGACCAGTGAAAAAATCCTACCCAGAAAATGCCAGAAGCAAGGTCTGGATTTCTTTTTCTCACCAAACCTTTAAAAACTCCGCCCCACCAACCATGACATTTCCTTTGTACCAGTTTTTAATGTTCCTATGAAGTGCCTTACACAGTTTTCTTTTAGCGCATGTAAACAGGAGAGAAACTGGGAAAAACAACTAGAGTAGCAGAAGCGTGAGGCAAAGGAACTGGAAAGAAAGTGATGGAGAAACATTTATTGTTATAAGCACAGTTGCTTCGGAATTCTCTTTAAGCTGCTTTTGAAGGGATCCTTTTACGGAAGTCTTATCTTTGTCAACAAAATTTGAAGACCCCCTATTCCATTAGTTGGCAGACAACACCATGCAAAGACAGCGATTCGACTGCAAAACTCATGAATGAGCTGATTAATTTACGTGAGAAAATGTCTATTTGCCCCTCTCTTACAAAAAACCTGGGGGCTGCAGCACTTAGAAGACAACACAAGTTCTCCTGAGCATAAAAACCATAATCAGGCTCTGTGTAATGGTAGTTCCTCTGCCTAATATTGGGAGGTAGAGCAAAGGTCACTGTAGGGCAGAGTGTTCCGATCACCCTGACACCTGTGACCTGGTGACCACCCACTACTCTCTCAGGTGTCATTCTACCACTTCCATGTTGATATGAACTTCTAAAGTCTCTGATCGCTCTTGCCTAGAGAACTTCTGGAAATCAATGAAGTCATTGATTTTTAAAATGTCTGGAACATTGATTTCTATCAGGCCTCACGCAAAGATCTTGGCTGACCTTTGTCTTCTAGGATGTCGCAGTCTAGCAGGGCATGCTGCCTTCAAAACTGACACACAAGACCTAGATCCTGTGGCTGCAAGTCTAATGCCTGGACTGTGTTCTATGGTACTGCAGAGGTCAGCAGAGAAAATAAAAGATTTGAGAAATCAGCACTAAAGCAGCAAACCCTATGCACCCAACCCCATCCACCTCGCCTGTTAGATAGCTGCACTTTAGGCTTGTTTAAATGAATATATTTTCTTTTTGTTCAGATGGAACAGTTCAGTCATCCCTGTAAGAACTTTCTGGCATAGGTTTCCACAGGTTTGACTCACTGGCTCTTCAAAAGTGTTTTGGCTTGCTCCGGTGACCCTGCCATGTTTCATGTCCCCTACTGCCCATTCACTTAGATTCCTTGTCCTTAATCTCTGCATCAGTAAAGTGAGGACAGACACACTGAGCTCCCTTTTACTTCGTAAGGAAAACAGAAGGATAAGCCACACATACTCCCAAGTATCTTAGGGAAAATGTGCCTTTATTGTCATTAATATTGTCATCATAAAGTAAACCATGAGATTACAGGATTGTGCAAGAGTGAATGCAGAGCCCAAATTTTTCCAAGGGTGAATAAAGGATGGTTGAATAGGAGGGAGGGAGGGAGGAAGAAAAGAGAAAGAATCTTGCATTTAAGACAAGCATTGCCAACTTTCTGCCTTCACAGAGTGATCTGGCCCAAGCAAGTACTTGACAGGATTATTATTATCAGATAATACCTATAATCAGCAATACCATATTACTTTTGCATAAAGTTTTTACTAGAAACCATCCAATGAAACACTACTAGGTGCTCTTCCAGGAACATTTGATACTCAGCACCTTGGTTCATAGCAGCACCGGGCATTTATACTACCCTGTAAATAGCAACAACTGAACTACATGGATGCAACAGGCAGCTGGTTGCATTTGCAACGTTTTTGACACTAGGTCATCTCTAGGATGAGCAGTGAATATAGTGAGAGAGTGGAGCCACCCCTTCCCCGCTCTGCTTCCTCCACCTCACTCACTCACAATACTTAACAACTCTCCTATTTGGTACTTTGTTAAAACTTTGGATGAAATTTCATAAGAAAATAATTCACCCAGAATTCTAACATTTCTCCAGGGGCTGCCCCTTCCAGGTGGTGGGCTATAGCACCCAGGGGCTTTCCCTGAGGGACAAGGAGCTAGGCCCTGGTGAACTCTTGCTAACCAGCTTCAGATCTCTGAGGGGCCACTTCTTCACCTCAGGGTGGCTAGTGAGCCCTGCGCCCCATTGCCACCATGGGTTTCCATGATATTAGAAGATGGGAATATAATATTTATACTGTTTTTGGCATTTGCCAAGTCCCCACTGGAAAAAGCAAGCTGGCATACCTTTATTTACTCCTGCCCATTTTCTCCAAGGTTGCTTAGAGTCCCCAGAAAGCTGGCCCAACCTACCTATTTCACGAAACCTGACCCTAAAGATGTCCTGAAAAGCCCTGAGACCCTTCACGTGCAGAGGCTGAGAGGGCAATCTAATGACTCTACTGCTGAATTTGCAAGGATACGGGTTTATAACCGTTGGTAAGGTGAGAAGTCTCTAAAATCTGCTGTAAAAACACCTTTTAAAGGCTTCAACCTCGTGATACTTTCATGAGGTTTGAGTTCTGGGTTTTGCTTCTTGTTTTTTGGAGAGCTGGCGGCTTTCTGCTCCCCTCCCTCTTGAAACTATGGTGTTTCTATCTTCTTGCTTTCTCCTCCTCTGGCCCCCAGCATTTTCCTTGGTCTACACCCTTGTTTGTAAGTCTTGGTTCACTGCCTTCAGCGCTGTTTGTGGTCTCAGAGAGGATGGGTGGCGCTTTTCAAATTGTTGTCACACCAGATATGGTTCTAAGAAAAGGAAAAAAAAAGATACTATTTGAAGAGTTAAGGAGGAGAGAGTGACATGGATGTACAGAGATGAAATGAGCCCTGGATTGTTTTTGACACCTAAGAGAAGTCAGGGAACAGGGACAAGAGGGAGAGGGTTGGAGAGAGGAGGAAAAGGGGCCAGAACCAGTGCCTCAGAAGCTTGACCCATTGGTCGTTACAAAGTTTCCCTGTGGTCAACCTGAACTGACATTTAAAAGGCAAAAAAATGTTTGAAATAGGAGAGTGGCTGGGCGTGGTGCCTCACGCCTGTAATCCCAGCACTTTGGGAGGCCAAGGTGAGCGGATCACCTGAGGTCGGGAGTTTGAGACCAGCCTGACCAACATGGAGAAACCCCATCTCTACTAAAAATACAAAATTAGCTGGATGTGGTGGCTCATGCCTGTAATCCCAGCTACTCGGAAGGCTGAGGCAAGAGAATCTCTTGAATCCGGGAGGCAGAGGTTGCGGTGAACCGAGATTGTGCCATTGCACTCCAGCCTGGGCAACAAGAGCGAAACTCCATCTCAAAAAAAAAAAAAAAGAAAGAAAGAAAGAAATAGCAGAGTGATTAATAACTAACAACTCCCATGAGCAATCATCTGAGACAGACACAGAGCAGTGAAGGAGAGGAATCTGGGCTCATCATCCTAATGCTCAGAGGTTCTCTTCATAGTCAGGTATTCTGGGGATTGCATCTGTTTTGAGGCCCAATGAGGGGATAGTTAGTTCATGAGTGCAGGACATCTTCGGATGAGATTAATATACGGATGGGGATCTCTACTGGGAGAATTGTTTGGTTATCAACATCCAGGAATCGAAGTTTTCCTGGCTTTAAGTCTGCTGTTGGGACTATATAAGAATCGAAGACTAATTCTTCATAGCCTGTATATTCATAGCTTCAATATCATTGGTGGCCAATTGCTTTGACAGTGATAGAAGGGTTGTTAACCTCATCTGTTATGTACAGAACACGTAAGGATAGGAGGGCAATTAAAATTAAGATAATGGCAGGTAAAATAGTTGAGACAGTCTCGATTTTTTAGGCATCTATGATGCTAGTATGAGTTAATTTTTTGGTGAGTATTAGGAAAATAATGTATAGGACCAGGGAACTAATTAGGAAAATAATTATAAGAGCGTGGTCATGGAAAGTGAGCTCTATAATAGGGGATATAGCGTTTGAAGGCCAAATTGAACTAGACGAGCTATTAAAACATGCGAGAGTTAACTTATACATTAAAAGTTGAGGCAATATCTCATTTTTTTTCTTTTTTCTTTCTTTCCTTCCCTTCCTTCACTGCTCCTTCCTTCCCCTTCCCCTACTCTTTTCCTTCCCCTCCCCTTCCCCCTACTTTTTCCTTCTCCTCCCCATCCTTTATTTGAAAGAGAAGAAAAGGTAGAGCCCCTTTTTGAAGAAGATCAAGGCTGCTAATTAAACTGTAAGGAATCAGAGGAGAATTGCACCATCTTCTTTCTCCACCAGTCCCAGGTCAGGAAAACATGAGACTTTATTCCCTCCTGAGCAGGACCGTTCCATAATTCGGTCCACAGGACACGTTTTCTTTTCTTTTATTCTGGGGTTTTGTTTTCACTGTTTCATTCTTTATCGTAATTTATTAATACATTTCAGACATTAAAGTAGGAAGGTACATTCAGGGTTGAGCCTTCTAGTACACAAAAGAGGAATGGTGATTTCTTACTCGATAATTCTTCATTTCCTCCATCCAAATTGACCCAAATGCATGTAGTTCTTCCTGGATGCCTGACAGAGCAGAGTTAGAGTGCATCTAAGGTGAGCCCAAAACCCGAGACGGAGAGTTGAGGTGTGTTTCAGCCTTATCTGGGCCCACGTCTGTCCTGTAGCATTGATAGGCACCCAGAGCCGAATTTGCGGGAGGGAAGGCTGAAGTTTTAAATCAAGGAGTGTCTCTGGATATCCTCCCACGGAATCTTTAAAAAAACAGACACAATCTGGAAGTATTTTCCTTCCAAAAGAAGAATATTCTGCTCCTCCTTCACGTTTTCTCTTTCTTCCTCCTTTTTTCTTTCTTCTTTCTTTCTGTCACATAGTCTTCAAAATATCTCTTTCTCCAAATTGTTTTTCTGTCTCTGTATAGTCAGAGGTCACTGAAACACATATACTGAAAAGAAGCCACGCCAGGAAGAATTTTCAAAAACACTTGGCCAAAATCAACTTAACAAGTCCTGAATTCTAAATCCTTGTTTTATTCCTTCTTTGAGGACAAGAAATTTGGAGGCCAAAAAGAAATACGTCAGGAGAGACTGGGTCACAGCCCACAAAGCTAGTATGTGCAAAGGGATGGCACTGCGAAGCCTACCTCCTGCAGGGTCCAGACCCCTTGGGCCCCTATTTCTTTTGGCTCCCCCAGGAACCCCCTGATCCCAGTCCCTGCCCTACAGGTCCTGCTGTAGTCCTACTCTGCTCAATGTGAGATCTGCACCAGTAGTCTTTAACCATCTTATTTTATTTATTTATTTTTTGAGACGGAGTCTTGCTTTGTTGCCCAGGTTGGAGTGCAGTGGTGCGATCTTAGCTCACTGCAAACTCCACCTCCCAGGTTCAAGCGACTCTCCTGACTCAGCCTCCTGAGTAGCTGGGATTACAGGATACAAGGTTTCCAATGCGTGAAGGTATGTAATTTTTCAGAATCTACTTTGGGCTTTAAAAATGAGACGGTTGGCAGGGTGCGATGGCTCACACCTGTAATCCCAGCACTTTGAGAGGCCGAGGCAGGTGGATGGCCTGAGGTCAAGAGTTTGAGACCAGCCTGGCCAACATGGTGAAACCTCATCTCTACTAAAAATATAAAAATTAGCTGGGCATGGTGGTGTAATCCCAGCTATTTGGGAGGCTGAAACAAGAGAATTGCTTGAACCCAGGAGGTGGAGGTTGCAGTGAGCTGAGATCATGCTACTGCACTCCAGCCTGGGCAACAGAGTAAGACTCTGTCTCAAAAAAAAAAATTAATTAAAAATAAATAAATAAGTAAATAATTATCATCTTCCAGCATGAAATCAAAATTTTATTAGAAATGTATCTCTTAATGAGATGAGTGAGGTTGACTTTCTTTCAGTGAGTTCATTTATCCATGGATGAATATTACTTTTGCTACAGTGAGACAGGAATTTGTAAAAATATTCATATTTTATTTATATAGGTGTAAGCACTAAGAAGCCAAGTTCACATAAGAAAATAAACGAGAATAAAAGAAATTTTTTATAGAGGTATCACTGAATTATTTGTGCTAAATTGATATTTTTCTAGTTTATAATTTGAATTTTTCTATTGGTTCTTTTACTACACTTTTTATTTATTTTCTTAGTGATCGCCTTGGGGATTACAATTAACATCTTAATTTATAGCAATCTAGTTTAGATTAATACCACTTTAATTTCAAGAGAATATAAAAACTTTTATCCTCTATCACTCTACTCATTCCCCTCTTCTTTGTGCTGTTATTGTCATACAAATTACACCTTTATATATTATATGCCCGTCAACACAGATGTATAATTATTGTTTTACGCAATTGTCTTTTAAATCAGATGAGGGAAAAGAGTTACAAACAAGAAATACATTTGTACTGTCTTTTATGTTTACTTATGAAGTTACTTCTACCAGTGCTCTCTATTTTTTCTTATGGCTTTGAGTTACTGTCCAGTGTCTTTTATGTCAACCTAAAGGACTGTCTTTAGCATTTCTTACAAGGCAAATCTACTAGTAATACACTTCCTCAGCTTTTGTATATCTGGAAATATATTTATTTCTCCTTCATTCTCAAAGGATAGTTTTGCTGGATATACAATTCTTAGTTGACAGTTTTTTTGTTTTTATTTTTTACTTTCAGGACTTTATATATGCTGTCCCCTTTCTTCTGCCTTCTATGGTTTATTTCTTTTTTTTAATTGATATATGGTAATTGTACATATTTTGGGGGTACATGTGATATTTTGATACATGTATGGAATATATACAAATCAGAGTAATTGGGGTATCCATCACTTCAAACATATATCTTTTCTTTGTGGCGGGAACATTACAATTCTTCTTTTCAGCTATTTTGAAATATATAATAAATTACTGTCAACTATAATTTCCCTACTGTACTGTCAAACACTAGAACATATTTCTTCTATATAACTATTTTTGTGCCCATTAACCAACTTTTTTTCATCCCTTTGCCCTTTATTGCTTCTAATGAGAAATTGCTTTTTAGTATTATTGAAGATCCATTGTATATGGCAAGTCACTTTTGTTTGGGTGAGATGCTCTTTGTTTTTGACTTTCTACTGTTTGATTATGATGTGTCTAGTTGTGGATTTCTTTGAGTTTATCCTACTTGAAATTCATTGAGCTTCTTAGATTTATAGATTAATCTTGTTCATCAAATCTGGGAAGTTTGCAGCCAACATCTTCTGGGCTTCATTAGGGACTTCCTATTGATTGTTTATTTTTCCTGTGTATAGACCATACTTTCTTGCTTCTTTGCATGTTTCATAATTTTTTGCTGAAAACGGGATGTTTAAAATTATATGGAAACTCTGGAAATCAGATTCTCCCTACTCCCCCAAGGTTTTTGTTGCTGTTCTTGTTGTTTTTTTAGTGACTTTTCTGAGATAGTTCTGTAAAGTCTATATTGTTTGTCATGTGTGGCCACTGAAATCTCTGCTTGATTAGCTTAGTGGTACACTAATGACTGAACAGAAATTTCTTTAGATGCCTGGGACCAATAAATCTTGCAGTCTTTGCCAAGGGGTTCTATATGCACACTAGGACACACTTTCAATGCTCAGTTAAGCACTTTACAACTCTGCCTTAGCCTTTACTTTCTGCTTCTGGAGAGCCTTAAGGTTAGCCAGTGGTCAGACCTTAGGGCCTTCTCAAGTATTTTCTGAGCATATACACAGCTGTGGGCATGCACGTAGCCCTATATAGGCTTCACCTTCTAGATTCCCAGGAATATGTGGGAGCTTTTCAAAGTCTCCTATGGGCATCTCATTCCCAAGCTTTTTCTTTTAAGCTTTTTGTTAAGCCTATTGTTTGCCCCTAACTCTAATCCACTGACTTAGGCGGCTGCAGTATTGACTAATTGCCTGTGATTCTTTTCAACAAACACCCCCAAGGAAAAGACTGTTCACACTTGGCAACTCTAAATCAGATTAAATAAAAAGGCTTGTGAGTGAAGTCTTCCAGAGAACCACCAGACAGGTCAAATAGTGACAGTTTTGGGGGAATGGGACTTTGGGGGGAATGGGACTTTGAAGAAGCTTTATCTCCATTCTGCAACCATTCCAATAGCTGCCAGGCTGTTGATTTTCACTGTGATTGCAGGCTGCTGATTTTCAAGGCTACCACAGAGATAAGGTGAAGTGTGTGGAAGCTGGTAAATTAAAATGCCATAAAACTCATTGTTCTATTGAAATTCAGCCATTTTTCTTGAATAAATGCTCCTGGATTGCTGTAAGCCTTTGGTTAATTTCCAGCCTTCTGCAAAAGTCGATACTGGCCATTTTCCCAGTTTCTTATTGCTTTTATGGAAGAAAGGCTTTATTATTATTATTATTATACTTTAAGTTTTAGGGTACATGTGCACAACATGCAGGTTAGTCACATACGTATGCATGTGCCATGTTGGTGTGCTGCACCCAATAACTCGTCATTTAACATTAGGTGTATCTCCTAATGCTATCCCTCCCTGCTCCCCCTACCCCACAACAGGCCCCAGTGTGTGATGTTCCCCTTCCTGTGTCCAAGTGTTCTCATTGTTCAGTTCCCACCTATGAGTGAGAACATGCAGTATTTGATTTTTTGTCCTTGCGATAATTTACTGAGAATGATGGTTTCCAGCTTCATCCATGTCCCTACAAAGGACATGAACTCATCATTTTCTATGGCTGCATAGTATTCTATGGTGTATATGTGCCACATTTTCTTAATCCAATCTATCATTGTGGGACATTTGGCTTGGTTCCAGGTCTTTGGTACTGTGAATAGTGCTGCAGTAAACATATGTGTGCATGTGTCTTTATAGCAGCATGATTTATATCATTCAGGACATAGGCATGGGCAAGGACTTCATGTCTAAAACACCAAAAGCAATGGCAACAAAAGCCAAATTTGACAAATGGGATCTAATTAAACTAAAGAGCTTCTGCACAGCAAAAGAAACTACCATCAGAGTGAACAGGCAACCTACAGAATGGGAGAAAATGTTTGCAACCTACTCATCTGACAGAAGGCTAATATCCAGAATCTACAATGAACTCAAACAAATTTACAAGAAAAAAACAAACAACCCCATCAAAAAGTGGGCAAAGGATATGAACAGACACTTCTCAAAAGAAGACATTTATATAGCCAAAAGACATATGAAAAAATGCTCATCATCACTGGCCATCAGAGAAATGCAAATCAAAACCACAATGAGATACCATCTCACACCAGTCAGAATGGCAATCATTAAAAAGTCAGGAAACAACAGGTGCTGGAGAGGATGTGGAGAAATAGGAGCACTTTTACACTGTTGGTGGGACTATAAACTAGTTCAACCATTGTGGAAGTCAGTGTGGCGATTCCTCAGGGATCTAGAACTAGAAATACAATTTGACCCAGCAATTGCATTACTGGGTATATACCCAAAGAAAGGCTTTTTAAAGGTCTTTATGTCAGCGTTTTCTCTAATATCCAATCTCTTTTAATTTTTTGTCAATCGTATGTCAAATATCATGTAATAAATTATTATTTAAAAATACATTTCTTGATCCCATAGTATCAACTCGGTAAGATCTTCCTTCAGTTCCTTGAAAACAAATAATTAGAAAGTTTGTGATTTACCAAAGGATCAAGTACTAGTCATTAAATAAAATTCATTTTTTCAATAACAATATTTTATATTGTCTCTTATTTTGCCACCCAGTGACTTATGTGCTATCAAGCAATCTTTCATTATAAGATTTAGGGTGCACAAAATGCATGCCTTTCTTTAAAAGTTGAGAAAGTTATATCTTCTCATCTTGCCTTCTTTGGCTGTCTTGGGTCTGGGGTCACATTCTGGGAGGAAGGATTGTAATTCTCCTTAAACTTTCCCCACATCTCTCACAGACATGGAAGACTGTTCCTTTCTGTCTTCTTAAAGTTTATTTTCCTGTGTATCTTTTCTCCACCCCTTCTGTCACTTTCTGTAGCTCCCACACCAAGAAATTTGTCTTGAGGTTAAAAAAAGGGGAGGAGGGGCAGACTGTACAGTGATCCCTGAAAATGCTTTTAAAGTCAATGGTAGGGCCACAGGAAAGGATTCCCATCTCAGTTAATGTTGCCAAACCCTGAGAGGTAAATTTTATTATCAGTAGCAGCTACAGGATTTCTTTATTGGAGAGGCTTTGTGATTACATTCTGGTTGAGACAGAGGGTAAGGCCAGGGACTAGGGACTGGGTCTTGAAGTTGTGTTTGCATTGATAGCACAATGTATTAATATAGATTGTATTTTAATTTGGGACAATTAGTGGGAAAGGGCTGAACTGTCCCTTAACTCAGTAATTGATTATTATTATTCCATTTTACTGATTCAAAGTGAAATTATTAACTCTAGTCAAAGAGCTAGATAGTAACGAAGCCAAGATTGTAACTCAGCCCTGTCAAATCCCAGAACCAGTGCCTTTATATGCTTTTTTTTTTTTCTGTTTCTAGTTGCAAGCTAACCACTCCCAGCAGTCATACCTTTAACCCATAGTTATGACCTTGCCAACCATACCCAATGTGAGTCTTGCCATAGAACTCTCGTTTGCTGGGTTCTTCTCCTTCTTTCGTAAGTGGAAGGAATGGATTCCCTCAGCGGGCAATTACCGTCATTGTCTTTAGTCCCATTGAAGGAAACAGTCCTGGACTTTGGTCAGGCTTCCCCAGCACCTTCAGTAAGTGACTCTAAGTGTGGCTCCTGCAGCCTAATGATGCGCCTGAAACTGGGGGAGGCAGGCAGGAAGACTTCTAAAGGCTCTGGGAGGGTTTTCCTCATGAGACAACCCTCATGAGATTGTACCCATGAGATTGGTACCTCCTCTTTGCAACATGAAAACAAGAATACTATTAAAAATCATGTTCCAGCCAGGCGCAGTGGCTCACGCCTGTAATCCCAGCCCTTTGGGAGGCCAAGGCGGGCAGATCACTTTAGGTCAGGAGTTCAAAATCAGCCTGACCAACATGGTGAAACCTCGTCTCTACTAAAAATACACAAACAATTAGCTGGGCATGGTGGCGCACACCTGTAGTCCCAGCTAGTCTACTGGGGAAGCTGAGGCAGGAGAATCACTTGAACCCGGGAGGTGGAGGTTGCAGTGAGCCAAGGTCGAGCCACTGCACGCCAGCCTGAGCGACAGAGACAGACTCTGTTTCAAAAAAAAAAAATCGTATTCCTTTTGTCCCAGCTCTTTAGACATGGCATTTTACAGTTAGACAAATTAGACAAATTTTTAGGTGCATCTTTACTGGCAAAGTTACCCAAAGATAAGATTATTTCTGACTCTGTGGTTTTTTTCACCTTTTTCTTTTCTGATTCCTACCACTCCTCACAGTTTCAATTCCTCTCTCCTACTTTGTTCTCCTTTCTGTTTCGAACATTTTGCTCCTAATTAGTTCAGGTTTTTCTCCCTGTTCAGAAGTTTGTATATCTGAAAATTAAGTATTTTAAAACACTTTCTGAAAGGAGTGGGAAATTCTCCAGAAGCACAGAGAGAAGATTGTGAGGCTCTTCTGTTGGAATAAAAGCCCACGTTGGATGTTGAAATTTTTCCACTAGTATGGTTTCCTCCTGTACACGCTTCACAGGTGGTATTTTTTTTCAAAACAGCAAACTATGCAGAAATATTTTAAATTAATAAATTATTAATTATTATAGCCTCAATTCTCATAACTCAAAATAATAATACTGTGTTGATATTCATATGTTCAACACAACACATGCCTTCTCACTTATATATTTACTTAAATATTTCACACCATACCTGAAATATAGTAGGTATTCATTACTATTCTCCAAATGAATGAAGTGAGTAAAGTTCCACAAAGCAAGGACCAGACCTTTCATATCATTGTAATTCACAGACCTAGTATGGCATAAAGTGGGCACCAACTCTTTGGAGTATAAAAGCTTTGCTATGTTCCTGTGCTTATGACCTTGATGAAATTCTGCTGTTAAATTTAGTACAGGTTGTCACAAATCACCATTTGATCAAAGTAGTTGCCTTATACTGGTTCATCTATACTTTTGTTCTCTTCCCCAAATCCAATTATTGGAGCTGTTTGCCTCAATCACTGAAAAGCAAGATTCTTTCATTGTTGTTTCAGACTTACTCCTCATTTCTTAGTGAAAACTACTCTCTGTGACCTACATCTCCCTTAACTAAGCACTGAATTTCCCTATCTTTAGTCTTTCTTTTCTAATATGGATTCGAAGGGGATCAGAATGTGTCCCCCAAAATATGCTAATTTAGCATAAGTACTATTTTGAGCTATTTTTGAGAAAGAATCTTCTGCCCTTCTCCTTTCTGCTTTAAGTGCCATAAATTTCCACTTGTAAAGGTGTTTTATTTCCCATCTTGGGTGACTAAGCCTCATGGTCCTCTTCCTGATATGAGAGATGAGTCTGCATAACAATCCTTAGCTATCATACATTCCTAGTTACCTTCCCACAATTTGCCACTCTTAGGAGCCCACTCCCCTACTCTGCCTCCTTTGTCTAGTCACTTCTTCACAGTTTATTGCACTTTGTTAAAATTTTATATAAGCTCAGCATTCTTTTAGACTTTACATAGATAAGAGATAGTGTAGCCTGGTGTTTAAGAGTTTGGACTCTGGGATCAAATCTCAGTACCTCTACCACTTACCAAATGTATGACCTTGGGTGGATCACTTCACCTCTTGGGCCTTAAACTAAAATAGAGATAATAAATATATCTATATCTTAGGGTTGATATAGGAATTAAGTGAATCAAAGCACTTAAAACTGTTGCTGGCACTCTGTGTTAGCGATTACCTACATTTTTTTATTTGCTCATTTTGGACACTCATATAAATATAATTATACCATTTATAATTTTCTGAGACCTTTCAAAGTCAATATTATGTTTTTGAAACTCATCCATATTGATGCATGCATATGTAGTTTATTAATTTTTCTTTTTAGTTAACACATCATGCATGTATGTCATATCTCTCTAAGGTAATTGTAAACTTTGGAGAGCAAGAACCATGTTTTCTATCCTCTGTGCTTTCAAGGAGTTCGTGGTAGCATTTGTGATTTGTTCTTTGAGATGATTAGCTGTGTTTCTGAGATATCTAAATTGGAGAAGAGGAGACTGAGGGAAACTTCCTAAGGGTTATTGAGGTTTTATATGGAGTGTGGTGACTTCTCATTCTCTATCCCCATTGAGCCTTCAATTTGGGAAATATCCTAAGCGTCCCTGTGAGAGACTTAGGCGTATAATTATAACTGGGTATTTACTGTGTACCATGTACTGTGTCAGCTTCTTTACATAAATTATCCTACTTAATCCTCAAAACAAGCCAAATGAGAAAGTATATTATTTTCTAGGACTTCTGTAATGAAGTACCACAAACTGGGTGGCTTAAGCAACAGAAACTTACTGCATCACAGCTGTGGAGGCTAGAAGTCCAAGGTCAAGGTGTTGGCAGGATTGGTTCTTCTGAGGGATGTGAGGGAGAATCTCTTGCAGGCCTCTCCCCTAGCTCATGGTGGTTTACTGGCAGTCTTTGGTGTTCCTTGGCTTGTGGATCTCTGCCTTCATCTTCACATACTATCCTCCCTATGTCTATGTCTTTGTCTAAATCTCTCCTTTTTATGAGGAAGTTAGTCATATTGGATTAAGGACCCATCCTCCTCCAATATGATATAAGTTCATCCTAACTAATTATATCTTCAATGGCCCTGTTTCTAAGTAAGGTCACATTCTGAGGTACTGGGGGTTAGGACTTCAACATATGAATTCAACAGGGGAGACACAATTCCACCCACTTAAAATGAAACAGGCCTACAGAGGTTATGCTAACTTTTTGAAGTGGAATAGCTAGGGCCCTCAGGTTCACGTGGTAACCAGGTAGTTCTGAGGTGGGAGGTGAGGGAGGTAGTGCAGGTCCCCAAGAGCCACGGGGATGCTGCAGTGAACTGGACTGTGTGCAGTCACTCCCATAAGTTGTCCAGACATGAGGTAACAGAGTGAGCTCTGGAATTAGTCAAATCTGCCACTCACTAGCTGCCTGATCTTAGGAATGTTTTTCAAGCCCTCAGAGCCCCCATTGCTTCATCTGTAAAATGGGATAATAGCACCCACCTCATGAAGTTGTGGAGATTAAAGGACATAGGACAGTAGTTGAGAAATGTAGTGATTATCAAAATGGACACCCATCCTCTTATCCCAACCACACAAAAGAGAGCTTTAGTCCACATCCAAATTTCCTACACCTAGGCCCATTTTAATTAATTTAATTTATGTAACTAAGTGCAACCCTTGTCCAGAAACATCATTCAAGTGGGGATCATGGTAGGGGGTGGTAAAAGGGTCAGAAAGGGGAGATGCAAAGGAGAGCTAGAGAAAAGGATAACTCCAGTTCTCTGCCTGTCAGTGTGTCTCAAGGTGGGCATTATTGGTATTTGGAGCTGGACAGTTCTTCCTGTTGAGCTACTGTTCCATGCATTATGGTAAGGTTGATATCCCTGGGCCCCTGAGTGCTAAGACATTAAATACCAGTAATAACCCCCAGTCATTGTGCCACCCAAAACACCCCAGACATTTCCAAGCTCTCCTCTAAGGATGGTTCCAGCCCTGATTGACAACAATTGGTGATCCCAGCAGGACCCAAGCTGTACACTGTCTTTGGGAACTGCTGCAGCCACCAATGCAGGGATGAACTGACTGTTGCTGCTCAGTTAACCCTCAGTGTCTGATTCCTGAATTCCTCTGGGGTGATCCCTTCTCACTGCTGGATTTCTCCAACCCTGTTGTCCACAGTCTCTTCTGGGAGAAAATGGTGCAATTTCAAGGTTGCAGTTACAGGAGGAGGGGACAGTTTCTCTAGGGTAACACTGGGAGTATCTTCAAAACCATGCAGTAAATAAAGTGCCAAAAATAAACACCTTGGGTCAACAGCTCCTCACTGTCATCTCCATTTGCATTTTCTAAGCTTCTGGCCACCTAAGAGATCTTACAACACAGTGGAGTGCTCTGGGAAACCCCGAAATGAAGTCTCAGTATTACTCAGAGAGATGTGTGTTTGTTTGTGCAGCCAGACAGAATTTGGCACACGTTGGGTAGCTCGATATGGTGATGCCAGCCAATGGTGCTCGCGTAGAAGCTCAGTGTTCACTCATCCCTTTGGGAGGACTGCTTTTTGAGTTACATTTTCTTCTTTCTCCTTTAGTGATACAGTCTGAAGTATCAAACTGAGTAAATATTGTGAAATGCAAGATGTTTGACCAAAACCAGTTATCTATTCATTGACTATAGATTTAATCGAGCCACATAAAGCCTAGATATGGTTCAGTTTGGTTTAAATGCTGTAAAGTTTCCAATCCTTAAATGCAAGAGGTTTGAAAAAAAGAAAAGAAAAGAAAAGAAAAATGCAACTATTACTGAGCAAAATAAAAGCTCTGTCCTCTAAATGCCTGCTTTGGTTTAACATAGTGGCTTGCTTTACTTTCAGATAAATTGTAATTGAAGCAAAACCAAGATATGAGAAATATGAACTCCCTCTTTCAACAAAACCCATTGTGTTCAAATTCATAAGCAAGAAAGTTAAGCACCCACCTTCCTCTTTAAGGAAATATGAAAGTTGTTGCTTTGAAATAGAATTCATTGCATTCAGACTTTGAGTGATATCTGTATTCATATCCAACCGGATCTGCAGCCCTCTTCAAAAAATTCTTTCTCCTCAGTGGTGAGAATTACCCCACCTGGGATTCACTCTTCACAAGGCTCAAGAAGCCTATTCATATGAATGAAACTGCTTTCTTCAGGGCAGATGCGGAAGCTGCCCTCCAGAGGGCTTGGGCAACCCAAGGAAAGGAAATCACCTCGGTCGGCAGTGTGACTGCTGAGACTGCCGGGGCTGCTGCCTGCTGCTTCTCGCGCCTGTCCTCTCCAAGATGCAGTTTTTTGATGCTGAGGAGCTCCTGGTCGATGAAGAGGATGATGTTTTTGGTGAAGGTAAATGCATCTTTCTGGCAGGAGGCTCTCCGGTCTGCTTTGCTTTGTTTTGACACCACTGGACACTTTTGCCCAGCTTGGGCAAGGACTTGAGTATTTTGAAATGATAAAAACAAAGCATCCTGAGTGAGGTAGTGGCTGCAAATATCAACTTAGGCACTGAAGGAATACACAAGGCAAGGGGTGGAACAAGGGGTTGAGTCATTCCCGCAAATACATTTTTTAAAGTCATGACTAAAATAAAGGTTTAGTTTAGGCTGGAAAATAGTACTAAATTTTTTGCCTTGTCTCTCTTCTGTGCTATCTCTTGTCTAACACCTTAAGGAAAGCCTGTCACAGTGGTTTGAGCACAGCAGGGCTGCTAGGGAAGAAGTTAAATAAATGGACCAGGAGTGGTTTTTCATGGTACCATGTTGCTTTGATTTGCACTTCTCTCTTTCTGTCTCTCTCTCTCTCTGTCTCTCTCTCTCTGTCTATCTTTCTCTCGGTCCTTCTCTTTTTTTTTTTTTTTTTTTTTGTTGTTGTTTTTTGAGACAGAGTCTTGCTTTGTTGCTCAGGCTGGAGTGCAGTGGTGCAATCTCAGCTCACTGCAACCTCCGTCTCCCGGGTTCAAGTCATTCTCCTGCCTCAGCCTCCCAAGTAGCTGGGACTACAGGCGCCCACCACCATGCCCAGCTAATTTTTGTATTTTTAGTAGAGATGGGATTTTGCCATGTTGGCCAGGCTGGTCTTGAAATCCTGACTTCAGGTGATCCACCCTCCTTGGCCCCCCAAAGTGCTGGGATTACAGGCGTGAGCTACCATGCCCGGCCTGGGTCCTTCTCTCTTACTCTTCCTCACACATACTTGGCACTCCAACCCTCCATTCCCTTTTCCAATTTTCTTTTTTCCCAAGTCGGGATACTGGAGCCCTGGTAGCTTCCAATCCCCATTGGCACTGCTCAGTTTTCTGTTCTCATCTTGCAGCTTTTCCATGACTTGACCTATCCACTGGAATTTAACTGTAAAGGTTGCGATTTTAAAGGGATGATCTAGTCATTGGATGGATGTTTTGTTCAAATGCTGCCTATGAGATTGGGCTATAGGCAAAAGCTTTTTTAGAATTTGGAGCCACCTAAATAAAGGAAATTTGGACTCAAGAATCTCGTGAATTTGATTATTTTCCGCAAGAAACTACGTCTAGCAATTTTTTAAAAAACTCTATTCAGTAATTTTTTAAAAGGAACAGTAGTAAGGTTTTTGTGTATGTGTAATTACCCAAGCAATACAAGTTCGCTGAAGAAAAATTAGAGTGTCGCAAAGAACCCCTTGTAATCTAGTCATGTAGAATGTAATCATGGTTAATATTTTGATGTTGTCTTTCTGCTATGTTGTTCTAGCTACAGAAATATTTAAAATCATTAGTTGGGTTTTTATCACAACTTAAATCAATTTGAAGAATATCTATTGAGCTTCGCTGCTGTTTACCAAGTTATCATTCTGTTGTGTTACTTTGATGGCAGGCGTTTAGGCCACCAACACCTTGAAGTTTGATCTTAGGCCCCATTCTTCAGCTTTCACTTCTTAAAGATGTTTCCTCTTTAAGCAAACACCTTAAAGAGAAAATTTATACTTAGATACTAACTCTTTTGAGGACCTGAAAAATGCTCACAACTATGAAGATAAGCTTAGAACGGAAAAATTGGCAATCATTCACCCACACCTCCCTCCAGGAATGGCATTCCAAAACGCCCAGCCCACATTTCTTTGCCTATAGGAATTTTGCTCTTTTACATCTGGCTATGATACTTAAGAGCGCCCTCTATAGGCTGATGCACTGCACTCTGGATTATGCGTGGCCCCATCCTGAAGGGAAGCGTTAAGACCAAGCAGGGCTGGATGAACCTGTGTGTTCTCTCTCCTGAGCATTCATCATTTCCAAGGTGATTATTGTAACCTCACTAACCATGTTGTAGTGGAATGGCTGAGGTCCCCAGGTTCCAGGTAGCTAGGTAACCAGCTAGCTCTGAGGTGGGAAGTGAGGGAGGTAGTGCAGGTTGATAAGTTGGGAGTCAAACGAGATTCAGACTCAGATTCTGGTTCTGCTTCGTGGTACCCATACAAGCTAACTTTGGTCTCCTCAATGGTGAAGTGGGACAGTAATACCTATCGGTTGTACAGATTATCTTCATAGTAGATGCATAATGTTTGCGTTGCACTTCAATGTGGTATGCTTTATCTTTTCCAAACTGATTATCTCATTTAACTTAATCCCTAAAGATTAAAGAGAAAATCCTTGCAAGGCCAACATCCAGTGTATTTTTATTCAGTTTTCAGAGCCGTGGCTCATGTTTGGCAATTTATGTGAAAGCATGTCCAGCTGCTGCCTCATTTTAAGCAAGCTCTGTGTGGGGTAACAGTCAAAAGCTTCAGCTCTGGAATTGCACGGTCTAGGCTTTGCCAACCAATTCACTTATGACCTTAAGCAGGTTACCTAATCTCTCTGTGCCTCAGTTTACTCACTTATAAAATGGAGTCCAAACCTCATATGGCTGTGTGTGGCTTAAGTGTTATGATAGGGAAAGCTTTTAGAATAGTGGTCAGTACTTAATACATATGAATCCCTATTGTCTATTTACAAAAATGGGTTTATAGAATAGTGACCATTTTTTCACGTCTGGTTAACCTCAGATTCAAAATAGGACTTATTTACAGAACTTCAGTTTATAAATAACTTTTCAGAGGTTTAACGTGGCAGATATAGCACTGAACAAGTTGTTAGGAGTCTGAGTTGTAGCCTTGCCCCTGCTGTGGTATAGCTGGAGGATCTTGGGCAAGTCATTTATCTTCTTTGAGCCTCATTCTTCTTCTGAAACAAGGGGACTGATTACACATTCTCTGAGCATTCTACTACCCAGTCTCCAGTCTTTACTTCAAAATGATGTATCTACCTGTAAAAGTTCATGCTTGTTCTAGGATTCACGCATACTTTCAGCTCACTTAACATGCCTAAGCAGAAAGCTTTTGGCACAATGAGTTTTCCGTAACATAAAAAAAGGAAAATGCCCAGAAGCTTGTTATTAGGGCAACTATATTTCCTTGCAATTGACACATTTTTAAGATCCCTTTCTCCTAGAGGTTACACAGATTTAGAATTTAGGTGCATTTGCTTAAAAGTATATATAAATCCATTTAGATATATGGACACTATAAAGATCTGGGAAGAAAAAAAATGAGTCAATGAGTCATCCTCACAATGTATTTTTTAAACTGCCTTTCTGAGATCCTGTTTGCTTCAGCAATTGTTTTTTGTGGTTAAAGGAAATGTTAAGGTTCACAGAACTTCGGAGCATTGGTGTGTAACTGCTCTTGTTCTAAAACAGGTTGCATATAGTGAGAGAGAAAGAGAAAGAGAGACAGAAAGAAAAGGGATTCACCTACACACTGCAAATCCCAATGTCTGTTCTCTCTCTGTCTCTCCATCTGTTTCTTCTCTCTCTTTTTCTCTCTCTCATACACACACACACACACACACACACACACAGTCTTAAGTTTGCTTTCCTAACAACATCATCACGTCATTTAGAAAATGGTTACTCTCAAGTAGGCTTAATCTTTCCTGGAGAAATGATTCATTTGATTATCAAGGTAGTGAAAAACCAGTAGTTAGCCTTACAGACTCTTTTCCCATTGTTCTTTCAAACTTATCAAATTAAAGGGCTTTCATCTGTTTTGTCACTGTGTGATCTTGACAGCCAGTCTGGTCAGTGTTAGTGGAAATAACTGGATGGGTAATAATGGTAATGACTACAACAATGCTGCTGCTGCTGATGATGATGATGACAATGATGATGACAATTGAAAAAAGGAAAAAAGAAGGGCCATGCACAGTGTAGGTTCCTATCCTGCTTTCAAGAACAGAACAGAATTCACGTGTGGGAGCAAACGGCTCACCAGGTGGTGGTCAGTGAGTATTTTAGCAGCCAAAATTACTCCTTGGCACAAGTTAAAGCTGCAATTGCTTCTTTCCTTAGAAACGCAACCCGCCCCGCCTCCATTTTCAGCACTGCTCAGTAATCTTTTGTCAGGTGCAATGATTAGAATAATAAAACACCCCAAGTTCACAGTAAGTGTGCAAAGTATTTCTCAGGTTCTTGTATTTCCTGGACACTTACATGCCTTTTAAGATTATGCTTGAAGATCACAAGAAACTACAAAGCATTTGTCAGATTTTCAAATGTCCCCCAGAGCTGGTAGAGTGCAACTGAGCATGAGAATACTTCTGTCCTGGATAACTGTGTCTGAGAAAGTTGTTTCAACCTCCACAAAGGAGGGGAACTCTCCCAGATGGAGATGAACTGGCAAAAGGAAGTCCATTCAACCATTAGCTGCCTGTTGCTCTTAAGGAGACTAACAGCTGGTTGGAAAAAAATTGGCAGTCACTTTTGAACCAAGCCTCTCTCCTTTCTCCAAGCCAAGTAAGTTAGCACTTTTTCCTTTTCAAAGGGAACTTCAGGTCAGAGGGAGCAAGAAGACTACAAAACACTTAACACACACACACACACAAAAAGAATTGTAATTAGGATAAATACCTATTTTTTTTGTCTTTCCATGTAGGCTGTTTACAAAACCAAGGTAGTATTTTTCTTTTAATAGGTAAATAATTATGCAATCTGGTATAATCTGGAATATTTTGATATTGTTTCCTGAATTGTATTTGCTCCTTCCAAAATTAATAGAAAGAAGAAAGGGGAAAAAAGCAATTAAATTCATATTATGTACAAAACTAGTAAATGTTGAAAGTTCAGACTGGTTAAGTCATACCCTCCATGGAAAAAGTAAGAGAAATCAAATGTAAAAGTATATGAGCCTTGGCTAGAGAGGATTGGAGATTTTTGTGTGATTATGCCACATTTTATAACATAAATAAATACAAGCATTGCTATTTAACTATGCTGAATCTTTCTCAAGAAATATCTGGGTTTCTCAAGTGGACCCAATAACGGGATTGGAAAAGGGGCAGAAAGAGGCTGCCCTAGTTTCCTGGGTTGAAAAGAATTGGTCACTCTTTGCTTTCACAATTTGCCAAGATTGCTTGGATCAATTTCCACCCCCGAATTCCTGGATAAATGCTTTAGTTGGAAGTCACTTTCCCTACTTTATTTGTCCCAGGGTCTGGAGCAGACAAAGACCTCCCCACAGTAATTCATGCTTGTGTGACCTCTGCCTTGGATTACTGCAAAACATTCTCTTCCCATAGATGTCTAGGAAGCTTTCTTTGGCTGGTGCCAAAGAGATGGTGTCATTGCAGGGGCATAAACTAAAATAGCACATTGCACTAAAGCTATGCAGGCTGTCTTAGCCACCAGTCCACCCCCCTGATTTATGGCCCCCAGTGACCTCAGGGTAACCTGTTTAGATCAGGCCAATGCCAAAAGGGGCCCAAAACTACAAGTAAAACATTTTAGATGTTTATTTTAATATCTCTATGAGCAGCAAGCCAAGTCTTAACTTTTTAGGAATGATGTGTGTAAGATATACTAGAGTATGTCTTCTATAGGGCTTGAGTTGAAAACTAAAAGTACATGCATACTCATTGTAGGTATGATAATTTAAACAAAGAAAAAGAAATGTGTAGTTTTTGTGACCAAAATATTAAAATAAATCTGGAGGGTTGCACTCCCACCTCTCTTTTTGATAGAAGCCACTTCACTTACACAAGCCAACATATTTATTAAAAAGATGTGATTTATCTGGCTAACTATGCCTCCTGTATTTTTTCAAGAGACAGGCTCTCGCTCTATCACCCAGGCTGAAGTGCAGTGGTGTGATTGCAGCTCACTGCAGCCTCAACTTCCTGGGCTCAAGGGATCCTCCTGCCTCAGCCTCCAAGTAGCTGGGACTACAGGTGTGCACCACCATATCCAGCTAATTTTTTAATTTTTTTTGTAAAGCCAGCCTCTCACTATGTTGCCCAGGTTGGTCTCAAACTCCTTGCCTTAAGTGATCCTCCCACCTAGGCCTCTCCAAGTGCTGGGATTACAAGCGTAAGCCACCATGCTCAGCCTGCCTTCTATATTTTATTGTGCTAAGCAAATGTCAGTTTATTCAACTTCTCATTTATTTTCGGATGGCAAAATTTTGTCTACTAATTATCTGCCAAAAGCTGTGATGTTTAACTAAAATGTTTAAAATTCAGTTGATTTTGGAAGATATTTTAAAAGAGAAAAGGTATTAGTTGAGACAAATTAAAGTGACTCTTTCAAGTACCAGAAGGACAGAGAAAAGTTGGAGAGCAAGAAAAAGAACTAGTAAATGGTCCTAGAAAGTGAAAATGGAAAGAAGAAAATGAAACTAGAAATGCAAGTGCTAATGAGACAGTAAACTCTCTTGTACTTCCTCATCATTCAGTATGGTCCAGGCTGTGCCAGGTGCTAGTTTCTGGGACCCTGAAATGAGGATGTGCTTGGCTGACTATGAGGGTGATGATTCCATAACATCTGCACACCCTAGGCTGAAGAGGGACGTGTCAAGAGCCTGAACTGTTGGATTCTTGTTGACAGACAAATCAGATCATGTAAGCTAAAAACCATCTTTACTTTGTGCTGTGTAGCCAGAGCATATCTTATCATTTAGAATATTCCTTCCAAAAAAAAAAAAAGAACAATTTAGTTTATCCTTTTCAGATATTTTTAAGAGAAAGATTTTGACCTATGCTGTGATAGCAATCAAAAGCCAGATATAATTGGCAGTGTTTCTCCAGAAAGCAAATTAATAATAATTTATGTCATCATTCTTTCACATGTTGGCTTTCTCTATCTTCAATTTTTTCATGTCTCGGTTTGCTTAAAAAATGCTTCACGCAGAAGATACTTAAAGACACAGTGATGGATACAAAGTAAAACTCTTGAAACTTAAAATATAAATGTGAGAAACATGGGAACTTTTTGGGGTGGGTAAAGTGTCTCTTTTCCAAACTGAGGAAGAGAGAACACACTCGGATCTAGCTTTGTAAAGATTTTCATTAATAGAGAACCTCTAAACAGAGAAGAGATCCTGGGGTTATTTCGTCTGTGGCTATATTACAAGTTTAGTCCTAGACAGCAATTATTTCTAAATAAAATAAAGAGAAGAAAGACGTTGCTGCCTTCCGGAAAGTGATGAGGTTATGGTGCTACTTTTCTCCACAGATTTTTCTTTCTTTGCCTTTGAATTATTGGGAGTTAAAGGTTTAAATATTTATACTATACCACTCACACAGCAACAGCGTAAGAGCAGCTGGTCCCTTCTCCCTCTTGACTTCATTCTAAACTGTTCATTCAGTGTAAGAAGTAACAAAAAGATAACTTGCCTTTCAGATCACAAGATGAGTCAGCTGGCTGAGCCTTTGAGTATAATTTTTTTATTCTCTATAAATTGAACTTCAGAAATCTCTGAGAGAGAATAAATATGAAAACATTTTCTATGGTGGGAATTTTCTTTCTATTTATAACAGCAAAATACACTAGTAGAATGGTATTTAAAAAAATATACCAAAGACTCAAATAAGCAGATATGATTTGTAGAAGGCACTCTTAACTCTCTTAACTGCCTTCAGATAAATTACGTGACTAAAATATTAGGAAAAACAAACTCTTCTCCTTCAACTTGTGGTTCATATGCTGAGGGATACCAAGAATGTTTTTGAGGTAGGGCATGACTCACACCCCTATTAATCTCCACAAGCATCTCTAAAAACTGAAAAATCAATTAAAATTTTTAATCTTAATAGAAAGCGTAATAGAAAGCTTTTTAAAGAAAACATTGCAGTTTTGAGTGGTCTGCATTCTACAATCTGAGTAAAAAATCACGTGTTGCTCTGCAAACAGCTTCTAGAGAAGGCCCAGACCCCTTTTCTAACCATATTGCTGTATTGGGTACTTTGCATACAGAAATTCTGAAGCCATTGTTGTTTTTAAATCTTTGATTTTTAGCTTCCAGACTTCCAAACTGAGGGGAAGTAACATATATGCTGTGGAATGAGCAAAATATTTGAACTCATAAAACCTAGTTCAACTTACTAGTTGTTTGGCTTTAGGCAAATTACCTAACCCCTGAGAAGATTCAATTCCCTTTTTCCAGTGAAAATGATGATAATAAAGGTGATGGTAGTAGTGGTTGTAGTGGTGGTAATGGTGATGATGATTATGATGATACTGATGATGATGGTGGTGGTGGCGGTAGTGGTTGGACTGGTGGTAGTGATGATAGTGGTGGTAGCGATTATAGAGATAATAATAATTGTGGTGGTGGTAAGGTGATGATGATAATAATCATGATGATGATAGTGGTGGTAGTGGTATTGGTTATGATGGTGATGGTAGTGATGGTTGTAGTGGTGGTTATGGTGATGATGATTATGATGATAATGTTGATGATGGTGGTGGTGATAATGGTGGTGATAGTTATAGTTGTGGTGGTGGTGGTGATGGTAGTGGTGGTGAGGTGATGATGATGATATTCACGATGATGGTGATGGTGGTGGTGGTGGTGATGGTGGTAGTGATTGTAGTTGTGGTGGTGGTGGTGGTGGTGGTGGTGGTGATTGTAGCTGTGGTGGTGGTGGTGGTGGTGATTGTAGTTGTGGTGGTGCTGGTGGTAGTGGTGGTGGTGGTGCTTGTAGTTGTGGTGGTGGTCATGGTGGTGGTGATTGTAGTTGTGGTGGTGGTGGTGGTGGTGGTGGTAGTGAGATGATGATTATAATAATCATGGTGGTGGTGGTGATGGTGGTGGTGATTGTAGTTGTGGTGGTGGTGGTGGTGGTGGTGGTAGTGAGATGATGATTATAATAATCATGGTGGTGGTGGTGATGGTGGTGGTGATTGTAGTTGTGGTGGTGGTGGTGGTGGTGGTGGTAGTGAGATGATGATTATAATAATCATGGTGGTGGTGGTGATGATGATGGTGGTGGTGATGATGGTAATGGTGAAGATGATGCTGATGATGCTGCTGCTGATGATGATGTTGGTGGTGATGATGATGATGATGATGATGATTAACCACTCAAAAAACTGCTGCGTTTAAAGGGAGATAATGTATGATATACTTGAAAACCATAAGGGTTTACTACATAAATATCAGTTATTATGTAACGGCGATTTTCTCAGCTGTCTCAGCCCCCCAAGTCTATACAATTCCCCTCTTCTATTCCTGGCCTTTGTTAGGAAGAGCTGGCTTAATAAAAGACACAGTTGATTAAAGCAGAGCTATTGCGACTGCTCACCTCAAACACTTTCCTGAAAATATAGAGGTACCTCTGGCTCATGAATTAGCAAACCTGATTGCTATCTGATCTCCACCATGTGACCAAGGCAGGGCTGAGAATAACCCCATTGCTTGGCACAGAATACATACATGATTACTTACCCATGTGCTATTGCTTTAATCAATCTGGTCTCCGCCTGAAAATTCTCTGGGTATCCAAGGGAGAAACATGTACTATGGCAGTTTTATTGTGTAGAGGGGCCCCTTGCCTCCTCCAGAAATGCTGGAGGTGAAAATCATATCTTTAACCGTATCTTTAACAGTATGCAGGACCTATTTCCTGAGTAAATATTTACTTGTGGTAAACACATCAGAGGCACTGCCTCCCCCATCACCACTTTACAGAGTTCTTTTAAAAACGTAATCTGAGAAAAGCTGAACTTTCTGTATTTGTTAAAACATTTCTAATTTAAAGATAACACCCACTGAAAACTTTAATGTTGTATATATTAAGTATTTTAGGACAGCAATTAAGATTTTTAAATGAAGCCTCTACAATGTTCCCTCTAGTGGTGTTTTGTTTTTGTTTTAGATTCCATTGTTTTAAAAATATTTTCAGTGGTAAAACTTCCTGAAAAAAAGATAAGCTGTTTATGTGTATTTGTGTGTAAACATTAATTTTATACAAATGTACAGGACAAACATTAGCTCAGTTGCTTCATAATAATACTACATGTACATGGGACAGAGAAAGAGTGAATAGAATCAATCCTCTGTGAGCTCATTAACAAATATTTATTGAGTGCCACTCATAAAAGTTATGAGAGGGCACATAATTAGTTGGTTAGGTTGAAAACAGTACCAGCTGCAGCAGGATAGACCAAGAATGGATGAACCAAATTTTTTTTTTTTTTTGAGATGGAGTCTCACTCTGTCACCAGGCTGGAGTACAGTGGTGCAATCTTGGTTCACTGCAACCTCCGCCTCCTGGGTTCAAGCGATTCTCCTGCCTCAGCCTCCTGAGTAGTTGGGATTACAGGCATGTGCCACCACGCCCAGCTAATTTTTGTATTTTTAATAGAGACGGGGTTTCACCATGTTAGCCAGGATGATCTCGATCTCTTGACCTCCTGATCCACCCACCTCGGCTTCCCAAAGTGCTGGGATTACAGGCATGACCCACCGCGCCCAGCCTGAACCTAAATTCTCTACACTTCTGGAAAGGCAACTGATGGTGGGTCAGAAGCATCATCTGCCCTATGCAAAAAGACAACACAGCTTGTCCTTTACAACAAGGACTACAATGCAGTAGACACAGATAGCCCCGTGAGTCTTCCTAATATTGATAATACACCCAGAAAGATAGGTGTTTATGCCTTTATGACCCACCAGGTAACACTGAGAACTGCACACAGTGAGTCAGTGGCTTTCTGCACTGCTCTTGGTCTAGGCAGAAACGGATAAGTCATGGCCTCAGGCCAGATCCAGCCAACTACCTGCAAGATAAGAATGGTTTTTTACAGATGAACATTTGCAGTTAATTTGGTGATAGGGATCACTAACCTAGAATCTCAATTAAGCAAAACATTATCCCAAAGGAAAAGAATTCCATTCTTCTCCTTACTAGACCATTTTTTAGAGTACTCAATTATATTTTGAATTTTGTCAATAACAATATGTGAAATTTTATTTTCTTTCTTGTTATATATATTTATAAAATTTCCTCATTTTTATCACTTGGCCCACAAAGCCTAAACTATTTATCTAGCTTTTTACAGAAAAAGCCTGCCAACTCTAGTCTATGTCATCAACTTCCAAATCTTAAGGTCATTGAGAGTTTTGTAATCCTCTCTTCCTCTTCCCCTTTTGTATCATCTCTTTCTTCCTTTTCATGTCTGCTGGGAGGGTCTTATCATTATTAAAGCCCCATGTAGGAAGGGACTTATCCCTTCTTATGATTATTTTAATACTCTTTTAAAGAGAATATCTGTCATTATATTACATTGCTCTGTAATACCAGTTGGAAGGATGATGAAAAATTGGTGGCTAAGACAGAATGCCTTGGGTTGGGGAGGGAACAGAAGGCAACATCCTATAAAAGGAGAAACACCGTAAGACTAAGGATCTTTTCTCTCAGCCCAACAGTAAATCAGGTGAAAGAAGATAGCACACAGCAAGCGTCCAAGGGGTCTTTTCTATTTACACCTCTGCAACATTTCAAGGGACTTCTTTCCCCCATATGATGCTTCGAGTTCACACATCCACAAGATCTGAAGCCCTTAGACCTAACCATAATGCATGATAATGAGTGATAGGCAAGCATGACTCAAAGCTGTCTTTTTGGCTTTTACACACACGCAAGTCCCAATTTACCAAGGAGTGATGGTGCCAGGCCTCAGGGAGCATATCCCAAAGAAACCACAAATTGGAAATGCATTACCTTACGTTAGGAGATTACATGGGATTAGCAGAGCTTTGATCATCCCAAAACAGTGCTGGCTCTTGCCCACTGCCCCATGTCTGTAAAGCAGACCAGCGTGGGTCTGCTCAGCCTGCATGTTAATTCAAGAACAAGAAAGCCTTTTCAAAACAGACACGACAGGAGAGCGCTAAAAGCACTGCCACACACACCCATGCACATTTAGAGGGGCCACATGGTTCCTGGTTGCTACGCATTACAAGAGGCAGGAATGTCGAGCTCTGTGAGGCATTTCTGAGCAGTTCTTCATTTATTTGTTTATTTATTTATTTATTTATTTTATTTTTTTGAGACAGAGTCTTACTCTGTCGCTGAGGCTGGAGTGCGGTAGTGCTATCTCGGCTCTCTGCAACCTCTGCCTCCCAGATTCAAGTGATTCTCATGCCTCAGCTTCCCAAGCAGCTGGAACTACAGGCATGCGCCATCACGTCCCCTGCTAATATTTTGTATTTTTAGTAGAGAGGGGATTTCACCATGTTGGCCAGACTGGTCTCAAACTCCTGGCCTCAAGTGATCTACCCACCTCAGCCTCCCAAAATGCTGGAATTACAGGAGTGAGCCGCCGCGCCCAGCCTCTGAGCAGTTCTAACTTGCTGTGGGGGAGAAAAATCTTGCTATTGAAAAGAGTTAGGAAACTCTCGGCCACTTTTGGTGGGAATGTAAAATGGTACAGCCACTACAAAAAACAGTATGGCAGTTCCTAAAAAAAATTAAAAATAGAATTGCCAGGTGATCCAACAATTCCACTTCTGGGTATATACCCAAAATAATTAAAAGCAGAATCTTGAAAAGATACTTGTATATCATATTCATAGCAGCATTGTTCACAATAGCCAAAAGGTGGAAGTAAATCAGGTATCCACCCATGCAAAATGTAGTACAGTATATACACACAATGGAATATTATTCAGCCTGCAAGAAGAATGAAATGCTGACACCTGCTACCACATGCATGGACCTTGAGGGCATTATGCTAAGTGAAATAAGTCAGCCATAAAAGACAAATACTGTATGAATCCACTTCTATGAAGTACCAAGAGTAATCAAATTTATAGAAACAATAAATAGACGGTGGTTGCCAGAGGCTGGGGGGAGGAGAGAGCAGGGAATTGCTTTAAAGGGCATAGAGTTTCAGGTTTGCAAAATGAGAGAGTTCTGGAGTTTGGTGCAGAACGGTATGAATGTACTTTACACTACTGAACTATACACTTAAAAACAGTTGAGATGGTACATTTTATGTTATGTGTATTTTACCTTTTTTTTTTTTTTTTTTTTTTTGAGACTGTCCTGTTCTGTTGCACAGGCTGTAGTGTGATGGCACCATCTTGGCTCACTGCAGCCTCTGCCTCCCTGGTTCAAGCAATTCTTGTGCCTCAGCCTCCTGGAGTAGCTGGAACTACAGGTGCACGCCAACACACCAGGCTAATTTTTGTATTTTTGGTAGAGACAGGGTTTCACCACATTGGCCAGGCTGGTCTCGAACTCCTAACCTCAAATGATCCATCTGCCTCGGCCTCCCAAAGTGCTGGGATTACAGGCGTGAGCCACCGTGCCTGGCCCCTTACCACATTTTTTTTAAAAAAAGAGTTCAGAATGGGTACAAAAAAAAACAGGAAAGTACCAGGCAATTCCTGAGGGTCTACAGAGCAGTTGCTTTTTCTTGAGCCAGGTAAATTTAACAGTAGGGAACTGAATTTCCACAAAAGATAGAAGTGGTTCTAGGCAGCTGACGCTGACCAAGGCTAAGCATATCTGATGCAATCTTAGAAAGACTGTTTCCTTTATAACAGCGTATGTGAGAGTTACGTATGGGATTCTTGCTACTAATTTCTTCCTAGCTGGGCGTCAGTTTTAGGAACTCTGCAAAAATACTTTGAGATTAGCACTTACTGAGGCTCCTCTAGAGATGAATAGCATAATTAGAAGATGTGTCTCCCTTGGGAGCTTATGAGCTATTTAGGGATATAAATAAGGTTTTTTTTATTATTATTCATTTAAAGAATATCAGCCAGGCGTGGTGGCTCATGCCTGTAATCCCAGCACTTTGGGAGGCCGAGGAGGACGGATCACTTGAGGTCAGGAGTTTGAGACCAGCCTGGCCAACATGGTGAAACTCCATCTCTACTAAAAAATACAAAACTTAGCTGGGCGTGGTGGCACACATCTGTAATCCCAGCTACTCAGGAGGCTGAGGCAAGAGAATTGCTTGAACCCAGGAGGTGGAGGTTGCAGTGAGCCGAGATTGCGCCATTGCACTCCAGCCTGGGCGACAGAGTGAGACTCTGTCTCAAATTTTAAAAAAAAGAAAGAAAGAAAGAAAGAATATCAATTGAAAGTCTTCCACATGCTTGGTTCAGTTCTGTTCTGGCTCTCAGGTACAGCAGTGAATATAACAAAGTCCCAGCCTTGTGAAGTTATATTGCAGAGAAGCGAGGCAGACAATAGACAAGCCTATAAAAATACAGTACATCAGGGTCGGGGGGGGCGATAAGTGTTATGGGAAAAAATTAAGTGCAGGGTGGGCAGAATAGGACATGGTGGTCAGGGAAGACTTTACTGACAAATGCCCAGAGGTTTGAAGTCAAGGTCTGAACATATGGAGGTCTGGGGAGAGTGTTCCAGGAATAGTAAGGAAACCAATGTGAGCAAGGCAGAGAATGGTAGAAGATCTAAGGCTGGGCATGGTGGCTCACGCCTGTAATGCTAGCACTTTGGAAGACCAAGGTTGGAGGATCACTTGAGATCAGGTATTTGAGACCGGCCTGGCCAACATAGTGAAACAGCGTCTCTACTAAAAAAAAAAAAAAATAGCTGGGTGTGGTGGCACGTGCCTATAGTCCCAGCTACTCAGGAGGCTGAGACAGGAGAACTGCTTGTGCTCAGGAGGCAGAGGCTGCAGTGAGCCGAGATCATGCCACTGCACTCCAGCCTGGGTGACAGAGCAAGACTCTGTCTCCTCAAAAAAAAAGAGAGAGAGAGAGATCTAAGAGGTTTTGGGGAGTTCAGCTCCTGTAAAGCCTTATAGGTTACTGTAAGGATTTGAGTTTTTACTCTATGAGATGGGGAGCCATTGGCCAGTGTTGAGCAAAGTAATGCAATCTGATTTACCTTACAAAAGGATCATTCTGACTGTTGTCTTGGAAAGAAAGATGGGGGAATAGGGGAAAAGGTAGGTTAGGAGACTACTGACATATTCCAGAAGAGCTCATGGGATCCTTACCTGGCCTGATACTGGCTGAATACTGGGGGTATGGGAAAAAGTGGTCAAGGATGATTCCAGGGCTTTGGCCTAAGCATCTGGAAGGATAACATTGCTCTTTACTGAAATGAAGACTGCTGCTGGAGGAGTAGACTTAAGGTGAGGAAGGGTATTGCTGTGATGCGGAATCAGGAGTCCAGTTTTGGACAGTTAAGTTTATAGTATACATATAAATTGTGGATGACTTCATGAAGTCCCATTCTAAGTACTCAGAATAGCGAACATTCAGGAAATAGTTGTTGAAATGTTGCCTATAAAGCAGCATATACATAATAGAAAATTATTCATAGATTTATCTCTAGCTTATAGGGATTGGGCTATATAACCTATATGGTGTGTTCCATAAGACCATGAGTTCAGTAATACAATGCAAACTGTTCAGAACACTAAAGGGCAATTTAAGGAAAGATCAGAGGGAAAGGGCTGGCTTCTTGGAGGTGAATATTTGAAGTTGAGAGCTTAATGTCCTGGGAAGCAGTGTTCTGTAAACATGATAATTGTGGGAATGCATCAGGGAATGCTTTATCTTCACATGCTCTCCTGCATTTGGTGCTATGCATACCAAGTTCACATGCTTGCATTTCTTGCCCTTTTGCTCCAAGGCCATACATTCATAGAATTTCAGCTGGAAGAGACCTAAAGAGGTGTTTGGTCTATGTTCCTAACAGAAGGCTGGCAAGCAATCAGCCCCAGTGCTCAGCTCCCTCCCTTTTTCCCTCCAAAGGAGATTTATCTGTCTCCATCAGTCACACATCCATTTAACAGTCAATAGCTAGTAGGCACCACATTTGCTTTTATTTTAACTCAAATCCCACAGGTTATATCTTCAATCACTTCTCTTTATTCTAATTCTGGGGAATAATTGTTCTTCCTTCTGTAAGACAGTCCTCAAAAACCATTAAAATAACATAGTAACAACACCAATAACTCTCCAAACACCGAAATCACCAGTCCAATATTTGTATTCCACCAGGCACTTGAGTCGAATAGTATCTACTGCCGACAAGAGGGCGAGTGTATTCTCAGTGGTGAAGAGGCTCAAACGTGTGTGAATTAGGATATGAAATGCAGGGGCACACGGCCTACAGCTGTTGAACTTGAATTCCTCTGTGAATGCAAACCCCACAGCTGAGAGGCACTTCTCAGAGAGGCCTGTGTACGTTTGCTCTTCTAGATGTACAGGGCTTATCCTCATTGTGACTTAGCCATCGTCTTGTGTGCAGAGAACAAACGAGAGCAGGTGTTCACATTTATCTTCCTCAAGCAGCCCCTTGAGGCTTTTTGGGGGAGGGTCAGGAAAGGAAGAGGCTGAAATACAGCCTTCCATCCCCCAACTCTCACTCCTGCCAGCAGACAGCTGTTTCAGTCTCTTCTTGCTGCTGCTAATGAAAACATAGCCGGGATTCCATAAAAGATATTTAATATGGGATTGCTTGGAGAAGCCACTTTCTTTGGAGATTTGCTTAAACCAAAGCTCTTGGATTTGTTACCATTGCTGTGAAATTTTCATCTCCAGCAGCCTTAGCATGAATGACCTATTTTGAATGTGACAGCGATTACACTTCGGTGGCGTGAATAATTTATTAGGTGCAAGAGCACTGTCAACGTAGTGATATTACAGCAGTCTTGCTAGCCTGGCTAATTATGGAGGATGACAGCACTCTATCCTGTTGTCACAGCTCCTCTCCAAAGCTGCCAGGGATGTGGATTCTATGTGAGCAGAGAAGGAAAGAGGGGCAGTGGGGCCAGGTTCCTGCTACCAAAGAAGGCTTTGTGGGTTGAGCAAGCTGTGCTGCAGGAGTTGGATTTCCACTTTCACCTCTGCAAAGTGAAACTGTGCTGGGCCCATGGGGATGAATCTTGTATCCAGTATCCTGATTTTGCATAAAATGTGTGTTAGTTGGGGGAGGTGCAGGCTGTGAAAGAGTGACTTAGGAAGGAAAGAGGCATTAGACCCTGGAGCTAGCTAGGGTATCTAATGGTTTCCAGGTTTACAGAGGAGGCACAGGCCTTTTTAGCATGCAGCTGGATTCAGAGCCTAGGAGCAGGAGTATGAGAGAAAGGAATAGAGCACAGCCAGGAGGAGCCTCAGTTATGGCTTCGGTGTGTGTTCCCTTGTGTTTTAAGCTACCTTGAGACTCTAGAGCTTTCTCTAGCTTTGCCTGAGTAGTAGTGACAGCTCATTTAACCTTACTGAGACCTCAGTTCCAGATATAAATCAGGCTCCAAAATAATGTCCATGAAGATTTTGAAGTTTAACAGTCAGTGACAAAGTTTTAAGCAATAGGGCTTCTGGGCCTGTAATTCCTCCTAAAAGTAGCTCCTGAAGTTAATGGTCCCAACTTTATGAATTAGGGAGGAACTAAACTTTGGGAAGATCTTTGCATAGGTGGGGGCAGGGAGTTGGAAAAGAATTAAACAGGATTACATGCAATAACATCACTGGCCTACAATGGAAAGAGAAATGAAAATTAAATTAAATTAAAGGAGCTACCTGAAGAAGAAATATTTTTAAAATATGAATGACTGGATAAAAGCAGATACTTTAAATTTTTCAATAATAGGTAATGATTAATGATTATCAATCAAGCCAATGTCAGGAAGCTGACGGCTCCCTCATGTTAGAATAATTCAAGGAAGCTTATTTACAATGAGACGAGTTACAAGGGGGATGGGGATGCAGGGGATACTGGGGCCCAAGGTGACCTCATAGGGAGGAGCCAGGGAATGCATATTCCCACCTCACTTTCATCTCCTGTTGGGGATCCCCATTGGCTAGACCCACCTGGACATCACAGGGCGGCCACTGACGTGGTCCCTACAGGTGAGCCCTCCAGGAGACAGAAGATGGAGATGGACAGAAAGGGGCAACATGGGATAACCTGCAAACCAGGGACTGCATCAGACCCAGGGACACAGAATAAATAAATCACCTTGGAAGACCTTTACAGATACGTCTCTTTTTTTAATGTTTCCCCTGATCATGAGAGAAAAAGGAAAGATATTGTGAAGTGAAAGTCAACTTAGAACCTTTAAAAAAGCCTACTACAGCTGGGCGTGGTGGCTCACGCCTATAATCCCAGCACTTTGGGAGGCTGATGCGGGCAGAACACAAGGTCAGGGGTTCGAGACCAGCCTGGCCAACATGTTGAAACCTCGTCTCTACTAAAAATACAAAACATTAGCCAGGCCTGGTGGTACGCGCCTGTAATCCCAGCTACACGGGAGGCTGAGGCAGGAGAATCACTTGAACCCGGGAGGCGGAGGTTGCAGTGAGGCAAGATCGCGCCATTGCACTCCAGCCTGGGTGACAGAGCAAGACTCCGTCTCAAGAAAAAAAGAAAGAAAAAAAAGCCTACTACATATCAAGTACTTAGCATTGTGCTTACACGTAGATATTGATACTTTCCAATCACTTCTACAACTGCTTTGAATCATGTTATACTTATTTTAATACCTTTGTGCAATAATACATATTGATTAAATGTATGCCATTTACTTTCAGCCTATGGCGTTTAGAACTATACGAATTTGTAAAGTTAACATTTTGCCAACATTTTTGTCCATCTAGATCACTGATTCTCAAAATGTGAACTAAAGACTCATGAGGTTTCCCAGGACCCTTTCAAGGGGTCCCCAAAGTCCTCAATATTTTTTAAAAGCATAAAATGGTCTTGGGACCAAAAATTCAAAAAGGCTATTCTAGATTATGGTATTGTATCAATGGATCTTGAAACCAAGAAAAGGGCCGGGGGAACTGTTGGCCTAGATTATATTATTGCAGAAAATGATCTCTATATGTAAATATGTAATATAATAATAATATATGAGAAATCCAATCTCAAGTTTCTGGAGAGAAGGAGACTGCTATATTTAGAGAATATTTTATTTCCCATCAACTTTGAACATTTCACTGATTGTTGTCTACCTATGCAGCCTTACAGGTCACTTGGTGTGGAAGCTAGAAGTGGGGGTGGAGAGGAGGTTTAGGCTTAAGATAATTTGCCCAAGTACAGGGGACTGACTTCTGAACCTCCGGGACATTCATTCTTGGGACATACTAAAATGTCAAGAGTGTTGGCCAAACAAGTTTCTCATTGTGCAAGCAGATATGTGTGACAATGGCAAGGAAATAGCCTAAGATGTCCACTCCCTTGAGAACCTTATCATGGGTGCCAGACACGGGCAAAGGATAACAGGGTCTTTCTCTTAGCAGTTCAGAAAGCGGTGAGCAAGACCCAGCTGTCACTTGTCGGGTTGAAATATGCTTCTATAGGTACAGTTCAGACACCAATAAATGCAGGCTTGTTATGTTCTTTTTCCAGGGAAAAAGGTGGCAGAAACCAGCAGGGATAGTGTATGCTCTCATTTCTCGTTTAGTCAATATTTATTGGCTATCCTCTACACTCATTAATATAGAGGTTACTATCCTATATGCAGCACAAAACATAGTTCCTGACATCGCAGAGCTTATAAACCAATGAGGAGAAGTGTATTAAATAGCTACAACAAATGGAAGATGTGTGATTGAGTCTGCACTCAGGGGACAGATGACTTACAAGAGGACTCAGGTACAGCACAGATGACCAAGGAAAGTGTCATGAAGGAGGTAATGTTTGAACAGGGCTTCATGGGCCAGGCAGGATTTTTAGAGCCAAATATTAAAGGTAGGAGGAAAAGTGAGGCAAGGGCTCAGCAGAGAATTTTCAGGCAGTAGGAATGGCCTGAGGAAAAAGGTGGAAGCAGGAATTGTCAAATGTTAGAGCCAAAAGAAGCTTTGGTGATCAGGTTGTCCAAACCCTTCGTTTGATAGATGAGGACATAGGTCCACAAAGGCCACTGAGTTCTCTACTGGCAACACTAAAATAGAACCCAGGCATCGACTCTGAGTCCAGCACTTTTTCCAAGACTCTTCCCTGGATGCAGGGTGAGAAGAGCCAGAGCTGAGAGCCTGCATGGCAGAGTGGCGGGGATGCAGCTGGGAAGGCTTCTGGAACCAACTGCAGTGCCAAGGGAGCTGGATGCCTATTTGGACTTGGTTCAGACCAGTGTTTCCTGAAGTGCATTCTGAGATGACTGTGCCAGAACCATCAGTGTGCTTGTTAAAACGACACTGTGTAAGGAGGGGGACCTAAAAATCTGCATGTTAAATTCCTTCCCAGGGTGATTCTTATGCACTTCATAAGCTGGAAAATCAAAAATACAGAGAGACGGGGGCCAGGCACGGTGGTTCACACCTGTAATCCTAGCACTTCGGGAGGCCGAGGCAGGTGGATCACGAGGTCAGGAGTTTGAGACCAGCCTGGCCAACCTGGTGAAACCCCATCTCTACTAAAAATACAAAAATTAGTTGGGAGTGGTGGCGGGTGCCTGTAATCCCACGTAATCCCAGCTACTTGGGAAGGTGAGGCAGGAGAATCACTTGAACCCAGGAGGTGGAGGTTGCAGTGAGCTGAGATCGTGCCACTGCACTCCAGCCTGGGTGACAGAGCGAGACTCCATCTCAAAAAAAAAAAAAAAAAAGTACAGACAGAGGGAGAAAGATTGGTCAGAGCAGCAAATGAAGAATTCAATAGACGTGAGCAATGTGGAGGCCAAAAGATTATACTATTAGAAAGGAGTGCAAAACTCTTAGAACTGGCAGCATTCCAAGCCATATTTTGGCCCTGGATCTGGGTGGCCAAGTGCCTATACAGAAAGGTCATAAGAGTAAAGACCTTCAAGGCTGTTAGATCTGCTGTTCCTATGGATAAGAAGCATCACAGTTATAAAGAGAAATTAGACCTCTGTTGTATCTGCTTACTTGTCTCTAGGACTAGTCACCTGTAAGAATAGAAGCCAAATTCACCAGAACAATAGACACAGGTAGTTACAGAACTATGGTTTTTTATTTCTGCAGGGAATGCAGAAAAAATTATGTGATAGACAGATAGATAGATAAGGGTCGGTAGGTACAACCAAATCTTTAAGTGACCTTCTGATTAGACCTAGAGCACCGACTTCACTTCATAACGGCAGTGGTTCTTCAGGCATGGTCTAAGTTCTTTATTACATATGTGAAGCTGTAAGTCAGGGAATTAAATTGGTTGCATTTTGGCTGCTGTTCTGCTTTCTTCTGATGAATTGTGTATTTACTAGGATTGATCGATGGCAGTAAGAACCATAAGACTTGTTTGGCTGAGTCCGTTCTTCAACCACACACTGGCTTAAAAAGTTCTCATGAGAGGAGAATGGGATACAGTTCAGTTATTAAAAGAGGCCATTTTCAGTGCTGCTGAAGTTCAAACACTTTGTTTTATGGTATAAAAAATAATCACAGTTCCTATAGCACCCATAGTGCTGCCTCCTTCGTAATTCACCATCCCACTTATTTACAACTGTCCTCATCGCCAGGCTCTACAAGGCAGGTTTCACAACTACTGGGCTTACCTCCGGCCCTTAGCAGAGTGCCTGGCACCTGGGTTGCACTCAATTACTTCTTGAAATAATAGCTATTATTACTACTTGGGGTCTTTTTTGTTTTGTTTTGTTTTGGTTGTTGTTGTTGTTGTTGTTGTTTGACACCCAGGCTGGAGGCGCAGTGACGTAATCTCGGCTCACTGCAACCTCCGCCTCTTGGGTTGAAGTGATCCTCCCACCTTACCCTCCTGAGTAGCTGGGATTACAGGCACCTGCCACCACGCCCGGCTAATTTTTTGCATTTTTAATAGAGACAGCGTTTCGCCATTTTGGCCAGGCTGGTCTCAAACTCCTGGCCTCAAGTGATCCACCCACCTCGGCCTCCCAAAGTGCTGGGATTATAGGCATGAGCCACCATGCCCGGCCATTAGGGGTGTATTCAATTTAAAATTTATATGTGAGGGGGGAAAATACCCTGACTTGTATTAAACGATTTCTTCTTTGGAAAGAACCATTCCTTTTCATTGGCCTGAAAGAGCAATGCAAGTGTCTCATGGGTGGGGGTGAGGATACCCACCCCCAATGCCTGTCAAGCTCTAGGCTTCACTGTTTCCCTGGATGAGGTTAAAAGGACCCAGCCGAGATATCTGAGTGCTCTGCTCAGTGAAGTTTTGGGGATAAAGAATCCTGCCTAAGGGATAGTAAGAACCTAAAAGGAAGTGAACAGCATTATAAGAGAGAGAATGGGCGCAAGCAGAAATTAACTACCCAAGAATGAAGACTTTGGTGACCACACAGGAGCAGTGATTGGAGAGGCGGTGTGAAGACCTTTAGACTAAGCTCTAGGAGACCTGGTGTGGGCTTTTTATTTGGTTATATGACCTTAATCTCTGGGATTTGGACCAGGCAATCCAATACACAGTGTGTCGTGGTTGTTTAGATCTGTGCTGCCTGGTCCCTCAGTCACACATGTACCTGTTCTCTGGAGGTACTCTGTGGGAGGAACTGTGGGGTCTACAAAGTCACCCAGGACAGATCCCAATTGCCAGAGCTTCCAGTCTAATGCAGTCAGTTCAGGCCTGTGTTGGCCCTTCACCTTCCATACTCCACACGTTCTGCTCCCTTCCTAAGGAAGCTCCCTCAAGGGGAGATGCAGCCCACTGTGCCCTCTTCATTCCTGTTTAGAGCTTCAGTCCTAAATCCACAGCGGTGAGTGGGGCAACCTCATGGAATCTCTAAAGGCAGCAGCTTGGGGAGCCACTCCATGCTTCTTTCTGGTCTCTGCTCTGTATGTGCACATACACACACACACACACACACACACACACTCAAGTCATGCCCACAGTCATGCCCAAACCTCAGCAAGATACCCCTCAGCCCAATAGGGTAAGTTGGGGGTGGGAGTGGAATGTGCTGTAGTAAAAAGAGCACTTGATTTGGAATCACATCTGACTTTCAACACTAGCTTCATCTTTGTGATCATCAGGAAGTTACTTGTTCATCTTCTCAGAGTATCAGTAGTCTTATCTTTTAAGTGGAGGCAGCTATGGGAAAGAGATGACAGGCTTCAGTGGGATAATATCTATAAAGTACCTAACATCATCTGCCTCATCTCTCTTTTCATCCTCTTCCTCCTCCCTCTCATAAAAGGTTATATGTCACTTACAACAGTGCCATTCCTGAGTCAGGAAGGTGATGGGAGTGGGAAGGTGGGGAAATACAGTTGGCTTCTCTCCAGGGTGGATGTCAGGCCCTTCTCCCTCCAGATTCGTCCTATGAGACCATTAGTACTGTGCTAATCCGTAGTAGCGCTTTACTCAGTTCTCCCCAAACTTCTACTGCATATTTGTACTTCTTTCCAGGTCTCTTTCTCCAGACTCCAGTAAATAGAGAAATGTTTGGAACCATCCATCTCTACACAAATAGTCATGATACAAGGTGGAAGGTGTAGGCATCTGGAGAGTAAACTAAGGTGCTATAAAAGCTCTGAAATGAAAGGGCAAAAAAAAAAGGGGGGGGGCAAGGGATCTTGGAAAAATGGATGCAGATTAAGGTATTTAAACTGGATCCTAATGAATAGATGTGGCCATTTGGAAATGAGCAAAAGCTATGTGGTTGCAGATAAGTTGCAGGGTGGGGTTGGCAAGGGAAATAAAAGGATCAATGTAAGAGTGAAGGGGTGCTTCAGAATGACTGGGTGATCCATCTTTCATTCAATATGTAGCTATGGAGTGCCTGCTCTGTGCTGGGGACAGCTTATATCAGACAGAGATGGTCCCTGCCCTATGAACTCACAGTCTAGTAAAGGCATGCTCTTGGGCGTTCTTTCTGGGGATCAAGCCGATTTTGCCCTTTCTGTTGTATTCCTAGGTGAGTTATGACACAGTTTATCAGGCGATGGTTCTGGCTGCTTGTATTCCAGCCCGAGGATGCAGTGCCCAGACCACGACTGGATGTGGGTGTTTCCCATGTTGACATGTCTCCTAGGATGTTCCCTTTCGGCTAATGTCTCAGCTCACTGATTATTACTGATCCTTTCACAAGGTGACTGAATCTCAAGTGGTGTGGGAGGGAGTGGATGTGTCTTGTGGTACTATTCTAGTTAACATATTCTAAATACACAATTTATTCATTATGATCACTTAACAGATGAGGAGACTGAGGCATAGCAGGGAATCCCTATGTAAGGATGGAGACTGAGTCAGGACCTTTTCCCTGGGTCCTTGTCGACTCCCAGTTCCATACAGTTTCCACTCCAAAAGGCCCTTTTTTGGGAATGTCTGTCTATCAGGCAGACCCATGCTTTCCCCACAGGAAACCTTTATCATTCAAATCCACCAGAACAAAATAAAAAACAATTCTCTTTCTGCCATCTTTATGAGAGCTGTGTCCAAAGCAGCCCCGGTAGAGAGAGTGCCCTACAAAGCAGCCCTCTTCAGCGGGGCTTTCCAGCACAACCCTTGCCGTGGGCAGCCAACCTCACCCTCACACCGCCCCCACCCCATACACCACCGCCTCATTTTTTTCAATGCACAGCCCAGCTTGTATGAAAGATCCCAAAAGGTTAGCTGAAAGGGCCTTTCCTTGCCTCGGCTCCTTTCCTCTGCCCTCTCCCTCCAGCGCGCTGGATCCACCGGGCTCGCTCCCCGGCGCGATTCCACGGGTCACTCCAAAGCTGCCGCGCCAGCTCTTGCAAAGGAGCCTGGCGTGCCGGCGATCAGCTGGAAGCAGGCACCGAAGCGCAGCCTCCTGGAGTTGGGCTGAAGTAGCTGTCAAGCAGCTGTCTCCACCCGCCCTCCCCTCCCAGCACAAGTGACGCCGCCGGCCCCCGCGCCGCGCCTCCCCCTCCTCACGGCTCCCGCCCCTCCGCCCGCTCCGCCGCTCTAGCTCCGCGCTCCGCCACCCTCGCGCCCGCCAGCCCCGCAACTTCACCCCGCGCGCCGCAGCTGCTGCGAGCGGACGCGGCAGGGCAGCCGGCGCTGGGGACAGCTCGCGTCCACCCGACTTCCTCCCGGGGTCCCCTTCACCCAAGTGAGCCAGCTCAGGCTGTCTGCAAAGCCGGAGGTGCGGGCAGCTCCGGGCATTGCATTGGTGCGGAGGCTTTTATATGCCAGAGAACCCTGAGTGTGCCCCTGACATGACAAGGAGCCGTCGTCGTTAGGTAGGTTCACCTTTTCATTTCTCCTTTTTTGCTTCTGATTTTGCGTACAACGCGGTGAGGTCTGTGTGGGGAGGGGTGTCCTCGACTTGAATGAGCGTTGAATGCTAAGCAGCCGTTGAAACTGGAGCGTCCTCAGCTTCCACCACCCTGGTGGGTTCGGGCATCTGAAGCCCACAGGGTACGGTCGGGAAGTTGCTGAGCGAAAGGGGCACGCGCACTTTTTGCAAGCAGAACTGAAGGATGCCCTGGGGAGTGGAGGAACGGGCCAAGGTTAGAGGGGCCCACAGCATTGCCCGGGGTTGGGACATTTCTGGGGCGAGGAAGCGCCGGGCCCCGGGAGTCAGGGAGGGGTGTGTGTGCGAGCGCCCCCAGATGGGAGTCCTGGGTGGCCCCCTGGCACGGAACGACTTCGGCACTCGCAGAGCCTATGGGGAATCCAGCTCAGGGCTGGGATGGCAGTCTCAAGGGTCTTCATTTGCCCCCGGGCTGCCCGTTTGAGCTGGACTATGAACCAGCTCGTTCCTCACCGTGTCTGAATTCCAAATTGGCCAGGTGGAATGGGAGGATGAGAATTGGGAAGAGGGGCAAGAAAGGAAAAAATGTGTTGCTTTGATGCCGATCTGTGTCTGGAAAGATGGGGGGAGGGGATGCACCTGAGGACAGGAGCACCCTAGCAGGAGTCCGTGGCATGGGAGGGGGCTGGTCAAGCGGAGCATGTGCAGCTCTCTTGCCCGAGACGATAACCTTCTAGCTCCCTCTTACAGGGCAGTGGGCAGCAGATAGAGACCCCTCACGTTCGAAGGGAGTAGGTGCATTTTGAAATTAGATAAGCAGAAGTCATCAGGTGCTAAGGTGGCAGAGGCGCTGTGAGAAGTGACAGCTCCCTGGAGAGCGAGAGAGCAAGTGGAAAAGCAGGAGAACCGGGCTGATTCTGCTGGGATGGGGGTGGCGCAGAGTGAGATTGGTAGGCTCGTAGGTCCCTGTCTTGGAGATACCTACATGTTGCTTGAGTGACTGAGGAAAAATGTTCAAGCTTTTAATCTGGGAAAACAGTTATGATAAAATATATGTTGGGGCTGTTTCCTCCCTGCTCCCCACTTCCTACCCTCTTACGTCCACACGCTTGGTAGAAGGTCTAGGATTGTGACTAATCACTGCCCCCATTCTGAAGAAATTGTACTTGGCCATCTCTATGGGACTGGGCATCCTGTGTGAGCGTCTGCTCGATTGTTAGCTGACACACAATCATTTCTTCCCTTTTGTTTTCTATCGGGTCTGTCTTGCTCTGAGAGTGTACCCACCTCCTTCCCTCCCCTACCCGGGTATTCCCACTCACTCAATTCCCCTCTTCCCCTTGCTCCTCCAGCCATTTTGGACCAGCCTCTGAGCTTGCCCACTCACACCATCTACTTTCCTCAAATTGTATTTTAGCTGCTGTCACAAGCAGGGGATGTCAGCCACGAACTCTCCGAGAACCAGCACCATCATGGCTATTCTCCAGTGGTTAATTAGGAAGCATCAGTAGTTATCCTTCTGTAGGAACAAACTGCAGGGATGTACCAACTTAGGGTAACAGCAGCTTGAGGAACTCCCCTATCTGAAGCCCCCATCTCCCAGCACTCAGGATTAGCTTTCTGTGCTAGCTTCCCCTTCAGTTGCAATAGTGTCAAATTGTGTCCTTTCCCCCAGGAAGATAATGCATCTGCCTGTCCAAAAATTTACTGCATCCAAACATCTGAAAACTTGAACATTGGAGAATCTGTTTAGCAAAAACATACTGCATATGTTGCTTTTCCAAAGGACCCCCCAATTGCTGTTGCTTCTCTCTTCCTCTGACACTCTAATGTGAGATTTCGCTTTGAATATTTTATCCTCAGTATAAATAAAAAGAAATACCAAGCTACAGAGAAAGAAAACCGAAAGCATGCGCTAGGGAGTTGCATAGAATTCTGATTACACAAACACAATTCCAGAAATGGCTCTCCTTCCTTTTGTTAACTGCAAAGTGAAGTTATTTCCAGCAGAGAAGGGACCCACCCAAGGTTGACCTGGAGAAGCCAAGGAGGCTGGGGGCGGGTGGAGGGAGATATTTATATCTGTGGATCTTGTTAGCTAAACTCTCATAAAAATTCTTCTCTTTAGTATTCATACCCATTGACCTGGGGCCCTGCTAATCACTGCCAAATGTCCTTCCCTAAATCTGAGGTCACTAAAGTGGAAACATCCCTACTACGATAAAACCCCACAGCCCAACTGTGATACCAACTACATGCCCACTTCTAAGTATAACCAAGACACTTCTCTGTTACACTTTGTGTTAATTCACAGATTAT